>NC_000010.11:132643798-132992687 GCF_000001405.40 Homo sapiens
ATCCATCACCTTGGGTCCTGGCGCCCTGTGAGTGAGGAGAGTGCTGACATCGCCTCCCACTCACAGGGGGTCGTGGAGGCTCCGGAGCTTGGTGACCCCGTGGTGTCCTAGGGCGTGTAGACACAGGCCTCTTCCATGCCAGGGAGGCGTGGCAGATCTCAAGCCCACCCACTCTTCCCCCACCCTCGGACACCACAACAAAACCAGAGTTGTGCATCAAGACAGCTGGAACCAGACCACCGGAAACACTCAGACCACCGGCACCAAGGGTTGTCTGTTTTCAGAACTTCTGTTGTTTTGAGCACAGCCCAAAGGGACAGCTGGCCCTTGGGAACCACGTTGGGCCGTCTGTTAGGGAGAAGTGCACTGCCTGGGCCTGAAGGCAGTGGGCTGTCTGGCCTCCTGAGTGCCCGGGGAGCCCACGCCCACGCCCAGGAGGGAGGGGCCCACTCGGTGCATCCACGCAGAGGCGGCTGCGAACTCAGGCACGGCCGCCCTTGTCTCCTGCTGCCGCTGCCACCTGCAGCACAGACGGAGCCTGTGCACGGGGCCTGGTCAGAGCTGTTTCTGTCTCCCCAGCCTGAGCCCCGTCTTCACCTGCAGCACAGACAGGGCCTGTCCGCCGGGCTTGGTTGGAACCATTTCTGTCTCCCCAGCCTGAGCCCGTCGTCCCTTGCTGGCTGCCCACTTGCTCAGCTGCGCCCTGGACCGTGGCCGCTGGGCTCCTGGGAGGTGGGCCATGCCCACAGCTCCACCTGGCTCACAGTGAGTGCCGTGTCGTCGTGAGCACCTCCAGGCTCCCAAGCCCAGCACAGACAGCACCGGCCCCTTCTCTCCCCGCCTTTCCGCTCCTCCAAGGAAGCTCGTCCTTTTGGGCCCTCAGTGGCTGTTGTAGCACCACCACCCCGGCACCAGACAGAGAGCCCTGTCGGGGCTTGCTCCTTGGAAGCGCTGCGCATCCTGTGTTCCAGGGGAGCGGGGTCAATCAGTGCCTCACCCCTCATCCTGCTCAAGTGAAATGGGGCTCCCCGACTGCCTCACATGTGTCCCACCCAGGGTTTCCTGCCAGGTGAGATGGTTCGTGTCCTGGCCTGTCAGGACTCCCATGAGTGGCGAGGTGTGCGGTGTGGGGCAGTGGCTGGACTGACAGTGGGAGATAGACGGGGACCTGGAAGGAGGGGAGGCCATGTCGATACTGCATCCGCTCTCTGAATTCTCTGCCCGCGCGTCCTCTCAGAGCCTCATGGTGGAAGCCGCCAGGTCACACAGGAAGCCGCACTGACAAGGATATTTGTTGCACTGCTCTTTAGCTGTAAAAGTTTGGGACAGATTCAGCACGCTGCAGCGGTGATTGCTTGAGTCAGAATCCTTGCTGGGGACCTCAGAGACATGTCGGGGGCCTGGGAGCCTTGATGGGGCGGGCGGGGCAGGGGCACCAGTGGCCGTGATGCCAGGCTCAGGTTCCCGGCTCTGCCACTTAGTGGAAGTGGCCTTGCGTGAGTTGCTGCTGTGTGTCGGCGTCCTCCCAGGCTGTGAGCAGGCGGCGGAGTGCCTGGCTCCTACACACGTGAACACACATGCATACACAGGCACATGTGTACACACACATGCTCCGGCACACGCGTGCTGGTACGTGCTCCCGCACACGTATGCACACGTGTGCACCCTTGCTGGGGTTGTGCCTGGGTGTTGCTAATGGCTGCCTTCCTGGTGAGATTGTGACCAGTTGATCTTGAGGCTCCCAGAGGCTCTGCAGTAAACACGCATAACATTTTTTTAACTAGAAATAAGGCCTCTAGATGATTGAAGAGGCTTCTGAGAAATCTGGACTCTTTTCTATGGAATTTACAGTAATGGGAAAATGAAAAGCACTGGAAATATAAATAACTGGAAGCACAAAGGCGACGTGACTCCTAGAATCTGTCCAGAACCCATGGTCGCAGACATGGGGCCCCGTCTCTGCCAGACCCTGGTGGCTCCCAGGCTGTGGGGGCGGTGGAGGGGGTGGTGCCACGTGTGGCTCTGTGGACGGCTCCGACGACCCTGACAGTGTGCTTCTCTCCCTCCAGGTCGTGCACACACACAAGCCGCACTTCATGGCCTTGCACTGTCAGGAGTTTGGAGGGAAGAACTACGAGGCCTCCATGTCCCACGTGGACAAGTTCGTCAAGTAAGTCTAGGGGCAGGTGCTGGTGCATGTCCACTTCCCAGGGGTGTGGGGTGCCGGCGGGGGTCTTTTCATGGTACTATGATCACCAGCCTCACCATTCGGGACTCACCTGGGGGTCATCTTGGCTGAGTCTCAGTTTTCCAAAGAGAGGAGTGGCCCAGACGTGTGGCCACGAGCCTCCTTGGGGCGGCGACAGAAGGCCACGGAGTGACAGCCTGCTGCCTCCACACGGCGAGGGTCTGTGCTCTCGGGCCAGGGGACGTGAGCCCCAGATACCAGTGGAGCCGTCTCCGTGTGTGTGTGTCTGAGGCCTGGGCCTGTGGTGGCCGGGGTTCACATCCCACTGCGCAGTCTGTCTCAAGGAGGTCGGCAGGGAGCGTCTATCCTCCTTGGGGGCGAAATCTCCATCGTTTAGGAGGAAGGTGCCCCACGTGTATTCCCACTGTACATGCCCTGAGGCTTCTGACAGGGCCGGCCCAACTGGGTCCTGCCTGGGAAGAGGGGGCGCCCGGACCTGGGGCATCCAGGAGTGGACAGGAGCAGGCAGGGGCAGGCAGGCTTGTGTTCAGACATGGGGCCTCCTATAGGCTGTTGCTAATAGTGGCTGCTGTATTTTCCCGAGGCCGCAGCCGTGAAGCCCGCCCTCTGTGTCCCCTACAGTGTGGCCTTGGCACATTCCCATGTTGGGGGCTCGTCTCCACCTCCAGACCCTGGGCAAGCCCTGGCTTCTTCACAGCATGAGGGCTTCTGGGACCAGCCCCCAACATCGCAGAGCTTCACAAAGCTGCCACACTCTGTGGGCCGACGCCGCTGCCACGCTCTGTGGGCCGACGCCGCTGCCACACACTGTGGGCCGACGCTGCTGCCACGCTCTGTGGGTTGACGCTGCTGCCATGCTCTGTGGGTCGATGCAGCCACCCGGAGTCGGGACCTGTGGGCAGAGCCGTCGAGCCCTCCCGGCCTGGTGCCAGTGTGAGTGTGAGCGAGGCTTCAGGCGATCCCAGCCGCTGCATCCTTGCTGTGACATAAGCCCTCCGTGTTGAACTCCCAGCGCAGGGTCCTCGAGCAGAGCAAAGTGGTTTCAGCTGCTAAAAAAAACTGCCACAACTTCCCAAAATAATCTGTAATTTAAGGCATTTTTTTTTTCTTTTTTTTTTTTTGTTTTGAGACGGAGTCTCGCTCTGTTGCCCAGGCTGGAGTGCAGTGGCGTGATCTGAGCTCACTGCAAGCACCGCCTCCTGGATTCATGCCATTCTTCTGCCTCAGCCTCCCGAGTAGCTGGGACTACAGGTGCCCACCACCACACCCAGCTAATTTTTTTGTGTTTTTTTAGTAGAGATGGGGTGTCACCATGTTAGCCAGGATGGCCTCAATCTCCTGACCTTGTGATCTGCCTGCCTTGGCTTCCCAAAGTGCTGGGATTACAGGCATGAACCACCATGCCTGGCCAGTTTAAGGCAGTTTTAATCAAAATCTTAGCGGCATTTTTCCTAACACTCAACAAACTAATACTAAAATTGCCATATAAGAGCAAAGGGTCAAGAATAGTTAAAAGAATCCTGAAGGAAAACAAAGTGGGTTCTCACCCAGCTCGACCCCAAGGCTCATTCCGAAGAAGCAGTGGGGCAGGTGGCATGACGCAGGCCCGGAGAGGAGAGCGGATCGAGGCAGGTGCGCAGCCCAGAGAGTGGAGAGCGGAGTCGAGGCCCCACCCAGACCCTCGCGGCTGCCTTGGAGGAGGGTGGGTGGGGACATGGGCTGGGGCACGGCATCATTGGTGTCCTGTTGGGAAAAATGAAATTGGATCCCTGCTTTGTGTCATAAGCAGCCACTTCTCACTCACCCTACATAAGATGAATTTCAGTTGTATTAATTATATAAATGTAAAAGGCAACATTAAAAATTTCAGTCTAAAATATAGGAGAAAATATAGTTTTGGGATGAGAGATTTCTTTTAAAATGTGCAGGAAGTGCAGCCTACAGAATGGAAGGCTGAAAAATGTGGCCATGTTTGAACTAAGCATTTGCTTATGAAAAGGCACTCAAAATGAAGTCACTCAAAATGAAGTCACTCAAAACAAAATCAAAATTCAGCCACTTCGGGAAAAGATATCTGCAGCACACCTTACTGACAAAAACGAGTGTTTAAATATATGAAGAACTCAGTAAGTCGGTAAGAGAAGGAAAGCAGCCCCTGTTGGGAAGCACCTTCCAGAGGAGAGAAAGTGGGGGTGCACCCTGAGCACGGAGGACGCCGCCCTCACAGCAGGCGGGGACACCGCAGGCCGGACGGGAACGATGCCGCCGTGTTTGGTGTGAGAGCTTCACAGTGGAGTGTGGCCCCCACGGCCTTGTGCCCCCGCGATGCCGTGTGTGTTTCCTTCCTCCGCGCTTTATGCCTAATGTACAGCGTTATGATTTTTGCTTTAAACAATTTTCTTTTTAAAAGATTAAGACGTGAGAGAAACGCCCTTGGTGTGGACCAGTTCACTGGCTTTCAGTGCCCTCCGCCCTTTTGTGTGGATTCTGCTTTTTATCTGGCACCCTTCTCTCTCTGCCTGAAGAACGTTCTTTAACATTTATTTTAGCACAAGTCAGCTGCTCATGAATTTTCTCAGCTTTTGTTTATCTGAAAAAGGTCTTTGTCCTCATTTTTGAAAGCTGTTTTTGTTGTAAATAGAATTCTAGCTTGTCAATTTTTTTTCCTCTCACTACTTTAATGATATCGCCCCATTGTCTTCTGTATTGCATTGTTGCTGGCGAGAATCTCGCCATTGTTCTCTCTTAATTTTCTTGTATATAATGTGCCCTTTCCTCCACTGCTAGGTTTTGTCTTTATAGCTGGTTTGCAGCAACCTGATTATGTTGTACTTTGCTTTGATGTTCTTTATGTTTATCTTGCTTGGGGCCGTTTGAGCATTTGCAGTCTGTGGGTTTATCGTTTTAATCAAATTTGGGGAAAATTTGTCCTTGTCCATTATTTCTTTAAATACTATTTTTCTTTTCCTTCCCTTCTCTTTTGTTCTTAGGCTCCAGTTACCTGATGTTAGATTGCCTGGTTCTGCCCCACAGGGCCCTAAAGCTCTTCTGATTGTTTTCAGCTCATTTTCCCTGTGTTTCGGTTTGGATCGCCTCTGTTGCTGTATTTTTAAGTGGCTGGGCTCTTTTCTGTTGCAGATTTTGATCTTCTCTTAGGTCCATGCAGTCAGTTCGTTTTATTTCTGACATTGTGTTTGTCCACTCCTTCCAGAAGCCTCACGTGTGCTTTCCCTGTCCTCGCTTTTCCTTCCGTCTGTGCGTTCCTTTCGCTGTCTGGTCACAGTTGCAATGACTGTTCCCAGTTGCTTTCAGCTCACTCCGTCATTTTTGCCTCTTCCGGGTCTGTTTCTGTTGACGGCTTCTTCGTAGGATGACGGGACACATTCACGTGGTGTTGCTGCTTCTCATATCAAGTTATTTTCCGTAGGATGGCAGACATTGCGAATGTTACGTTGTTTAGTGTTTGAGCCCTGTTTTCTTCCTTTAAAGCGTGTTGAAGGTTGTGTTTACCAACAGTTAAGCCACATGGGGATCAGTGTGGGTCTGTCAAGGCATTCTTTGCCTTGCCCTTCTCTACTGGTGCAGTTTTATTTTCTTCAATGTGGACCCCCCTTCTTCCTGACACATGGACTGGCTGGATCACAGGGTGCTGGTCTCCTCTCTCCCCACTGGCTTGAATAAGCATGCGTGGGTAGGGGGATGATGGACTGTCTCTGTGGAGGGGCCAGGCAGACGGGGCCTCGTCCTCCGTTCATGGGCTCCAGGGGTGTGCGGTGGCCTCCTGTGCAGCCATGCTTTGCGGAGATGGTGGTGAGCTTGTCTCCTTAAGGCCTTCCTGATGATAAAATGTGACCAGTAGGATGAACGGTCGGGGACAATGGCGTGTCCAGAGGTCCTTTCCCTCCTGTGTGGTTGCAAGGCCGTGGCAACTCAACCACCATTCTCGCTGCCACTTCTGGGAGGAGCAGATGGGGACAGAACTACCTGGGCCCTGGGGTGCATGTGCCCCAACCTGTGTGTGCTGGTGGCTACTGGGGGTCCAATTTCTCTCTTAAGACCAAGCGTGAGCTATCAGGAGAGCCCCCAGAGCTTGGAGTTGCGCTTCCCTGGCATGAGACCTTGGGTGAGTTCTCAATGTCTCCATCCCTGGGATGCCTCAGACCCCGGCATCTCACAGGCTGCGTGGAGACCAGAGCCTGTGGGAGCTTGAGCTCTGCACATGCTGAGAGCTGAACGTGAGGCCAGCTCCTGCGGTGGCTGCCGCCATTCCCTGCCCTCTGCCTGTCACGGGTGGATGGTCTCACGGTGATGTACCTATGTGCTGGAGCCCCTCTTATACCTTGTGGTCATCTCATGAGGTGCAAGGCGTCTGTGTGGCTTTTCCTCAGGAACCTACTTTCTTCCTTCCAGAGAACTATTGTCGAGTGATGCGATGAAAGAATATAACAGGGCTCGAGTCTACCTGGATGAAAACTACAAATCCCAGGAGCACTTCACGGTGAGTCCCTCCCGCTGCCTGGTGCAGGGGTCAGACAGGCTGGCCTTGGCAGAAGCCAGCCCTTCTCCTGTGTAAATGGAGAGAGGTCGGGGTGCTCCCTGCCTGAAGCCTCACTCACGCTGCCCTGCCTGGCACTCCCGCAGCCTGCTTGGTGGTCTGCTCGTGGTCTGAGCCCATGGCTGGCCTGGCAGGGAAGGTGGCCCAGCACGCACAGGGTCTTGGGGCTCCAGACCAAGCCCAAGAGGGAATTGGGGAGTGACAGGTGGGGAGAGGCCCAGGGCCTCAGCGTGCATGAAAATAAGAGGGAGTCCGGGGCTCCAGGCGTGTAGATGAGAGGTTGGACAGCAGCCGGTATTGCTTCAAGAGCCACCGTCGCCAGCCCTGCTCCCATGCTGGGTCCGTCCCTTCCTGATCCCTGAGTGTGCAGGGCTGGGGCGGTGTCCTGCCTCGGAGAGAGGCTGTTCCTCAGGGTGAGCACAGGGGGAGTGGGACAGAGCCTTCCACAGGGCTGGGAAAGACCTGTCCCTCCTCTGCGGTCCTCTGTCAGGTGGACACATGAGAGGGTGGCCCTGGTGGACGTGGCAGCCACAGAGATACAGGCACCAGGTGTCTGGGAAGGGGCAGGAAGCTCCTCAGAGGAGGGGACACTCTGCAGGTCGTGAATAACTTGCTGTTGGTTCAGAGACCCACGTCTTAAATCCCGTCTTTATGCCCTGGGTCCCCCGGCCTGGATCCATCTCCCCCGTCTCTGGGGAGGCCCTGGGTCCCCCGGCCTGGGTCCATCTCCCCCGTCTCTGGGGAGGCCCTGGGTCCCCCGGCCTGGATCCATCTCCCCCGTCTCTGGGGAGGCCCTGGGTCCCCCGGCCTGGGTCCATCTCCCCCGTCTCTGGGGAGGCCCTGGGTCCCCCGGCCTGGGTCCATCTCCCCCGTCTCTGGGGAGGCCCTGGGTCCCCCGGCTTGGGTCCATCTCCCCCATCTCTGGGGAGGCCCTGGGTCCCCCGGCCTGGTTCCATCTCCCCCGTCTCTGGAGAGGCCCTGCATCCTTCTCCCCCATCTCTGGCCTTCTGTCCCCAGCATCAGCGCCCACTAGCCGTCATTGCGCCGTCACGTGACAGGCCCTTGTTAATCTGCCCTCTCCCAGGTGGGCCCCCGTAGGCTGCAGTGCTGAGGGTCTCGCTCTCCAGTGCCCCCCTGCCCTGCAGGTGGGACTCTCATTGCTGTTTGGGTTCAAGGGCCATCTCACTTGTTTGGGCATCCAGTGCCAGTTGATCAATGTCCTTGTCCCTGAGATGGTCACACAGCTGTCATGCGTGGTCCCCACCAGTAGTGGAGTCTGTACAATCCCGGGAATCCCCCGTTCGGTCTCCGACCCTCGCCCTGTCAAGCAGCTGCCCACACACAAGCGGCCTCTCCTCACGCTCTGTGGGGCACACGGGGACCACGGGGCCCCCACTCACACCAGAGCCAAGGCCCTCACCCCTGTGCTCAGGATGTAGCTCCTCCTGTCAGCCTTCCTCCCTCTCCCCCTTGGTCCCTCCTCCCTCTCCCCCTTGGTCCCTCCTCCCTACCAGCTTCTTTCTCTCAGCTCTGCCATCCTTTCCATAAAATGGCAGCTTCCTTGACCCTCTCACTCTCCTCTGCCATGACCCAACGTAATGTGTTTCCCAAGTAGGGGCTTATTCAGATGAAAAAGAAAAACACCACTGGGGGAGCAGCAAATTAGACATTGCAGAAGAAAAGAGAAGGTGACTGAACTTGAAGACAGCCACAAAATTAAAGTGAAACAGAGAGAAGGACTGAAAAGTGGATAGAAATCACTGTGAAATACCAGGTGTCCTAACACGTGTGGCTGCAGCCCCAGGAGGAGCGGGGAAAGGAGGCAGACAGGGTGATGCTTACAGATGTCATGGCTCAGATTTCTTCATCAGTCCATGAAACTTACAGAAAGATCCAAATACTGCAACAAGCTTCAAGCCGAATAAACATACCAACGCAGGCCAAGGTCCGATTGCTGAAAGCAAGTTACATGAAGGCCCTTCCTTGCCACCCATCATCCTCGGAAGAGTGGGGCTCTGCTCCCCGTCTCTGCGTGCTGCCCTGCCATGGGAGCCTCATCTGTGCCAGTCGCCAGCTACCTCTTCCTCATGGGGACCATCGCTCAGCTCTTTCCAGCTTCCTTTAGATATAAAGACACAGGTATTTTAAAAGTGAAGGGACGGAGGAGGATGTACCTTGTAAAACAGTCGTTAGAAGAAAGTAGGAGTGGCTGTCTGCATGTCAGGGTGCCCTCAGAACGAGCGTGTTGTCGGGGCTGAGAGCGGTCATTTCACGATGATAAGGGGTCAGCTTTTTGGGAGGACATAGCGGTCGTGAACGTGCGCCCCTAATATCAGAGCTCACTTAGACGCGAAACCGACAGGGCTGGGTGGAGACGGGAGGCTCTGCACCGCAGGAGGACCCCACAGTCCCCTCCTGCTGGCCGATGTGCAGGTGGGCGGAGGGGCAGTGCCCGCCACCCGCACCCTTGGCATCTGAGGCTCTCCAGCCAGAGCAGTGGTGGACGCAGCCACCGACAGAAGGCACCCGCGTGCTGGGCCCTGGCCAGAGCAGGCCTCTCCGTCTGTCCGAGCCTGGCTGGGATACCTGAGAGCGAGGCACACATGGGCTGGCGGAGGGGCAGCCGTCATGCTGTAGTTCTGTTTCCACCAAAACGTTTTTCCACATGAGGGCGAAAGCCTCAGCAAAACCTCCTTCAGGCTCCCGAGGGCCGCGGCTGCCTCCACACCTGGCTACCTTCTTCAGGCCCCCGAGGGCTGCGGCTGCCTCCACACCTGGCTTTCAGGGTTTTCCAGGTGGGTCCGGAGCGGCCTGTGCTTAAGGGCTCAGGTCCACCCGAGACTCTGCCTGGCGTGCGTATCTGGGCATCTGCACCTGGCTGCCGGGCACAGGCCGTGCCAGGCCTGTACGAGCTCTGGGGTTGTTCTCCCTTCTTTCCAGGGTTCCTCCCTGGCCCTGGGTGGTTCCAGCAAAACAGTCGCCAGGGCACATGAGTCTAGTTCCAGAAAGACCTTGCCCCTGCCTCTGAGAGATGGAAAGGATACAAACGCATTCTCTTACCAAAAAGAATTAAATTAGAAGTAAATAAAAAAGATATATGGAAAAGTCTCAAATATTTGGAAATTAACTTGTTTGTTAATAATCCCAAGTCAAAGAGAATTACAAGGTATTTTAAATTATGTGAAAAGCTAGAACCTTCAAAATCTGTGAGATGCCAAAATAGTCTGCACCCGCTGCAGATCGTACGGCAGCCTTCAGCGCGGGGAGCACGGCGCCCCCCGTCAAAGGAAAGGTGCCTCTCAGGGGAGGAAGCACAGGGGCTGGGCCGGGCCCCTCCCCTCAAGAAGCCGCTGTGTACTTGGTGCCTCAAAGTGCCCGACAGTGACGTGGGCCTGGCAGCCCATTCTTCAGCACACACGCTTCCCAATTACGTCTCTGAGATGTCTGAAACCAGGGTGCGGGGCACCAGGGCGGCTGAACAGGCCACCCAGAGGCAGCCGTGCTGTGTCTGAGGCCCCGAGGCTGTTCCTCCAGTCACCCTCACGATGAGGGTTTCCGGAAAATGGGACAGGATAAGGCTTGGGAGTGAGAGTGGGTCTCAGGCCTGCTCTCGGGGAACTGTGGCCTGGCAGGAGCTCCCGTGCCTCTGCTGCCGCCCTTCAGCTCAGTGGGCTCCAGCCCCGGCTTCCCTGCCTGGGCACGGACCTGATCTCTCCCACAGCCACGGCCCTGAGTGAGGCTTTAGGCCAGGTGGATGGTGGAGGGCAGCCTTGCCTGGCAGGTAGGAGGGTCCAGGATGCCCCAGATGCCCAGTTAGCTCATGCCAAGCTGGTGCCAGGCGGGCCTGTCCTCCCTGTCTTGTCACTGAGACTGGGCTGGCAGACCTCGGAACGCTGCCCCCTGGGCCACCACTGGCTGCCTCAGTGGCCTGGTCTTTGCTGGGGGCCCTCGGGGTGTCTGTGTGGCGGGGCCTGACTTCCCCGGGGTCCTGGGCAGAGCTGGGCAGCAGCGGCCAGCCAGACAATCACCCTCCTGCCCCAGCCAGGTGCCCTCTGGCTGTCAGAGGGAGGAAAATTTAATTTTTACAAGATTGATGGTATTGGAGCAATATTTTTAGCTGAGTCTGGTTCAAATAATAGGCCATTAATTGAAAAAGGAAATTGAAATGAATTTATCTTGTACATAAATGCTGTCACGGGTATTAATAGGGATCAGAAAATAGTGGCCTGTTCCCAGAAGGCGATTGAACCTGAAGCTGCGCCTGGCGCGTGAGCCTGTGGGGGGGACGCGGCTGAGGGGCTTTGAGCGACCTGCAGGTGCCCATTGCCACCAGGAGATGGCGCCCACGCAGCGCCTGAGAGTTTCCTACCGGAGATGATCAGAAGGCAACTTTTAATGCTTAAAAAATGAGGATATTAGGCTGGGCGCGGTGGCTCACGCCGGTAATCCCAGCACTTTGGGAGGCTGAGTCTGGGATGGACATGCACCGACTCCGCCAGGCGAGGTGGGCCTGGCTCAGGGCAGAAGGCCCCAGGAGGTGCCCAGGCTGAGCCCCGAGCTCTGCGCCCGCATGGAAAATGGAAAAGTGGCGAGAGCCAGGCTGGAAGACACCTGAGTGCCAGGCGGTCTGTGTGCCTCATCCCTGAAGCGCCTTTGTCAGAGCCCTTGCTCCTGGGTTCAGCCTGGTGTCCCTACCCCTGGGAACACATGTCCACCCACAGCACTGGAGACAGGGCTCAGAGCTAGCCCCGCCGTGGAGGTCTCGGTACCACGTTGGTACCCAGAGAAATTTCTTAGCCACCGCGGTGCATCCTCCCACACAGGCCTCGACACTGAAGAAGTGCCTGGGCGAGGCTTTCCCGGGCTGCCAAGTGCCTATTGATCCACAGCTCCAACAGCACAGAAATCCCGTGTCTTGTCTGCCGGGCACGCAGGGAGCTCCGAGAACACATCAGTCAGCGCCCAGAGAGCCGACGTCGGCCAGAGGACGCAGGGTAACGGCTTTCCTGAACTCCGCTTCCAAGAGGGTTCTGTGAGGAAGAGGTTGCAAATTCATTTTCGTTTAACGTCACCCGCATCTGGTTTCACCACAGAAGTGGAGCCCTGCAGTGGGAGGGGTGGGGGGCCTGTCACTGGGCTTTGCTGCTGATTTGGCCTACCTGGGAAGCCCAGAAGATGTATTTACTGTAGGGACTTGAGGCTTGCTTGGGGCCTGGTAGGAGCCAAGGCCACCCCATCCTCCCAGCTCAGCTTGGTGACTTACCATCCATGGCTCTGGTTCGCTTGTCACCCGCCCCTCCCAGAGAGGCTGCGTGGGGCTGCAGGCGCCTGAGTGTAGGTCCCAGCCTGTGTCCTGGGCTCTAGTCCCATTGAAGCCTTGTGGCTGGCTGGGCATGGGTCCCATGCAGACTGGTGGGGCCAGGAGGGCCTGGCGTGGGCACCTGCAGCAGCTTCTTCAAGGCCTCCCAGCACTGACCGTGGCCTCTCAAAGCTTCGGCTGCTTCAGCAGCTTTCCTGCTGGGAGCTGTGAGCACTGCTGGGGCCCATGCCCAGGACTGTCCTGACCGGACTGAAAGCCCTAGAGGGAAGCTGGCAGTGGGGACAGGGTGCAAGAGGAAAGACCCTCTCTCCATGCAGCTCCTTCATCCACCCACCTGGAGGAACTCCTAGAGGGAAGGTGGCAGTGGGGTCAGGGTGTGAGAAGGAAAGCCCCACTCTCCTCTTCATCCACCCACCCAGAAGAAGTTTGAAGAAACCATGCCTTTTAATGGCTTAAAGTTGGAGCAGAAGGGTTTATCTGCTGATACAATTAAGATAGCTTCGGGAGAGGGCTGAGAAGGTGTGGCCTGGCGGACACACTGCCTCCAGGGACACCCCTGCCCCCGCCAGCTGTGCCTGCTCAGAGAGTGCCTGCTCCTCGGAGGGTCCCCCCTGCTTGGGAAGGTACCTGCTGCACAGGACCCCAGCTGGAGTCAAGGAGTCAGCAGAAGAGGGGGTTGGAGGAGCGGCTGGGGACAGGAGGTGGCTGTGCGGGCTGCCCCACCTCGCCTCTTGCCTGAGCCCCTCTGTGGCCACATAGACAGAAGGAGGGGTTGGAGGTGCAGCCAGCCAGCTGGGCCAGGTGAGCCGGTCCTGAAGGGCACCAAGCAGGGTTGCCCCGGGCTCCTGAGAGGATTTTTCACATGCAGCAGCTGGAGACAGTTTGGAGGGGCCCAGGGCGGTGCAGACCCTTCCACAGCTGCTCAGGTGGCCCGGAGGCGTGTGCACCCTTCCCTATGCAGCAGGGCTCCACAGGCCTGGGCACTCAGCCCAGATGGTGCATGTGGGGAACCGTGGGACCCCATGTGCCAGGAGTCTCTGGGCAGACAGCAGCGACAGGGCTGTGTGGGGACTTGGGCAGGCCTGAGCCTGGGGTCCGATGACCTAGTTGGGTCTGGGGCAGCCACAAGCCGAGGCGTTGAGGAAGAGAGAGTGAAGTCTGAGCTCCTTGTGTAGGAGACCTCCGTGTGGAGTAGCCCCAGAGGCAGGAGGCTGCCTCAGCCAGGATGGCCCCATGCACTTGCTAAGCTGCGCCGCCTGCTCACTCAAGGCTCTTGGGCTCGGAGCAGAACTATGAGCCTGCAAGGCCTGCTGGGCAGAGTGGCCACAGCACGTGGCCGCTGGTCACCAACCGGGGGCTTACCCCTCTCCCACCCGCTAGCGCTGCCTTTGCACCTCGGAGGGCAGGTCTCTGCTGGCACCATGAGTGACCTGCAAGCACTGCCATGGTGGACTCTGCTCGCGCCTTGGTGGCTTCTAGGCTTTTCCAGGGGCTCTGGCCTCCTGCAGAGCAGGGTCTGCCTCCCCCGCGGCTGGGTCTGTGGAGAGTGAAGTGGGGCACAGATGCCCTTTGCAAGTGCTGTGCACGGCAGCTCACAGCCCCCACCCCCAGCTCTGTAGTCTGTAAGAGGCAGGCTCTCGGCATGGCCCCCAGGCAGTGGCCCTGGTGCTCTTGGGGTGGGGGGCCCCAGTACCCAGCGGTGGCCCAGGAATGAGAGGCCCGCTGCTTCCTGGGAGAGGCCCTTCTGCTTTCCCTCCTCCTCCTCTGTGAGCTCCCCCTTCCACTCTCGTTCTCCTAAATAAGACTTTAGGGAGAATTTATGGAAAATTGATGGAGTTTACGGATGTTCTTTGATCCAGAGAAGGGGAAGGAAAGGCAAACGCGTTTATGATGAGGAAGCTCATCTGCCTTAGGGCTCCAGCCCTGCCCTGGGGCTCGCTGCCTCCTCACCTGCCTGGGGGCAAGACAGTCCTGATGAAGTGAGAGGGGGCGAGATTGGTTTTCTGAGGGCACCGGGCCCTTCATGCTCCCCTAAATCACGGGCTGTCTCCTCAGCGGGCAGGTAATGACCTGCTCCCCGGCCCCAGCACCTGCAGTCCCGTGGGACGCGATGATGTGCGGCTGGGGCTGCAGTGAAGGTGAAACTGTCATATCGATCTTTTTAGCACTAAAATATGAGCCACTTTACTCCGCTCCCCGCTGCTGTGATGTGAAAAATAATAACTCGGATCCAAATTAAAAATATTGATCTCTGGAAGGTGTTGAAAGTAAATAAACACCTTCCGAAGTTTTTGGGTCAGCCGAGAAATGGTATTCAGCAATAAATGTGTCAGAGTCCAGGGTTCTTGATCTGTTTTTTCTTTGAATTGATTTTTCATTATTTACTTCCTAAAAGTGTTGGAATTTGGTCCTCCACTGTGAAATCCCAGTGTTTGGGCACATTATTTCTTTGGGGCTTATGAGGTGCTCCTAATCCACTCCCTTATTGATGGATTGATGTTTGACTCCATAAGCCTGCTTTATTTAGGACCTTCCATCATAATTTTTTGTACATTTAGGCTTGACTCTTTTATTTCCTTCTAACAGATGAGCTGACATTGGGCTATCAAACGGGTGGGAAAACAATTGCCATGAGGTTAATTTCATGGTCGGCTCCGTGCGTTCTGAGCAGACGGGTGTTTCCTGGCTGCAGGCCGGGCCTTGGATGCAGCCTTGACGCGTGTCGATCTGTTTACACACAGGGCTGAGTCCGCCGGCCCCCCGGGGGTGCTCATGGGTGCCCGGGTGTCTGCAAGCTGCCCGCAGCTGGGTGGTCTCTGGGCACGGATGCTCTAGGCCCTCTGGGCTCCAAGGAGGCTGGGTTGTATGTCTCTTGAGAAGCTTTCCTTTCGAAAGGCCACCAAGACCACCGAGACTGCTGAGACCGCCAAAGCCACCAAGACCGCCGAGACTGCCAAGACCACCAAGGCCGCCGGCTGCTCCCGGTGGCTCCATGCACCCGGCAGGAGAGTGGAAGGCGTCGGGCCTGGGGCAGTTTGAAAAGATAGGTGCCGCCAGCATCTGCGCTTCCTCGTGGGTGCTCAACAGGCTGCCTGGGAAGCTCCTTCTGCCATCACCTGGAGTCAGCTGCCGTCCACAGTGGAAGCTGCCAGCCACCAAGGCTACCGACCTGGGCCCTGGGGATGAGCAGCCCAGGAGGCGAAGATGCCTAGGTGGGTCCCCAGCTCTGCAGGTGCCACTCCCCACGCCAGTGTTCTCCAAACTTCCGGGGAGACCTGTCTGTGCTCCTGTAGGTGTCAGGCAGACTCAGAGGCACAGGGGTTCAGATTGAGGCCTGGGGCTGAGGAAGCAGGAAGTCCTGTCAGGAGCTGGAGCACTGAGAAAGGCACCTTGCTGAGAGCAGCCTTGGAAGGGTCCAGAACTGGAAAGATGGAGAGCTGCCATTGGCCCGTAGCTCTGGGGCTGGTCCTGGCCATCTAGCCATGGGACCATGGGCAGAGGGTTCCCTAGCTCTGGGTGAGGCGGGAGTGGTGGGCAGTGCTGGCCATGAGGTCCCTGTGGGGTGCATCCACGGACGCGGGTCTGGAGGCGCTGCTGTCTAAGCTGAGGCTTTTGAAGGATGACCGTGCCCAGGTTATCCAGTGTTCCTTCTCAGCGAGCAGCTCCCATGGCAGTCCATTCATTCAACATGCCCTGGTCCAGCTGCTGCACAGCCATGGGTATTCTGTGCTGAGCGCCGTGGCTGATGCACACCCACCGTCCCCTGCAGAGGAGACCTCTGCACGCAGGCCCACAGCAAGGGCCGGATCAGGAGAACAACCCACTTGGCAGGCGGCAACCTTGCCTGGCACTCACCAGGGCCTCCTCCCCAGCACTGTCCCGAGTCAGGTCTGCACGGCTTCATGGCTGCCTGCCCTGGGAGGTGGAGCATGGAGAAGGCCAGTGCCTCATCACAGAGCCAGATGCCCACAACAGGATCCAGTGCTGTCAGCTGGGCTCCAGAAACCTGAGGACATGCAGCCTGCAGCTCCTGACACATGACATGTGACATACAACACATGACACGCGGCATACTCCCTGTGACATGGCACATGACACGTGACACAACACATTCTCATGCTCCGCCGACGCGTGACCCACGGCACGTTCCCGCGCTCCGCCGACGCGTGGCCCACGGCACGTTCTGACGTCTGCCAATGCGTGACACACGGCACATTATAATGATGTAAATATTGATTATTGATTTAAGTGAAAATATTGAGAGGGTGGGGGTGAGAGATGGAGTGTGTGTGTGATATTGAGTGACGGGGAAAGATAGTAGAAAGTAGTTAAATCCTCTTCTTCCAGCATGGAAAAATTGAAAAATCAATGTTGAAAACTGGAAAATCAAGAAGTGGCAATATAAGCTTTAGAGGTATGGAGATAAATACCAAAAGAAAACAATCAAAAGAAAATAATTGCCTCTGGGAACTAGAAGACTGAAGTGGACAGGAGCTACTGTTTTCATAGTGTGCCTTGCAGAACTCGTGTGTGTGTGTGTTACTAGCTTTTAAAAAACAAAATTCCAGGAAACTTCTTAGGAGGAAGAGACTCCTTCTGTTGATGGTGACATCAAACAAGACCTGCAGGAGGAGGTAGCACTGACAAGAAGGTGGTGTGCCAGTTTGTGATCTGGTGCGGTGAGGCACCTGTGTCAGCAACAGGTGGGAGTGGCTCTGGTGTCTGAGCAGAGGCTCTGGTGTCTGAGCAGAGGCTGTCTGGATGCCATTCACGGTGAGAGAAGAGCCTAGAATCTTGACTGTCCTTTGAGTATCAGGTAAAGAAATTTGAATGTGATTAGGTAGTCAGTGGGGACCATTACAGAGTTCAGGGAGAGAGGTGAGGCAGTCAGAACTGGGGGAAGATGGAGAAGGGACAAGTGTGTTGTTTCAAACGTAGAGTCCTCTGATATCTACCTTTTAAATTCTTATTGAAGTAAATGCACAGAGAGGACCAGAAGTGGTGATCCATATTGGTGCACATTTATTTTTTTGACTCTGATTCCTTTAAGCCTAAAACTAGGGCAGTGTCCCATACTGAGCACTAAAGAGAAGTAGGGTCAAACCCAGGAGGGAGGAAAACCAGATCCCTGCACCTTGGCCAAGATGAGGATGCCGGATGGAGCATAGCCAGTCCTGGAATGAGGCCTGCATCTCTCCCTTGCACAATGCCCCCACCCACAATCCAGCCAGGTCTCTCTGTGTCCCCAGCTGCATGCTCCCACCTCTTCGTGATATGGTTTCAAAAACACAATCCAGCACCATGTGTAAATTGTTTGATGCTTGAGATCAACTTTACTGAATTGCCTACATTGAAAGTGATGAGGACAATACCTCCTTCAGGAAGAAAAAGGCAAAATGAAGTGCTTTCATGAATAGTCAGAAGGGTCTTACTAACATAAAAATATTTTGATTATGTCTTCAGAATCTCTTTATGTAGTTAGTGGCTTGTAAGCTGTCAACTTGTAAATGATGCCGTTGGAAATTGAAATGTAAATAACATTACCATTTATAATAGCATCAAAAATATGAAATATTTAGGAATAAATTAGGTCAAGATGTGTAAGACCTGTATACTGAGAACTATGATATATTGCTCAGAGAAATTAAATAAGATCTAAATAAATGGAGAGATATACTATGTTCATGGATCAGAAGACTCAATCTTGTTAAGATGTCATTTCTCCCCAAATTGATGTAAAGATTCAGTGCATTACTAATCAAAATCTGAGCAGACTTTTTTTTTTGGTAGAAATTAAGCTGGTTCTAAAATGTATATGTAAATGTAAAGGAATTAGAATGGGCCAAAACAACTTTGAACATGAATAAAGATGGAGTCCTTATACTACCTGATTAAGACTTCTTTGAATCTCAATAATTAAATCAGTATAGTATTGGCATAAAACCAGATAAACAGATCACAGAACATTATGGAGAGTCTAGAAAGTGGCCCACTATTGATCTTTGTCAGAGGTATCAGTGGACTTCAGCAGTGAGTGAATGATCTTTTCCACAAAGGGTGCTGTAGCAATTAGAGGGCCGTTTGCAAAAAACTCACTTCAATTGTTACTTGAAACCACATGAAAATTTAGCTTGAACTGGATCATAGACCTAGCGTAAGAGCTAGAACCATGCAGCTTCCACAAGATCACACAGGACTTCTTTCTTTAAATATGACACCAAAAGCAGAAACCACTATAAGAGGAAACCAGTCAGTTGGACCTATGAAGACGACCGTGGCAAGCGCTGGGGAGGCGGTGGTAGCACTGCAGCCGTCGTGTTAGTGCTGGAAATGTAAAACATGCGAAAACATGGAGGTCTTAAAAAAAACGTTGAAAATACACACACCGTATCACCCAGCCGTTTCCCTCTTCAGTATTTACTTAAGAGAAATGAAAGCACATTCCACACTAAGACTGAATGTTCATAGCAGCTTTATTCAGAATAGCCAAAACCTGTCAACAGCCCAGATAGCCACAGCAGGTGAGTGGGAACAGGAGGGGACAGTCTGTGTACACCGTGGTGTGTCAGCTGTCGCAGTAATTATGGTGGGCAAAAGAATCCAGACCAAACCAAAAATGCATTCTGTATGATTTCATGTATATCATATTCTTAAAAATGCAAACAAGTCTGTAATGACAGAACACAGATAGTGGTTTCCCGGGGAAGGGGTTGTGGTGGGGGCTGGAGGGATTCCAGTGAGCACTAAGGAGAAGCCAGGTCAAGCCCAGGAGGGGAGCACGGTAGATCCCCGCACCTTGGCCGAGGTGAGGATGCTGGACGGAAGGCAGCTGTCCCTTCCACACTGCCCACCCCACCCGCACTCCAGCCTGGCCGCTCTCTGCTCCCACCCTTTCATGCTGTAGTTTAGCAAACACAATCCAGAGCCAAGTGTAAATTGTGTCAAGGGGCGAAGGGACCCAGGGAACCTTCTGGAGCGACGGGCATGTTAGTCTCCTAATTGTGGTGATGGTTTCACGTGTGGATGTGTCAGGACTCATCCAGTTACACGTCACATGGGTGCAATTCTGTCAGTGCCACTTACACGTACCTTAGCACTCTAGAAGGAAAATCTAGTCTTGTGGTGGATGGCTTGTGAGGGGTCAAACTGCAGATTTAATGGAAAAGGGAAGTACTTCCATCAGCAGCTGGCCCCTCGAACGGACTGTGCACACCACTGTGTGTCTCACAACTCAGGCAACTCGGCACGCCGCAGGACATAACGGCAGAGTGTGAGTAATTTTCCATTTTATATACACATATGCGTATGTTATATAAAATTGAAAAGACTTTCTTCTCGTTAAATCTTATTTTATTTTGACACAGGATGTCACTCTGTTGCCCAGGCTGGAGTGCAGTAGTGCAATCGTGGCTTACTGCAGCCTTGAACTCCTGAGCTCAAGTGATCCTGTGGCCTCAGCCTCCCAAGTAGCTGAGGATACAGGTGTGCATCACCACGCCTGGCTAAAAAAAAACTGTTTATAGAGACTGGGTGTCACCGTGTTGCCCAGTCAGGTCTCCAACTCCTGGCCTCAAGTGATCCTCTTGCCTTGGCCTCTCAAAGTGCTGGGATTACAGGTGCGAACCACTGTGCCCTGCCAAAAAGACATTTTTAAGGTTAAGTAAGGCTTTGTTGATTTTGAATGTAACATTATTCCCACTCAATGAGTGATTTTGGTCGACGTTCACCTGTACTTTCTCTGCACTCTGAGCCGGCAGGTGCCACTTCTAGCTTCTGGCTGGGGTTGGTTTGCAGTGGAGTCTGTGCCTGTGGCAGCCGTCTGCATGACTTTGGGTCATTGCGCTTTCCTTGCCTTTTGGGGAGGGTCCCTGGTGCTCTGTGAGCAGATTCGCCCCTAGGGGTGAAGTCATCTCGCTCCTCTTCTGAGCCGTGAGCTGGGCAGGGCCGCGCTCACATCATTCCTCTCCCCCTGTCGCCGGGTGGGAAATCCGTAACAGGCTCTGTGGCAAAGGCTGGGCCAAGGTGCCTCGTGGGCAGCCGATCCATCAGGCGGCCGACAGGCGTGATCGAGTGCCGTGTCACACGCAGCCCAGGAAACAAACACGCCGCGCGAAAGGTATTGGTGAACGAACTGAAAAATTGTAAAGCTCTTAAGGACTTTCATGCTTGTTAGCATTTTTTGACAGAAAATCACTGAAGCAGTGAACATAAAGAAATAGCCATGGTTGATTCACAGTTTAGCTTGTTGTTCTGTTCATTTGGCCTCAGGTGATGTTTCACTTCCGGAGCCCCGTGAGCTGCTCCTTGCTCTGCCTGGCTTTCTTTCCTGTGCAAATTCTTGCGGGTCCCTCAGCTGTGCTCACCCAACCACAGCCTCCCTGGAGATGGGTTTTTATGATTTTGAAGGAGACCGAAGGAAACTGAATGAACAAATATTTTCTCCAAAGCCCGTCCAGGTTTGGCTTCAGATGCTGTGAGCCGTGTGTACATTTCTAGGCTTAATCCACAGAATGAATGTGAGCTTTTATGTCACAGCCTGCCCAGGACCCTGCTGTGTGCCTGGAGGGCACCTGACCTGCTCTTGAGGCTTCACTACCTGATGTCCCAAAGGGAACATCGTGTTTTTCAGTGTGTTCCTGAGCAGATGGGTGTCTACACAGACCTCGCCTGTTGCCCTGTGCGTTTGTGTGATGAGTTGGGGTGTGGCACACCGCTGTGTGGGGGTGGCTGGGCCTCTGAGTGCGCTCTCTCACAGCCACGTCTGCTGGGGCCCACAGCTCCCCATCAGCAGCAGCCCAGAGCTGAGCACAGAAGTGTGGGTGATTTTCATGAGTGCACCTTGCCATTTGGCTTGGCACCTGTTAGAACTGCTATGTGCTCTTTGAAAACCACCCATCCTTCTGTCCCAAGGAAGGTGACAAGCACGATGTTTTCCTGGGAGAAAGTGGCTCCCATCCTGGCCACACATCCCTGTCAGGGCAGCGTTTAGTGCATCCCACCTGTGCACGTAGAGATGCATCCTGCTGTCTTAAGTATCGGAGTCCCCGATGTAGGCTTGTTGGGGTGGCTCAGGTTTTCCCGTTGCAACTGAGGCGTTGAGCAGTCAGGGGCTGCCCCTGCCTGCCCAGAACTTTCCTGAAGTCGTGGCCTGGCAGCGCCCCGCCTGTGCAGGGCAGGTCCCTCAAGGCCAAGCCCTGTTGTGCATGAGGGCACCCCCAGACTGAAGGAAACGAAGCTGGAGCTTCAGAGATCATGCCCACCTGAGGCCTTCCCTCGCCTTTGCAGACACACCTGTGTTTCCAAAGAAGGGGGACAGACGGAGCACTTCACTTCCATCCCGAGAGTGTCTCCCAGACAGCGCACCCCGCAGCGGCCACTGGCTGACCCGTGGCCTTGAGAACACAGGAAAGCCCCCTCTTAGATTCACAGAAACGCCCTTCCTAGGAGTAAACGGATCCTGTGTTTTTCCCCTCGATTCTGTGTCGCTAATTGTTAATTATGACAAAGGAAAAGTGATATTAAGATTCGGGGTATTTGTTTCATTGTGTAATTTCTTCCTTGGTTAAAAGGGAAGAATGGGCTGGGTGTAGTGCTTCACACCTGTAATCCCAGCACTCTGGGAGGCTGAGGCAGGTGAATTGCTTGAGCTTAGGAGTAATCCCAGCACTCTGGGAGGCTGAGGCAGGTGAATTGCTTGAGCTTAGGAGTAATCCCAGCACTCTGGGAGGCTGAGGCAGGTGAATTGCTTGAGCTTAGGAGTAATCCCAGCACTCTGGGAGGCTGAGGCAGGTGAATTGCTTGAGTTTAGGAGTAATCCCAGCACTCTGGGAGGCTGAGGCAGATGAATTGCTTGAGCTTAGGAGTAATCCCAGCACTCTGGGAGGCTGAGGCAGGTGAATTGCTTGAGCTTAGGAGTAATCCCAGCACTCTGGGAGGCTGAGGCAGGTGAATTGCTTGAGCTTAGGAGTTCAAGACCAGCCTGGCCAACATGGGGAAACCCCATCTCTACTGAAAATACAAAAATTAGCCAGCTGCAATGGCGTGCACCTGTAGTCGCAGCTACTTGGGAGGCTGAGGCTGGAGGATCGTGTGAGCCTGGGAGGTGGAGGTAGCAGTGAGCCAAGATCACACCACTGCACTGCAGCCTGGGCAACAGAGCAAGATCCTGTCTCAAAAAAAAAAAAAAAAGAGAAGAATGATATAACCACATTAGTCCTTTACCAGGTTTGCCTTAAAACTGAGTCACTGTGTGCCTGGCCTTTACTCAGCGCTTCCTCCCATGTCGTGACTGTTATAATGCATCATTACTTCCTCACTATGATTCATCTAGGAACTTGGGGGAGTAATTCATAGTCAGGGATATTTATGTTTAAACCGACAGAAAGGGAGAGCCATTTGAACACATTATTCCATGTTTTCACTGGTTTTAAATCTGATTTCTGCTGGCTGGGGGAAACTTGAGGAACTGTGAAGTCATCGTAGGCAGTAGGGAGGTAACGGATAAGGGCCTTTCAAGCATGCAGTGAAGAGACACCAGCTGTACAGCTCCCTCCTGTATGGAAAAGGTGGAATTTAGACAGTTAAAGTATTAAAGTATACATCACTGGGTTTGAAAACAGCCACAAAAAAACCCCTGTCGGATCACCCAAAACCGCTGGCCCCGTGGCGCACCATCCCGAGGCTGCCGACTTTGCAGTGGGGCTCTCTTTCCTTCTGGAGTGCAGCAGCATCTGGAATTGTCTGGGAAAACCCTGAAGGATGGCCCACACCGAGCCGAAACATCTTTCAAACGGAAATTGTTACACTGTGCTCTTCATCTTGAAATTAATGTTTGGTTGTCAATTTTTATTGCTGACCTAATGGATGAAGTCCAGCAATTGCAGCTGTCCCCTTAAAGCGGCCCCCAGCGTGTGCTGTGCAGACCTTCTCGGCAGGCTACCCACCCACCTCATCCGTAAGTGGACTCGGGTAGAGAAAGATATCTGTGCATTGAGAGCTCGTTGGAGATAACTTGAGTCATAATGTGTACTGAGTGTGCTGGGAATCATAGGAGGGTAAAGGTGGTTTTTAAAAAAGTTATTTTCATTAATTCCTCTCACCCCCAACCCCCTCTGCCACCTGGGACAAAAAAATGGCAGGGTCCTGCTGGATGCCGCTTTCCAAGCTGGGGCAGACCCGCCAGTGTTGAGCAAGAGGGAGGTTTCATCTGAGGCTGGCTGAGTTTTATATATCTATTTATGAGATCCAATAATGTAATGATGTGCTTGTCTAATAAATGCTGCTGTACAAGCTCAGGACAGCAGACGTTTCCAGTATGACCTGGATTGTCTAAGCCGCAGCCCCTTTTGGTTGGAGCTCGGCTGTTTAATAAATGTCGGCTGTTCTTCCAACCATCATAATTATTTAAAGGGGCTTCAAAAGAGAGAGAACAAATCAAATCAAGCCATTACTGTTGAAGCTCGTTCTGGAGTTAAGTGTGTTTTTAAAACTGTGGGCCTTGTGCAGAGGCTCCTCCCAGTTTTCATCTATTATCACAATAATTGAGTTTGTAGCTGGAATTAAATTTATCAAATTGCGTTATCCTCTTTAGAAATTGGATAGGCATGCTGGCAGGGCGAGGCAGAAGTTAATCTGCTTTGCTGAAGCCTCCAGTGGCCCTGCACAGCGGGGCTGAAGAGGCCCAGACAGCTTCCTGTCACCCCGGACACGATGTAATTTCTCCTCAATCCCTTGTGCAAATAATGACATTTGAATCGAGCATTAACAGGCTTAATTACTTTAAAATTGTCATTTTAATTTACACTGATATAGTATTGATCATACAAGCAGAGATTAAGCTGTTCAGTGGAGCAGATGATGGGGAATTAAACATTAAAGGGTCCTCAGGGGGCCGTGTGCGCTGCCCGGCGCGAGCCGGAAGAGGGATGATATTTCTCGGTAATGAACTGGCGGCATGCGGGGACATGAATCTTGGGCTCTTGGAAAAGGGGAAATAATGGGGTTTGGGAGGCATTTGCAGGTTATTCATTCGCCGCCATGCACCAATTCTCCAGTGATTCATCCGCCTCACCAACATTTATTTATCCAGCAAATTCCGGAGCTTTGACCTTTTTGCTAAGTACATTGAACATAAGTTGGAGTGGAGATCTTTCAAGTGTAACTTTTACAAGTATTTGTTATTTTTCCTTATTTCTAGGCAACATTAAACAAAGTTATTCAGTTTTTTGAGTGTACTGGAGTCTGCCGGCCTTGCAGGGTTGGTGTGGTGGTGAGGGACTAATGGGCTCCTGCAGCCCAGCCCCACACTTGACTTTTGAAAATTCCAGTGGCAGATCCCAGGCTCAGGTGTCACTGATCCTTTCTTAGGTGAAATGACACGAGAGCCTCACGTTCCTGCCATGGGCTGATGGCCTCGGCCTCCTTTCAGTTGAGGCTTTCTGTTGGTGGTTAGGGGGCAAAGTGACGCCCTGTAACTTATTGATGCTGCCATGGAAAAAATATGGAAATGAAGCAGAACATGAGTTTCTCAGAAGCACATTTGACGGACTTCTTTTGGCGAAAATCAGAGCACTTCAAATCCTGTAACCTCAAACTGTTTCACTTTTCAGAGGTTATATAATAAAAAGTTAAGTGATTGATTTTATAGTTCAGTAGGGAGTGATGAAATTCTTGATCACTATCCATAATGGCTTTATTTTAAACAGTGGGCTAGAGATTTAATTAAAGCATGATCAGGGAAATGAAAAAATGTTGATATTTCTCCTCAAATTAAACATGAATTTGCACAGGGAGCATTAGAAGGGCTTATCATTCCTCCTGATGTTTTTATTCTCTTCCGTAGGATTTAAAAGCTTGCGGCCCACTTCACCCCTCTCTGAATAGCTCAGGGGGCTTCAGCCCCTGTTGACCGTGCTCTGGGTTTGGTCCATTTCTGTGGCTTTCTTTAAAAACTGCCGAGCTCCATCGCACGACCACCACTGCTGGCGTTTATTGAGCGTGTACTGCTTGTGAGGCTTTGTTCTGGGGGATCATTTCCCCACTTTATCTTTGGGGTGCCGGAGACACAGGAAGGTTAAGAAACAGCCGGTGAGGCCGGGCATGGTGGCTCACTCCTGTAATCCCAGCATTTTGGGAGGCCGAGGTGGGTGGGTCACGAGGTCAGGAGATAGAGACCATTCTGCCAACATGGTGAAACCCCGTCTCTACTAAAAATACAAAAAATTAGCCAGGCGTGGTGGTGGGCGCCTGTAGTCCCAGCTACTCGGGAGGCTGAGGCAGGAGAATGGCGTGAACCCAGGAGGCGGAGCTTGCAGTGAGCAGACATCGTGCCACCGCACTCCAGCCTTGGAGACAGAGTGAGACTCCATCTCAAAATAAACAAACAAACAGCCGGTGAGTAGCACCAGCTTGTGTGAAGCTGGGAAGTAGCCCCGTGAGCGCCAGGTGTTGCCGGGCCAGGCCTTCCCTGTGAGGCGGGTTCCCTGGTGCCCACTGTGGCCTACTCTGAGGGGCACAATGCAGGCTCCTATTCTTAACCTCAAGGCTTTCTATGTAGCACGTCCTCACGGGACCACAGAACGAGAGGGAGCTGGGGGTGTGGTGGAGGAGTGGCAAGTGACAGGGCAGAAACAGCTGCTCGAGGAGGCCCCGTGTTCTCCTGGGGGACCGTCGGTGACATTTCAGCCTGGCTTAGCTGCGTCCTTGAAAGTGGTTCTGCTTCTCTTACGTGCTTGCAGACACCATTCATGTGTCCTTAGTCTGACAGTGACTTGGTCAAGCTTGGAGGATGTGGGGCCTGCCTGTGCGTGCCCCATGGGCAGAGAGGGCGGGCGCGGTTCGTGCTGGACTCTAGATGTGCAGCTCCAAGTGAGATGTGGGTAGATGCCATTGGGATTTTGGCGTGAGCGTGGACCTGGGTTTCTGGAAGGGCATTGTTCCCGTGTCCCTGTCCCCACTGTGGCCTTGCTGAGCCCCCAGGGAGCCAGGACCCGCTGGTGACTGCTCCCTCTCTGTCCTCAGGGTGCAGCCCTGCACAGCCCTTCTAGCCCTCTCAGGTCTTTCTTTTGTCCAAACTCTTATCTTCTCTTGGGTCCCCAGGGTCACCAACCTCTTTGCAGAAAATCCCTCTGCAGCCACTGACCCCACACCCCCAGCCCCCATGCCCTCACTGCACACGTTCTCAGCCCCCATGTCCTCAGCTTCCAATCCCTAAACCCCACGTCCTGAAACCCACACCCTCAGCCTCCACCCCCAAGACCCTACACCCTCTGACTGCGCACTCCCAGAACCTGCACCTGACCCCACACCCCCTGACCCCACCCCCCCGACCCCACACCCCCTGACCCTACACCCCCTGACCCCACACCCCCTGACCCCACACCCCTGACCCCACATCCTCTGCATACTCCCAGAACCCACACCTGACCCCACACCCCAGACCCTACATCCTCTGTGCACTCCCAGAACCTGCACCTGACCCCACCCCCCCGACCTCACACCCCCTGACCCTACATCCTCTGAGTGCGCACTCCCAGAACCCGCACCTGACCCCCACACCCCCTGACACCACCCCACAGCCCCCATCTTCAGCCTCTCCTCTGCTGTAGTCCCCAGCCCCTGGCTGGCTTGCTTCTCAGCACAGCCCTGGCCCAGAAGCAGGAGGACACTGTCAGCCCCTCCTTGCTGGGGGGAGAGTGGTTGGGGCACACCTGTCCCCTGCCCCTCTGCTGCCCACAGCACAGCTAAGTCTTCACCCTGCCTGCGCGCATCCCTGTGGCCTTCTGGGAGGTCCCAGTGGGGAGCCTGTCTTCTCCCCAGAACACCCAGTCTCCCTTTGTGCCGGGTCACCCCTGTGAGCAAACAGGCAGGCATTTCCCTCTTAGGGAAGAAGCCTCCCTTGACCCCGTATCTCCCCAGCTCCTTGTCCTATAGAAACTGATTTCTTGGCAGTGTCTTTCTTTCTTTTTTTTTTTTTTTTTTTTTTAAGGAAAATGATGGATATTCATGTGGTCAGGACAGCGGTGCCAAAGTGGAGAAACTGCAAACGGCGGTGACGGCTTGACGGGCGTCACTTTTCCTTGGTCTTTGTCAGTCAGGTCTAATTTATAACAGGGCCATTAGTGGGAGATAGCTTTCTTTGGATGTCTTTTCCCGTAAGGGTTGCTCATGGTTTGGCCTCAGTAAAGAAAAGAGAAGGTCTCTCTTTCATATTGTTGGAAGCAGCAGGTGGCCCACTCCTTCTGGAGTGAGGCATGGGCATGTGGGCACGCCTCCATCTGTCAGGAGTGTCCCTGTCTCTCCCTTCTGATTGGGACAGTGGGTCACACTGGTGGCCAGTGGGCAACTGGGGCCCCTGGAGCCGTGGCCTCCCCTGGGCCCAAGGGAGGCACAGATGACTTAGGAGTGGAGAGTTCAAACGTGGGCTGCGGCGAGGCTTGTGCCCTCCCTGCTTCGGACTCCGCCCTCCCTGCTTCGGACTCCGCCCTCCCTGCTTCGGACTCCGCCCTCCCTGCTCTGGACTCCGCCCTCCCTGCTTCGGACTCCGCCCTCCCTGCTTCGGACTCGGCCCTCCCTGCTCTGGACTCCGCCCTCCCTGCTTCTGACTCCACCCTTTCTGCTTCGGTATCTACCTCCTTGCTTTGGAAGGACACAACCTTCTTGGCTGGCACAGCCCTTCCTGCCATGCCTGTTGATCCCATCATCAGCCAAGGATGTGTTGGGGCCGTATTCTGCGGCTCCTCCAGCATGGGAAGGTGCTGACAGGAAGCAGCACCAACACCTCCTGGAATAGCCGTTGGCACATGAGCTTCCTGATACTGTTTCATGTGCCTTACATGTGCCACCCATGCAGGGATCAGAGCAGCCCTATGAAGTGGGTACTGTTATTTGTCTTCCCCGTGTCACAGATAGAGATGTTGAGGCACAGAGAGGTTCAGGGACCAACCAGAAGAGGCCAATGTGGGATTTGAACTTGGTTCTGGCCTCAGAGCCTGTACTCTCAACCAGCCTGCTCTGCTCTCAGAAGGGGACAGCGCAGGAAAGGCCAGCTTCAGCCAGGGTGACGGTGGGGGTGGTGCTCAGGGTGGACAGCATTGATTAGAGGTGACTGTTGTCCAATATTCAGCTAAACTGTAGGTTTTAAAGCTTGAGGACAGGTTTCGTTAGAGGTCAAAATTCAGTAGTTCCTTTCCCAAGGATGTAGGGAGAGAACTACGTTTTGTTAAGTGGCTCTTATTGAGCATTGTGACATTCTTTTGCTAAAAACATGTTTGTGCATGTATACACTTGTACTAAGAAAATATCTTCATTTTATTTCCTTTTCCTTTATCATGTGACATAAGATTTATTCACTTCATATCAGCATTTAAGTATTGTCAACTTTATGAAATAATATTTGGGTTGGCGATTGGTTTTGAAATGTGAGGACAGGAGATCTGGGAGGGGTCGGGATGGAATAATATGGTTTGGCTGCGTCCCCACCCAAATCTCATCTTGAATTCCCACATGTTATGGGAGGGACCCTGCGGGAGGCAAGGGGATCATGGGGGCAGGTCTTTCCCATGGTGTTCTCATGGTGGTGGGTGGGTCTCATGAGATCTGATGGTTTTACAAAGAGGAGTTTCCCTGCACAAGCTCTTTCTTTGCCTGCTTCCATCCATATAAGATGTGACTTGCTCCTCCTTGCCTTCTGCCATGATTGTGAGGCCTTACCAGCCATGTGGAACTGTAAGTCCATATTAAACCTCTTTCTTTTGTAAATTCCTCAGTCTCGGGTATGTATTTATCAGCAGTGTGAAAACAAACTAATACAAGGTCTTTCCTAAGTTTGGAAAAACGTGATTTCTCATCTCTTCAAAAACGACTTCCACTCCCCCTCTGCATTCCCTCTAGGTTCCAGTTACATGTGCGTTGGACCCCACGCCTTCCACGCCCCACCCCACTCCCCTGGTATTGATGACTGCCTTCTTCTACTGTCCATTCTGTATTCCCTTTGCCTTCAGCATCACCTCAGCGGGTCGTGGTTTTTTTCCTGGTGGAATGTCCCAAACCTTCATTCCTGAGGGGTCTGGGTCACTTGTAGTCTTGCCTGGATTGGGCTGTTGTAGTTTCCCGTTGACCTTAATCACAAGGCATGGTAATACTATGGGACGCCCTAATGGATCTCCTGTATTCCATGTATACTCTTCCTTAGCTTCGTTGCAGAGTAGTAGACTGATTTCACCTTGATAGACCAGATCAATCACCCCAACAGTGTAACTCCTTTCTTAGCCTATTGACATAAAGGTAGGAGGAGCCCAGAGTATCCAGGTGACAATCTTAACTTCCAGTTCAGTGGGATTGCTGTTTGGTCTCGCGGTGGCAGCATTCTTCCCTCTGGAACTAATAACGCTAGGCCAGCAGAACGTAATGTTGCAGGAACAGGAAGCAAAACTTTTGCTAGTGGATCATTAGGGGTGATGGTGAGTGGTGCCACTTCCACTTCCACCCTTGATTCCCGGACCCGTGAATCCTGGCTATGGGAGAAACAGTATCATATATTGGACGCTGATTCAGAGCATCCATGGCCCTCTGGAGAACTTTGTCCCAGCCCTGCAAAGTATTGCCACCTAGTTGGTGTTGTAATTGTGACTTCAAAAGGCCATTCCACCATTCTGTCAACCCAGCTGCTTCAGGATGATGGGGAACATGGTAAGACCAGTGAATTCCATGAGCATGAGCCCCCTGCCACACTTCTTTAGCCATAAAGTGAGTGCCTTGGTCAGAGGCAATGCTGTGTGGAACACCATGATGGTGGACAAGGCATTCTGTGAGTCCATGGATGGTAGTCTTCACAGAAGCATTGCATGCAGGATAGGCAAACCCATATCTAAAGTAAGTGTCTATTCCAGTGAGGACAAACCTCTGCCCTTCCCATGATGGAAGAGGTCCAATATAATCAACCTGCCACCAGGTAGCTGGCTGACCACTCCAAGGAATGGTGCCATATCAAGGACTCAGTGTTGGTCTCTGCTGCTGGCAAATTGGGCACTCAGCAGTGGCCGTAGCCAGATCAGCCTTGGTGAGCGGAAGCTCATGTTGCCGAGCCCATGGGTACCCTCCATTCCTGCCATCATGGCCACTTTGTTCATGGGCCTATTGGACAATGACAGGGGTGGCTTGGGAAAGAGGCTGAATGGTATCCACAGAAGGGGTCATCCTGTCCACTTGATTATTTAAATGCTCCTCTGCTGAGGTCACCCATTGGTGAGCACTCACATGCGATACAAATATCTTCACAAATTTTGACCACTCAGAGAGGTCTGTCCACATACCTCTTCCCCAGATTTCTTTGTCACAATTTTCCAATCATGCTTCTTCCAAGTCCCTGACCATCCAGCCAAACCATTGGCTACGGCCCATGAATCAGTATATAATCACACATCTGGCCATTTCTCCTTCCAAGCAGAGTGCACAAGCGGGTGCACTGCTTGAAGTTCTGCCCACTGGGAAGATTTCCCTTCACCGCTGTCCTTCAGGAATGTCCTAGAAAGGGGCTGTCATGCTACAGCTGTCCACTTTCGGGTGGTGCCTGCATACCGTGCAGAACCATCTGTGAACCAGGCCCCGGTCTTCTCTTCCTCTGTCAGCTGATCATAGGGAACTTCCCATGAGGCCATCGGTGCAGGCTGGGGGAGAGAAGGGAGGGTGGCGGGAGTGGAGACCATGGGCATTTGAGCCACGTCGTCATGTAACTTACTTGTGCCTTCAGGACTTAATCAAGCCCAATCACATACATGCCACTTCCATTTGATGATGGAATGCTGCTGTGCATGACCCACTTCATGGCTAGATGGGTCAGAAAGCACCCAGTTCATGACATGCAGTTCAGGTCACACGGTGACTTGATGACCCATAGACAAACGTTCAGTTTCCACCAAAGCCCAGTAACAGGCCAAGAGCTGTCTCTCAAAAGGAGAGTAGTTACCTGCAGAAGATGGCAGGGCCTCACTCCAAAATCCTAGAGGCCTCCGCTGTGATTCACCTATGGGGACCTGCCAAAGGCTCCAAACAGCATCCTTATCTGCCACTGACACCTCAAGCACCATTGGATCTGCTGGGTCATATGGCCCAAGTGTCAGAGCAGCTGGCACAGCAGCCTGGACCTGTTGCAGAGCCTACTCCTCTTCTGGACCCCCTCAGTCCTCCATACCCAAAGTCCAGAAAGTTGGGAATCCCAGTGAATCCCTAGCAGCATCAAAAAAATAAAAACTCATACCCAGTCAGATTATAACAAATCAAGAAAACCATAGAGAGCATAGGGGTGTGCCGCAGTCACACTGACAGGCCACCTTCCTGTTCCTGCAGAAATGGTAACCGCAGGGGACGGTGCAGCCGCATCTTCCGTGTCCTTGGAGGAAATGTCAGCATAGGGTCTTACCCGGCAAAACATCTCCTAAGATTGAAGGTGAAATAGACATTTTAACTCAAATGAAAAACAGTAAGTACTAACGGATGTTCTTCAAGCGGAGAGAAAATGATCTCATATGAAGTCAGAGAGGAGAAAGGAATGAGACTCAAGGCAGTTGGGGGAAGCGGGCAAATGGCCATGGGCATTGGTTGTGTAAACCGAGGCACCTCCTGCAGTGTAAAACACGGAGAGAAGTGCGGTTGAGCATGGGGGTGGGTGCGTGTGGAGTGAGCGTTCCAGGGGCCTTGCCGTGCCCGGGAGAGTGAGGGTAACGGACATTCCCACGGGGATATTCCCACGCGGAGAACTGGGACCCCGATCAGGGTCTGGAGGGAGCGTGTGCCCTTGGAATACTGCTGTTTTAGCATTTCTGGGGACCGGGAACTAAGGTAAATTATTTGAAACAGAAGTAGATGGCAATTTCCTAATATAATGGACATTTAAAACTCAATTAAGGCTTTTGAGTAGAGTTTTATATGCCCTGAGCTTTTGTACTGGCAGAAGGTATTTTGTAAACAGCTTGTGTTCAGTGTTGGCCATCTCTTAAAGTGCATTTTACTTTAATTATTCTATATCCATAATGCACATAACCAGTTTCTCCAGAACATGTATACATGAAATGTAATTGAAAAGCTAATGATTTTTAGAAGACAAAAGATAAGAGTCAGAACCATTTTAATTAGGATGCAAACTCCTTACATAATTTAATTGGCATAAAAGTTTATTGATTTACTTGTATAATCATTTATACGTAGAAAAATATAACAAATTTCATAATTAAAACTAGTTATTTTAAGACTGATATTTTTCTTTGTTCATTATTGAAATTTTCAATTTGTGAAATATTTATTATTCAAAAAATAGCATCTGCGTTGCAAATGAATCTCATTTTGAGAGGAAGAGCTCTAGGTGATACAGGTTTAAAATGACTGGTAGGCACCCACAGGGAAACTAGGTTCCTCACACAGCCTCGTTTTTCATGAGACCTGCGGAAAGGCTCTGGGGCGTCACGTCTCCCTGTGGCCGAGGCTGCTGTTGTCTGGCACACCGTGAGTTCTGGGCCAGGACCTTTCCACCTGTCTCCCTCCACTCCGGGTGAAAGAGGCATGGGGAATTTACTTGCTTTTCCTTTTTGTCTGGCATCAGCTCGTGAAATATATTACATCAGACAAAAGTCAATAGAGATTTCCCTTTTGAAAAGCAAGGTCCATGATAATGGGCTGAACACAAGCAGGTGACTGTGTGGGACAGGGCTGCCCAAACCGCCGCTGGCCTACAGACTGCTGTCCCGGCCAGTGCTCCGCTCCCTGCGCCCCTGATGAGATGGCAGCCCTGGGCACCTGTGGCTGCTCCCTCCTCCTGACTCTGCTCCAAGGTGCCACCTGCCCAAGGTTCCGTCCTAGTCCCTGACCGGCCCCTCCTGTTTCCCCCGTGGCTCCTTGCCCCACTGACTGCTGGCTCTCACCTGCTCCTGTCTCTCCACAGTAGTAGCCTCAGTCCAGTGCTTGACCCTGCCCTTTTCTCTGGCTCCAGCTCCTCCTTGGCAAGCTGAGTCTTCCCCAGCTTTGAGGCCCATCCACATGGTGACCCCCACCGTCACCCAGGCATCTGTCCTCAACTGCAGACCCACAGGTATTCACATGGTGACCCCCACCGTCACCCAGGCACCTGTCCTGAACTGTAGACCCACAGGTATTCACATGGTGACCCCCACCATCACCCAGGCACCTGTCCTGAACTGTAGACCCACAGGTATTCACATGGTGACCCCCACCATCACCCAGGCACCTGTCCTGAACTGTAGACCTAGGTTCAGTCACCTTTGATGCCTCCCTGAGGTGTCTGAAGCTGTTTCAGCCTCTGCAGGTCCATGGCTGGACGCTGTCTCTCCAGAGCCCATCCCAGCTCACATTGGTCTTGGAGGTCCTGTGGATGCTGCCTGGGTGCAGAGCTGAACCTCCCCACTGGGGCTCCTCTGTCATGGCCCCCCTCACCACGCTGCCGTCTTGGGCTCTGGCCATCTGGTCACTCATGTATCTCACATGTCTGAGAACATATGTGGCACAGAGGAAGGAGAAAGTGCCGGGTGCATATTTGTGGAATGTGAGTGGTGACTGAATTCTCTCAGCAAGGGTGGGTGTCCTTAGACCGGCCAATGACTTTGCCCCCGCAGTGTGACAGAGAGCCCAGTGCTGGTAGCAGGCGAGAAGCCAGGACTGCTGGTCACCTTGCCGCCCTCAGATGTACCCCCTTTGGAGAAGCCTGCCGCAGGCTGTTTTACAGGCCATCTCGTTCCATTTCAGTTGCTCCTCACCGTGGTAATCGGAAATGTTAACGGGCGCACTCGTCTGGTGGAATTTATCGTGGCCAGCGAGGGCGATTAAGCGGCTGGTATGTGGCGTGTTTACCCTCGTGTCAGCATGACTGGTGTTCCACCCTGGCAGATGAAGGCCCGGTCCTTCCTGGGCTCCTAATTGGGGACACTACATCCAAGAGCCGTGACAGGGTTCAGCAACCCGCGTGCAGAATGCCGGCTTCCACGGGGCACGCTTTATAAAATGCTCTTTAATTCAGGAACAGAATATCATTAGCTTTGTAAAGTGGATGAATACAATGGACAACCAATTTAATTAACCTCTAGCGTCAGCTGTCGAACAGGAGGCAGAATGAGATTACGTGTGCATCTCTCCCGCCAGCAGCCAGCCGGGAGAGGGGCTCGGCAGGAGGCCAGACAGGGGGACACCTTGGTGCCGTCATCCCGTTTGGCCCCAGGAGCTGAAATTGGAAAGTCAGTGCTTTGTAAATAAGTCAGCTGTCATTTTGTGGTGGTCACGGAGCTCCTCTGAGAGCGGACGGTCACAGCCCCCCGTATGCTGCCTGGGGGTGGCACTGGGGGAAGTGGGCAGTAGTGAGGACGCCGCCTTGTCCAGTTGGGTCAGCCGCCCATGAGTTCATTATACAGGAAAAGATCAATGAAGCGCTACATTGATTTAAACAAAAGCTTTGTTTCATTTATTATTGTTTATAATCTAATGACTGTTATTATAACTTTGCTTTGATTTATTACTCAATCTGTTAAATTGTTTCAAAACAAGGTGTCTTGGGACTTGCCTTTGTGATAGGGTTAAATGTGTGACTTTTGCAAGTGTGTTCAGCTTCTCGGGAGCACCGTGAACCTGTGCCTTGGGTTGTGCTTTGAGACCTGAGCTGAGGGTTCTGTCCAGCGGTCCTGAGCTGCTGCTGCTCAGCCGGGCGCCCAGAGGGTGTGGTGCCTCTCTCATTGCCCAGGAGCCGTGGAATTCCTGCCTGCCGTGACCTGGGCATTGTGGTGGAGGACTCAGAGGCGCCCAGGCCACATGCCTGCCCTCAGGGGGCTTCCCTTCCCTGAAAGAATTTAGATGAGGAAACCAGTGAGTGCTGGAATATGCAGCACCTTGAAGGAAAGGCTGGGGACTGGGACTGCCAAGCCTCTGCCCAGAGTAGCCAATCAAGAGGGCTGCTTGGAGGAGGCTGCATTTCCACAGAGACCTGAAGCAGCAGGGGGTCCATGTGAGAAGCTGGAAAAGGGGAGGCAGCAGAGGTACCCTCCTGACAGAAGGGCGCAGCCTCCTCAGGCCCAGATGGCCAATGGGGCTGGAGCTCTGTCAGCTGGGTGTGTGAGGGCCAGAGGACAGCTGGGGTGGCCACTGTGCAGGACGTGGCTGGGAGGAAGTGCAGTGGCAGGCCCAGAGGTGCATGTGGAAAAGGCCACCTTGGTGCCCGGTGGAGAAGAGACCAAGGGGGCTACAGCTGTGGAGGAGGCGGGGGCCCCACAGGGAGATGAGGGAGGTGGGTGTGCAGCAGTGCAGAGACGTGGAAGGCTAGAGATGGACAGGGTTCTGTAATCCGTAGAACCTGTGGAAGGAAGGGATGTTTGGGTGAGGCATATGGACAAGATGCTGGAGGAATCTGGAGAGATCCGTGGTTTCCAGTGGGAGCTGGAGGAGGGTGAGGGTGGAGTAGGTCTCCAGTCCTGAAAGGTCGGACTTGTCACGGGAGACCCAAGTGGAGACTGTGCAGCCGCCGGGCCAGGAGGCTGGCCTTTAGGAGGCTCCATGCTGTACACACAAGAGCTGCCCGCTGGAAGATGGGACAGACGGGCCACCCCAGCGGGAGGAGGAGGTGGAGGAGAAGGGCTCGTAGGGTACCCTGAGCAGATCCAGAGTGCTGTTATTCCCAAGTAGGAGGAGGAGATCCAGGGAAGGAGAATGTGGAGTCCCGTAGCCTAGAAGTAACAGAGTTTGGAGGAGGGTGGAGGGCGTGAGAAGGTGATGAGACAAATAAATAATTCTGGATTATATTTAAAAATTAAAAATCTACAAAATGAGACAGGAAAATGGGCAAAGGATACAAAGAGTTCACAGAAGAAACTTAAATTGCCAATAATCTTAAAAAGAGATGCGCCAGACACACAGACCATGGAGCAGAGGGGACAGCCAGGAGGCACCCTGCCTGGGCAGCCAGGTGGTCTCTGACAAGGGTGCAAGAGCATTCCATGGGAGAGGACAGCCTCCAGCCAGTGGTGCTGGGACGCTGATACCCACACGCAGAAGAATGAAGTTGGCCCCTCACATTACATTGTGTACAAAGTTAACCCAAAATGAGTCAAAGACCTAAAACTATAAAACTTTTAGAAGAAAACATGGGCCAGAACCTTCACAACATTGGATTTGGCGATGATTTCTCAGACGCAGCACCAAAGGCACAGGCAGCAAAAGAAAAAAGAGACAAATTGGACTGCATTAAAACACAACCACTTTGTACAGCCAAAGACAACATCAACAGAGTAAAAAGGCAACCGTGGAATGGGAGAAAATATTTGCAAATCAAAAATCTGATAAGGAATTACTATCCAGAATATATAGAGAACTCCGAAAACTCAACAACAGCAACAACAAAAACCAACCTGAGTCAGAAAGGGGTTTGAATAGGCGTCTTCCCTCCAAGGACGGCGTGGAGACGGCCGATAAGTACACGAAAAAGCGCCCAGCTCCACGAACCTTTAGGGAGATGCAGATCCAAACTGCCATTTTCATTTGTCAGTTTAAAAGGACTTGCAAAATACCTTATACCCATTAGGATGGCTGTTGTCAAAAAGCGCAGAAGATAGTGAGAGGTGACAGCGTGCTGGCAGTCCTCACAGCCCTCGCTCGCTCTCGGCGCCTGCTCTGCCTGGGCTCCCACTTTGGCGGCACTGGAGGAGCCCTTCAGCCCACCGCTGCACTGTGGGAGCCCCTTTCTGGGCTGGCCAAGGCCAGAGCCGACTCCCTCAGTTTGTAGGGAGGTGTGGAGGGAGAGGCGCTAGCGGGAACCGGGGCTGCGCGTGGCGCTTGCGGGCCAGCTGGATTTCCGGGTGGGCGTGGGCTTGGCGGGCCCCGCACTCCGAGCAGCCGGCCGGCCCTGTGCAATGAGGGGCTTAGCACCCGGGCCAGCAGCTGCGGAGGGTGTACTGGGTCCCCCAGCAGTGCCCACCCACCGGCGCTGCACTCAATTTCTCGCTGGGCCTTAGCTGCCTTCCCGAGGGGCAGGGCTCGGGACCTGCAGCCCGCCATGCCTGAGCCTCCCACCCGCTCCGTGGGCTCCTGTGCGGCCGGAGCCTCCCCGACGAGCTCCGCCCCCTGCTCCAGGGCGCCCAGTCCCATCGACCACCCAAGGGCTTGAGGAGTGCGGGCGCACAGCGCGGGACTGGCAGGCAGCTCCACCTGCAGCCCCAGTGCGGGATCCACCGTGTGAAGCCAGCTGGGCTCCTGAGTCTGGTGGGGACGTGCAGAACCTTTGTATCTAGCTCAGGGATTGTAAACGCACCAATCAGCGCCCTGTCAAAACAGACCACTCGGCTCTACCAATCAGCAGGACGTGGGTGGGGCCAGATAAGAGACTAAAAGCAAGCTGCCCGAGCCAGCAGTGGCAACCCACTCGGGTCCCCTTCCACACTGTGGAAGCTTTGTTCTTTCGCTCTTTGCAATAAATCTTGCTACTGCTCACTCTCTGGATCCACACTGCCTTTATGAGCTGTAACACTCACCGCGAAGATCTGCAGCTTCACTCCTGAGCCAGCGAGACCACGAACCCACCAGAAGGAAGAAACTCCGAACACATCTGAACATCAGAAGGAACAAACCCCGGACACGCCGCCTTTAAGAACTGTAACACTCACCGCGAGGGTCCGCGGCTTCATTCTTGAAGTCAGTGAGACCAAGAACCCACCAATTCCGGACACAATAGCAGGTGCTGATAACGATGGGAGGGAGTTGGAACCTTTGTGCACGTGGGTAGAAATATAACAGGGGGCAGCCACTGTGAACATTGAGGTGATTATTCAAAAAGTTAAAAATAGAATTCCCGTCTGATTCAGCAGTCCCACTTCTGGGTACAGACCCCAAAGAATTGAGAGCAGTCTCCAGCAGATATTTGCACACCTATAATCAAAGCAGTATTATTCACAACTGCAAAATGCGGAAGCAGTACCATGGAATATGACCCAACCGTAAAAAGGAAAGAAATTCTGGCAAGCACTACAACATGGTGGAGGAACTTGGAGGACATTATGCCAAGTCAAGCCTGTCACAGAAACACGAACATGGTATGATTCCACTTACATGAGGTACTCGGATTAGTCAAAGTCATGGAGACAGAAAGTACAGTGCCTGGTTGCCAGGGGCTGGGGAGAGCGGGAAGGGAAGAGCGGGAAGGGGAGAGCGGGAAGGGAGCTGCTGCTGGACAGGAACAGTTTCAGCTGGGAAGGTGGACAGCGTCCTGGAGGTGGGAAGGTGGACAGCGTCCTGGAGGTGGGAAGGTGGACAGCGTCCTGGAGATGGGAAGGTGGACAGCGTCCTGGAGATGGGAAGGTGGACAGCGTCCTGGAGATGGATGTTGTGATGGGAGCTGTTGCTGGTCGGGAACAGTCTCAGCTGGGAAGGTGGACAGTGTCCTGGAGATGGATGGTGTGACGGGTGCAGACGTTCGTTAGGCGCGGACTGCGTGCCACTGACCTGCTCACCTGAAGGTGGGTACGATGGTCAAGTTTATGCTGTGTGCATTTTACCACAGCCACACAGTTCGATGAAGAGGTGCCCAACTATGCTAGTATAATGAAGATGCAAATTAAAACAATAAGGTCTAATTTCACACCTATCCAGTTGGCAAAAACTAGAGGCTGGCACTGGGCCATGGCAAGGATGTGGAACGTGGGCACTGCCCTGATGAGACCACTGGGGGATCGTCATGGCAACAGGAGGGGCAACGTGGTGGTGCCTGGGAGGGCATGTGTCTGTGGTGACCCAGCAAGGCCATCTGTGTATTATATACATATGCACGCATGTTTAATCAGCGTGTAAACTGTGTGTTATCCTATGTGGAAGGCACGTGTCTGCCATGACCCAGCAATGCTGTGTATTATATACATATGCACTCATGTTTAATCTACGTGTACACGTGTGTGATCCTATGTGGAGGACACATGTCTGCCGTGACCCAGTAAGGCCATCTGTGTATTATATACATATGCACGCACGTTTAATCTGTGTGTACACATGTGTGTGATCCTATGTGGCGGGCACGTGTCTGCCATGACCCAGCAATGCTGTGTATTATATACATATGTACGCACATTTAATCCACGTGTACACGTGTGTGTTATCCTATGTGGAGGGCACGTCTCCTGTGACCCAGCAAGGCCATCTGTGTATTATATACATATGTACGCACATTTAATCCACGTGCACACGTGTGTGTTATCCTATGTGGAGGGCACGTGTCTGCCGTGACCCAGCAAGGCCATGTGTTGTATTATATACATATGTATGCACGTTTAATCCACGTGTACACGTATTATCCTATGTGGAGGGCACGTGTCTGCCGTGACCCAGCAAGGCCATGTGTTGTATTATATACATATGCACACACGTTTAATCCACGTGCACACGTGTGTGTTATCCTATGTGGAGGGCACGTGTCTGCCGTGACCCAGCAAGGCCATCTGTGTATTATATACATATGCACACACGTTTAATCTGCGTGTACACATGTGTATTATCCTATGTGGAGGGCACGTGTCTGCGGTGACACAGCAAGGCTGTTATATATATATGCACGCATGTTTAATTCACGTGTACATGTGTGTATTACCCTATGTGGAGGGTGCGTGTCTGCAGTGACCCAGCAAATCCTCCTGCATAGTATGTCTGTGTGAACACTCAGTACCCATGTACCTGGATGCTTGTTATCTCTGACACACTTGCTCAGTAACACCATGCAGGGAAGATTATTATAGCATCAATTACAATACTCAAATAATTGGAAGTAGTCTTTATGTGCAACAGAGAAATGGATAAATTACAGGGTTTTTTGTTTGTTTGTTTGAGACAAAGTCTCACTTGCTCTGTCGCCCAGGCTGGAGTGCAGTGGCGCGATCTTGGCTCACTGCGACCTCTGCCTCCCAGGTTCAAGTGATTCTCCTGCCTCAGCCTCCCAAGTAGCTGGGATTACAAGCATGGGCCACCACACCTGGCTAATTGTTGTATTTTTAGTAGAGATGGGGTTTCGCCATGTTGGCCAGGCTGGTCTCGAACTCCTGACCTCAAGTGGTCGACCCACCTTGGCCTCCCAAAGTGTTAAGATTATAGGTGTGAGCCACTGTGCCTGGCCAAATTACAGTATTTTTATATGGTGAATTATTATGTAGCATTCAAAATAAGCTAAAATATGTCTTTATCTTGGTATCACGCCATAGGACATTTGAGAAACTGTCCTCTTTCTTGGCTTCCTTTGTGAAATCCACCTGTGTTTCTGGATGTAACTCTGATCTGTGTATTTTCCTTGCTGTATCTGGTTCTATCATAGGAATATTTCAAATTTGATTTACCCATTTGCACGTTAAGCATTTGGGTCATTTTCAGTTGGTGTTTTCAGAGGTCATATGCCATTGTATTCTCATGCCTGTCTCCTGAGAGCTCCAGCGTCTCTGAGAGAGGTCTGTGTGTGCATTCCACGTGTGTATACAGACATATGTATGTCTACAGGTGTATGCATGTATGTGTGTGTATTACATATGTATGTTTGTCTATAGTGTATATGGATGTGGGTTATGTACATGTGTGTGCATGGATGTGTACATATGTGTGTGTGTGCAGGAGTTTCTCTTGGGTGCAAAGCAGCCGTGAGGGTGTGGGGTTGTAAGTTCACAGGATGTGGTGTGTCCCTGTGGCTCATGTCTTCAGCAGTCACTCATTAGTCACTGTGAGCCTGTCTTCTCATTTCTCCTGTATTACAAGGGCAGAGGAAATGTCTGAAAGATCAGGCTCAGAACCACATGCCTGCCTCAGCTCGGGCAGGTGCTTTCACCCTAATGAGGACGGAACGTCAGGCTTGGCCTCTCCGTGATGTCCTTAGCTTTGTTCTCAGAGAGCACAGATGTTTGCCACTGGCCCTCACAGGGTGTGTCAGAGCCCAGGTGAGCATGGTTTCGTGCCCCTGGGCTCCTGCGTGAGGCCGCGTCCTTCATTTGGGGGTCCTGTGTCCTCACAGCATGCAGCTGGGGAAGGAGTGGGCTGCGTATGAGGGGAGTCATGTTTAGTAATCTCTCGACTCTCATTTAAAACAAATGAAGTTCTCTATTTTGTTGCAGACTTGAAGATTAGTTACCAACAATATCTTATGAAGTTTTTCTTTCTGCTCCTAGATTTATTTTATTAAAAAAAAAAACTGGAGGTGAAAACGCTTTATCTGTAGAAATAACAAAATGTCATGCTGTCTCAGAGTGAGATGGGAGTCACCAAATGCTGCCACTCTTTTTTCTGAGTCACTGTTGATAAGCACGGTCGGCCTTAGTCAGGGCTCCCCTGGGCCGCGGGCCGTGGCCTCCTCCCTCAACACTTTTTCCCTTCCCAGTGGCAGAATGCAGTGGCAGGCTCCACAGAGATCCCCCTGGGGCGCACTGGGAGCTGGCACCTGTGGTCACGCCCGCGACGCGGTTGGAACCAGCACAGGGGAAGGGCCCTGTTGCCACCTGGGGCCTCACATGGGCACTGCTTGTGCATTTCCCCTTTCTGTCTCGAGCAGAGTGTGTGCTCATGTGCGTCCCTTAGCGCGGGGTCTGTGTGACTGAAGTTTTAGGAATGTGTTCTGTTTTGTGCACGAGGGAGCTGGGTGCAGAAGACCAGGTTAATGATGTGTGCTTTGGTCGTTCACCTGATTGCGGAAATGATAAATTACCGGCCATCTGACTTGTTTGCAAATAAAAAGTGATGGAGGCATTTCCAATGGCAGCTTTGTGTTCCTGGCTTGTCAGCCTCTGCCCCGGCCTGAGTCATCCCGAGCCTTCCAGCCGGTGGCTCCGTCCGGGAGGTGGGACCCTGCTCAACAAACACGGGCTTTGTGATTGCACAGTGCCTGCCGGGACGCGTTGTTCTTTCCAAATGTGTGAGAAGTGGTCTGCTCCCGCCCTGAGTTGGCTGTGTTTGCAAAGTGGGCCCGCTATCAGAATTCAGCTCCCGAAATCAAGCTAAGTGACACGGTGTGGCCATTTATCACATTACCGGACTCCAATTGAAGTTGAGAGGTTGTTTTAATAGCATTTGTAAATACTCCATCTTCACTAGCCGCCCCTGTGAGAGGCACTGAGCCCCCATGGTACGCAGGGTTCGTTGCGCCCTGGTCGCCAGTTGGTGTGGAAGCCTGATGGTGGTGACTGGGAGCTTCAGTTGCCCATTAGCTCCCAGGCTGCCTTCAGAGACCAGGGTCCCACCAGTGCAGCCCCAGCCAGGGCCCAGGTTAGCCGGGGTCTGGATCTCCTGTGTGGCCCGCACCGGATCGACTTTTCGGTGCCCCAGGGGCTTGGCTTTGTCCAGTGGAGGCCGCTTCCCGGCTGTGCCGTGGCCTCCGGGGGCTGGAGGACTCCTGCCCGTGTCTGCAGTCCTCGCAGAAGCATCACAGCTAATGGCTGCATTTCACTAATGCAGAATTAATGAGCACTCTTGACAGTCTTGTTTATCAATACGTAAAAAGTATTTTGTTTTTAGCAAGAGGCGAGGAGTCATTATTCTCAGATGTGACAGACATACTCTTGACAAGTACTGTGGTCAGAGACCTGGGCGAGCTGGGGACTTCCTGTCGGCAGGCCCCGGACACGCTCCTGGCCCAATGTCCTGGTGTCTGTGATAAATGGGTGCCCTGAACCGTATTGATGGGACAGGGTAAACACCGAAAAAGTTGGGTCGAACTTTGACTTTAAATGTTCATTACAGCTAATTATGGATTTTCTGACTATGAATTGCAGTTTCTATCCCTGCACTGGCAATTTATTTTTCACTTATTTATTGCAAACTTTATAATATTCTGTTAGCTTTAACATTCAATGAGGTAATGATTTAAATGTTTGCAGCGACATTTATTATGTTTTTTCAGAGTGCTTTCTTTATCTGAAACAAATGAAGGGATATCTTCTATAAAGAAGGGCTGATGTTGGTGGAGGAGACATTAAGTTTCATCCATGGGGCATAGGCCTGCAGTTTTCTCTCTTAACTCTGTGCTGAAACTCTATTTTGCCAAAGAAAAGGATGAACACTGGCTTTTTAATTTTAATTTTCTATTTTTTTGAGACGGAGTCTCGCCCTGTCACCTAGGCTGGAGTGCAGTGGCATGATCTCAGCTCACTGCAACCTCTGCCTCCCAGGTTCAAGCAATTCTCCTGCCTCAGCCTCCCAAGTAGCTGGGATTACAGGCTCATGCCACCACGCCTGGCTGATTTTTGTACTTTTAGTAAAGACGGGGTTTCACCATGTTGGCCAGGCCGGTCTTGAACTCCTGACCTCGAGTGATCCGCTGCCTCGCCCCCACAAAGTGCTGGTATTACAGGCGTGAGCCACCAAGCCTGGCCAACACTGGGTGTTTTTAAGACCTGCTGTAAAGGTGGCTCAGTTCCCCGGGTTCTGAGCAGGTTCACAGCAGATGCCTAGTGAGATAGCGGGTCAGTCGAGCAGTGTCCATGTCACAGCCGAGTGCATCATGGCCACACGCAGCCTTCTGGACCCAGCAGCAGCTCACCAGGGCATGTGGCCTGGGGCCAGGGACCACAGAGGGCCTGAGGACACAGCCCCATGTCAGGCACACAGGTTCTCCCACCTTCTGGCTTTCCCGTGGAGGCAGAGATGCTGCCTGCTGCACCCTAGACCCACCTGCGAGAGAAGAGGAAGTGCACTGCGTCCCCCTCGGGTATCCTTCATCTCCGTCCCCTAGACAGAAGGTCCCTGTCATCTAGCCTGGGGGCTCCCATCTGGGTGGTGGCCAGGATGCAGGGCTGGGAGGCCCATGGTTACCCTGCAGCTTTGGGTTCTCCCACCGAGGTCTGGCACTCATGAGTGTGCATGTGTGTGTGCACATGCAAGCGAGCACTCGCACCTGCCACCTGTGCTGGGTGGAGGCGGCACGTGTCCCTGCTCCTGCCTGTGGGTGTGTTCCCTTCCCCACCAGACGCAGCAGAGACAGGAGGCAGAGGCCACCATGGCGTCGGTGCACAGGACTCAGGCTTGCCAGCCGGCCTCTCTTTTTAGGAGTTTAAATGCACTCCTTGAAGTGTGTTCTGTCAGAGGGCAGCTGTGTCATCCCCAAGGTGAAACACTGTTTTCTGGTGAGGTGTCCATGTGGCCAGCGTCCCCGGGAGCAGGACCATCACCCCAGCCCACCATGCACTGCACACGCCCTAGGAGCAGGAGCTGCACAGCCTCCAGGGAGCTTCCCATGTTGTGGAGTCGGCATCAAACCAGAGACGGCCTAACAGGCCCCAGAGAGCTGACCCAGGGGCCCAGGGGGCTGCAGACAGGGACCAGGCCAGAGTTACTGGCACGATTGGCCCTCAGCAGGCCCAGAACATAAGTCCCCTCACCATGCACTGTGCCTGCCGCCCTGCGCCTCTGAGGGAGCAGCAGCCTCCTGACGCCCCAGTGTGGTGCACCTTCTTGCAGCCCTGCCCCCAGGACAGCCACCCCAGTGACCGGTCGTCAGGGAGGGAGCAGCAGTTCCCTGGGAACTGCAGAGCCTGAAGTGTGTGGGACGTTTAGCTTGGGCCATGGAATTAGGTGATGTTCAGGCATTGCCTTTGACTTTCTTAGAGAGACAATAGCTCTGCAGCCCCGTAGGGCAGCATCTCAGCAGGAGGTCCACACTGGGGCACTCAGAACTGCAGGGTTGTGGGGTCATGGTTCTGCCCAAAACAAAGCAAGAGTGCATGAGTGCGTGTGTGCAAGTGTGTGAGTGTGAGCAAGTGCGTGCGTGTGCATGAGTGTGTGTGCAAGTGAGTGTGAACAAGTGTGTGCGTGTGCATGAGTGCATGTGTGTGCAAGTGTGAACAAGTGCATTGTGTGCATGAATGTGTGCAAGTGTGTGAGCAAGTGCATGTGAGTGCACGAATGAGTTCGTGTGTGAGCAAGTGCGTGTGTGCACCAGTGTGAGTGCATGACTGAGTGCAAGTGTAAGTGTGCGTGAGTGCGTGTGTGCATGAGTTAGTGCATGAGTGTATGAGTGCAAGTGGGAGAGCAAGCACGTGAGTGTGCATGAGTGCATGTGTGCATGTTAGTGCCTGTGAGCAAATGCATGTTGTGTGTGCATGAGTGTATGTGTGCAAGTGTGTGTGAGTGCCTGTGAGTGCTTGTGCGTGAGTGCATATATGTGTTAATGTTTGCAAGCGTGTGGTGTGCATGTGTGTACATGAATGTGCAAGAGTGTACAAGTGAAGCCTTGGAATGAGGTGATACTCAGGCGTTGCCCTTGTGTTGCCCACAGGCTCACACAGACACAGTGAGGGATGCACCACGCCCTGTGCTTTCAGCTGAGGACAGGCCCTGTTCAGAATGCAGAGTTGGGGTTAGAGCCCCCAGTGGCTCAGAGTCTCTTCCCTGTGGAAGGCCCTGTGTGACCTGGTAACGGTTGGGCTCCCTGCAGGCAGCCCCTGCCCTCCGTCTGCAGCTGCGCCCGTGTGCCCTCCTCTCTGGCCCACCTGGCACCGCCGCTTCAAACTCTCCCCTGCTTTATCCCAGGACCTGCTACCCCCACAGGGCACACAGCTATCTCCTATGAGATAGGTTTGTTTGTTAAGTCAGGTTTATAACGATTAATGTATAGATGGTGAGATTCGCCCTCTTTGGGGTATAATTTAGTGAGTTTTGACAAAGGCAACCACTGCAAACCAGTGTAGAATATTCTGATCACCCCAGAGTTGCACCAGGCCCCGTGTTGGGGTTGCCAGATTTAGCAAAAGAAAAAAATACACAGAAATAATACACATGTCAGTACGAACACACTGCTGCATGTAGACACAGGTTCATCTGTAGAAAATACCACGTGAAACTTGCAGTTCAGATCAACAAGTAACTGTCTGTGTGGTATCCGTCGACCCAGCCCTGTGGCGTCCAGCCGCGTACTTTTGCCTTCTCTGGTATGAAGAGCAGGGATCCCTGTGCTCTGCAACCATCCGGCTAATTTGTAAGTGGGAGACACTGGCAGCTCCTGGGGCGATGGGGCAGGGTGGGGCCAGGCGCAGTGGAGCTGATGGTTGGAGGCCCCAGGACGAAGCCGAGCATCAGTGCTGGGAAGGGTCTGGTCCACTCAATGCCCGGCCGGTGGGACCTGCGCCCCTGCTGGAGCCAGCACCGGCTGCACGGCTCACCTGGGAAGGGTCTGGTCCACTCAATGCCCAGCCCGCGGGACCTGCGCCCCTGCTGGAGCCAGCACCGGCTGCACGGCTCACCTGGGAAGGGTCTGGTCCACTCAATGCCTGGCCCGTGGGACTTGCGTCCCTGCTGGAGCCAGCAGCGGCTGCACGGCTCACCGCATGCCTGGAGCTTGGTGGAGTTTGGGTGTTTGCAGGTTACCTCTGCCTGACATCCTGTGCCTCAGTAACTGTGATTAAATTATAACTGGTGAAACTCTTGCTCTAGCTAGTTTAAAAGAGCTTCTTTTATTGTTAAAAATGATCTTTAGAAATATTCCCAGCACCAGTCTCTCATTTGATTTCTCTTTTTGCTCTACAGGCACTAGGAAGCTTTTATTTTCTTCATGAGTCCTTAAAAAACATCTACCAGTTTGACTTTAAAGGTAAGACTGCGTGCCGTCTTCCGGGATTTTGTCTCGGCACTCACCCCTCCTGGTGTCTGGCTTCCCCAGACCTCTCCTGCCCTGTCTCTGTGAGTGGCCACTGTGGGCTGGGTGTCTTGAGCCACTGTCCAGAGGTCACTCCAGGGGCCTCCTGGACCTGGACTCGAGGCCCCTTGGCTGTCCCACACTGGCTCCCTGGCAAGGCTCTGGTGGGGACCTGGCTTTCCTAGAGTTGAGTTAAGAGGAAGGAATAGTTTGTATCTGTGTTCCCATCCAGTGTGAGAAAATGAAAAGCCGAATGAGAGGGTTGCATGTTTCAGAAATAAGAACAGGCAGGGACGGTCCTCCCTGCCGTGAACAGCATCCCCGTTTGATGGTCATGTGCTGTGTGTCTTCACGGAAAAGACTTGCCCTGAGACGCTCCGCTGACACAAGCTGTCCCCTCCTGTTCATTTCTTTGTCGGGGGCAGGTGCGTGAGCTAGGCCGGGTGTGGGGCTTCCGTGCGTGCTCCACACGGCCTGGGGGTGTTTGTGCGATGACTTCCCGTCTGACGCTATCGTTTCCTGCTGTGTGTGAGTTCTCAGAACCCCACGCGGCCTCCGGAGCAGATGACATCCATGTGAAGTGCCCTGCACGTCGTAGTAACTGTGGAGCCACAAACGATGTCGTTTCGTTCGGATTCCGTGTTTGTGCTCCCTCGGGAGACGGAGCGGCTCCTGTGAAATTGCGCGGTAGTCTTATCTCAGTTGCTTGAGTGGTGATTTCATTGATGACGAGAGCAAGATTCTGGCCAGCAAAATGATTTGTCACTGCCCCGTTACCTGAAGACCTTCAGATCCTTCCAAATTATAGCATCCAAGCCCTTCTATGAGGCCCGTGGCAGGATCAGCCGCACAGAATTGCAGGAGCCGGCCGGTGGCGCTCTCCGCTCCGTTTTGGAGACACGGCGTCTGCGTGCTGTGCGCTCAGGCACGGAGCGGCCGGCGAGAGTGGAGAGAGCGCGCCGACGCAGCGTGTGCTGCAGGAAGCTGGAGCCAAGGAGCTGGTGCGTCAGGCTGCGCCGTGCCGCGGATCTGCAGACCTTTTGTGTTTTTCAGTAGCCATTTGAATACCTGTTTTACTACTAAGTTAAATCAGTCATAAAGTGCCTGGTGAACCTACAGTGTATTTAAAACTATACATGAGATACACACTTCACTCTAGCAAAACTTTCCCCAGAGCCCTCCATGTGGCCAAACTAACAAGAACAACATGAGGAGTGGGCAGCGAGCATGTCCTGAGCACGTGGTGCGTCAGGAAGGCATGCAGACACAGGAGGCGTGTGGACGCGGGAGACGTGTGGACATGGGAGACGTGCGGTCGCGGGAGACGTGTGGTCGCGGGAGACGTGCGGTCGCGGGAGACGTGTGGTCGCGGGAGACGTGTGGTCGCGGGAGACATGCGGTCGCGGGAGACGTGTGGTCGCGGGGTGTGCGGTCGCGGGAGGCGTGCGGTCCTGGCAGGCGTGCGGTCCCGGGAGGCATGCGGATGCTGACGATATTCTCAGTGCCCCACACGGCAGGTGTTGCTGCTGATGCTCAGCGCAGTCGGGGGGCCTCGGGCTGGGCGGTTGGGCTCGAGGGTCAGGCTCGGGGGTCAGGCTAGGGGCTCGAGGCTCTGAGAAGGACTCAAAAAGAAAACCTAGAAATCAGAAACAGTACCAGAAATGAAGCAGTGGCTCATGTGCACACGCGGCTGAGGGAAGAATCAGCGAGCTGGAAGGTGTTAGAAACTTCACAAACTGAAAAGCAAGAAGAAATGAGAATAAATTTGAAAACAGAAGAAAATGGCCAAGACCTGTGAAACAGCGACAACAGGTGCAGCTTGTAAAGGGAACCCCAGTAGGAGTAGAAGGAAAGGAACAGAAGGAAGATTTAATGTAGTAATGGTTTAGAACTTTCCAAACTTGTAACTGACACCAAACCACAGATCCAGAAAGCTCAACGAATGCCAACACCAAGCAGGATAAATGCCAGAAAGTCAACCCCAGGCCACCTTGTATTCAAACTGCAGAAAATCAAAGAAAAAAGAGAAGATCTTGAAAGAATCCAGGAGATTCCTTATAGGCGAGGTGATTCCTTATCTGTAAAGGAACAAGGATAACAATTACATTGGACCTTTTCCCAGGAACCATGCAAGAAGGAAGAGAGTAGTGTGAAACATTTAAAGCATTATAAGAAGAAGAATATCATATTCAGAAAAAGATTATTCTTCAAAAGTGAAGGAAATTGACTTTGTCAGATAAGCAAAAATTGAAGTAATTTGTTGCCAGTAGACCTGCCTTGCAAGAAATGCTAAAAGAAGCTCTTCAACGGAAGGAAATATCATATAGCCCAGAAACTCTGGTTTACCTAAAGAAAGAAAAAGCATTAGAGAGGGAATAAGTGAAGGTAAAATGAAATATATTTTTCTTACCCTTAATTGGTCTAGCAGATAACTTTTGCTCAACGTAACAACAGCAACCATGTATTGGTTAACTGCAGCTTATGGATAAGTGGAATGAATAACAGAAAAGTCATAAGGACAGGAGGGAGGAATTTGGGGTACTCTGTTATAAGAAACCTGTACTATCGTTTTAAGGAATATAGTATTATTTAAAAGTGGACATGGATTAGTTATACATTATATTGCAAACTATGGCAACCACTAAAAAGCTTTTTAAAAGAAGTATAATTGATGTGTTAAGAGAGGAGAGATAATGGAATCATATAAAATGCCCAGTAAAAGCCAGAGAAGGCAGATAAAGAATGGGAGACCCCAAAGATACAAAGAACAAAGGCAACAAATAGAAAACTTACAAATATGGTAAATATTACTCCAACTATATCAACGATCCCTTTAAATGTGAATGGTCTAAATATACCAATTAAAGGACAGAGACTGTCAGAGTGGATTAAAAAAAATACCCAACTATATGTTGTCTTCTAGAAACCCATTTATATAAACACCTAAAGATTAATAGATAAGGGATGGAGGAAGGTATAGTGTTCTAACATGAATCAAAGGAAAACTTAAATGGGCCAAAAGAAAGCTGGAGGAGCTATATTAATTTATAGCATCAAATACATATATTAGAAAAGCAGAAAGATCTGAAATCAATTATCTAAGCTTGTACCTTAGGAAACTAGAAGAAAAGTAAATTAAACCAAAAGCTGGTTGTTTGAAAAAAACAATAAAATGGATAAACCTCTAGCCAGACTAAGAAAAAAAATGACACAAATTATTCATGTCAGAAATTATCAGAATAGGCAGAGCAGACTTCAGAGCTAGGAAAGTTTTCAGCAGTAAAGAGGGACATTACATCATGATGAAAAGATCAGATCTCCAAGAATACATAACAATCCTTAGTATCTAGCTGCCTAACAACAGAGTGTCAAATACACAAGGCAAACCAAGTAGAGCTGCCAAGAGAAACAGATGAACCCACTATCATAGTTAGAGACTTCAACACCCTGTATCAGGAATGAACAGATCTGGCAAGCATAAAATCAGGAAAGACATAGTTTAACTCAACAGCACCATCAAACAAATTGATCTAATTGACACTTATAGGATACCTCATCCAGTAACAGCAGAATCTACGTTTTTGTCAAGCTCGCCTGGAACATTCACTGAGACATCACATTCTGGGCCATAAAACACACCTTTACAAATTTAAAAGAACAGAAACCATATACAGCATGCTCATAGATTACAATGGAATTAAACCAGAAATCAGCACCAGAAAAGTAGCTGGAAAATCCCCAAATACTTGAACATTAAACAACACATATCTAAATAACATATGAGTCAAAGAAGTCTCAAGAGAAATTTAAAAATATTTTGAACCAAATGAAAACGTAAATACAGCTTAACATTCATGGGATATTAGCAAAAGTAATGTTTAGAGGTAAATTTATAGCATCAAATGCATATAAGAAAGAGCTAAAAAGAAAAAAGTGCTAAGAAGAAAGGAAGAAAGAGCTAAAATCAATTATCTAAGCTTCTACCTTAGGAAGCTAGGAGAAGAAAAGAAAATTCCAAAGTAAGCAGAAGAAAAGAAATAATGAAAATTGGAACAGAAAGCAACAGAATTGAAAACAGGAAATGAATAGAGAAAATTAGCAAAACCAAAAGCTGATTCTTTAAAGCGATCAATAAAATCGATAAACCTCTAGCCAGACTAAGAAAAAGAGAGAGAAGACACAGATTATTAATATCAGAAATTAGAGAGGGGCCATTACTGCCGATCCTGTGGACATTTAAAGGATAATAAAAGAATATCATTAATTTCTGCCTATAAATGTAATAACTTAGATGGGCCAATTCCTTGAAAGACACAATCTATGAAAACTCATAAAAGGAAAACTAGAGAATCTGAACAGGTCTATAGCTATTAACAACACTGAATAAGTAATTAATAACCTGCTGAAAAAGAAAGCATCAGACCAAATGGTTTCACTGGTGAATTCTATCAAGCATTTAAGGAAGACGTTATACCAGTTCTCTACAATCTTTTCCAGAAAATATAAGCAGAGGACAAACGTCCTAAATCATTCTATGAGGCCAGCATTACCCTAATACTAAAACCAGATAAAGACATTACAAAGAAGGAAAACTATGAACTGTAAACAAAAATGCTCAACAAAATTCTCAAGAGTCAGTTATATACTATGACCAACCGAGATTTACTCCTGGTATAGAGGCTGGTTCAGCATTTAAAAATCAATTAATGTAATCCATCACAGCAGCAGGCAAAAGAAGGAAAATCACATGATCATAGGATAGATGCAGAAAAAGCATTTCCCAAAATCCACATCTCTTCATTGTTTGAAAAAAAACTCCCAGCAAACTAGGAATAGAGGGGAAGTTCCTCAACCTGATAAAGAAGAGCTCCAAAAATCCTACAATGAATACCACACTTAATGAGAAATTAGATGCTTTTCCTATGAGATCAGGAACAAGGCAAGGATGCCTCCTCTCCTACTTCTCTTCAACATCTTACTGAAAATCTTAGATAATGTAATAAGACAAGAAAAGGAAATAAAAGCCATGTTGATGGGGTGATGGGAGATAGAACTATTTCTGTTCTCAGATGATATGATTATGTCAAGAATCTCAAAGAGTCAGCAACAATAACAGACAAACCTGGTACCAGTAAGCAATTATAGCAACATTGCAGGATGCCTAGTTAAGATACAGAAATCAATTGCTTTCCTGTGTAGCAGCAATGAACAGGTGGAATTTTAAATTAAAAACATAATACCATTTGCTTAAGCACACACCAAAAGGAAGTACTTAGGAATAAATCTAACAAATTAATACAAGATCTCTGTGAGGAAAACTATAAAACTCTGATGAAATAAGGAAGATCTAGATAAATGGAGAGAGATTTCATCTTCATGGATAGTTCTATGGTTGGAAAGTAGGTGCCCCCCACCCCCAAATTCATCTGCTGACCTCCTAACCCCTAAGGTGATGGTGTTAAGAGGCGGGGCCTTGGGAGGCTGATTAGAATGTGAGGTCAGAGCCCTCACGAATGGGATCGGAGCCCTCATGAAAGAGGCTGGGAGTTCATTTGCCCCTTCCATGCATGAGGACACACACAAGGCACTATCTGTGAGGAACCTCATCTCCTAGCACCCTGATCTTGGACTTCCCATCCCTCCAAACTAGGAGAAAGACACTTACTTTGTTTACAAACCACCCAGTCTATTTTGCTATAGCTGCCCAGTGGACTAAGGCAGATGGGAAAACCCAATACTGTCAAGGGCTCAGCTCTTCCCAACTTCAGCTATAGATTCAACACAACCCCAGCAAGGTGTGTCATGCCATTGACAAACTGACTGTAAAGGTTATGTGGAAAGCAAAATACCCAGAATAGCCCAGAGTTTTGAAGAAGAAGAGCAGAGTCAGAGCCTGCACTTCCTGACTTCAAGACTTGCTGTTCTGCCTTGTGGGTGAATGGGCCAAGCAGACTGTGGCATGTCAGCTCCACGGGGTGTTATTTGGTGATAAAAAGAAATGAGCTTTGAAGCTGCGAGAAGACACAGAGGAGGCTGACACACCTGCTACCAATGAAAGAAGCCAACCTGAAAAGGCTACACACTGTGATTCCAACTCTGTGACACTCTGGAAAAGGCAGAACTGTGGAGACAGTGAAAGGATCCGTGGTGTCTAAGCTCCGAGTTTAGGGAATGGCCTCTATTTCACGTTCTGTCCATGCTCCATAAGTCGCTGAAACATCTCATGCTGTCTCCTGTCCATGAGGCACCCACATCCAGGACTGTGCGCCTAGGGCTGGGCCGGGTCACAGCACCCAGGGCCAGGTCAGACCACAGCACCCAGGGCCGGGCCACACCACAGCACCCAGGGCTGGGCCAGACCACAGCACTCTGTTTTTTCCTGAAACTCCTGCCCACCCCAGTGGTGACCCAGTACCTTGGCCCATGGTGCTGTGGTCCTCAGGTTGCCCCCTCTGTTCCTCCTGCCATAGTGGGGTGGATAATACCCCAGAAACTGCAGGTTGGAGCTGCTTGTGGGACACAACACACTGCTCCAAAGCGGTCTCCAGGAACCTCGTTGACACCCAGGAGTGTCACCTCAGTGGCCCAGGAGCCATCCTGTGGCATCTTGCAAAGAGGCCAGCAGCCACCTGCCCACTGGACCCAGCAGGAGTTTGAGGAATGGATCCCTGCCATCCTTGATCACACCCCACCTTGGGTGTGGAGCTACCTGTCCATAAAAAGAAAGGCTGAGGCCTGGTTGTGAACAATAGTGAGACGGGCCCTGCCCATGGCGAGGCCTGTGTCCCTGGGCCTGGCCTATCCACTGGGGGGTCCAGGAAAGGTGCCAAGCAGCCACTGGCAAAGCCCATCTGGGAGGCACCCTGCCGCGCGCTGCCTCTCTCACCATCACACATAAACCTCTTCCCTGGAATATGAGTGATGGAGGCTGGATACGGGGAGGAAATCGATGTTATTAAATAAATTCATGTGAAGGTCTGAGTGAATGGTAATTCTACAGCCCTCTTAAATATATTCACGGGTTTAAAAGAGGATGCCAATTAGCTCCTGTAAATCTGCAGTCTGGGAGCTCTCAGGCGATAATGGAGTGGAGTGTCAGATTCCAGGTCATGGGAGGGGAATTTATGAGCCACAGGCATGGAGTAGCCGGCCCGCTGGGGGTCTGTTCTGGGTCGGACCCCTCATCAGGGCCTCCTCTCGGGGGGCCTCTCTGGCTCCCATCGGGCTGAAGTCGGGTGGAAACAGGTTGTGCTCCAGGCTGGTTGGATGGGGCACAGTGATGGGATAGTCACCTCGTCCTTCTGGTCTCTTCCAGCTAAGAAGTATAGAAAGGTCGCTGGCAAAGAGATCTACTCGGATACCTTAGAGAGCACGCCCATGCTGGAGAAGGAGAAGTTTCCGCAGGACTACTTCCCCGAGGTACGTAGCGAGGCTTTCTCACTGACGTGTTTACTTCTCAGAGTGAGCCAGTCAGAAGTGACATGGAACACGGAATTTTCGCATTGCACTGTTACTAGTCACAGCTGCCTGTTGTTACCTCCGATAATCTGTCTTCCTGGGAGTCCAGGCTTCTGTGGTTGGTCTGGGCTGTCACACGTAAGGGCAGTGAGAATCTAAGGCATTAGCACCAAGTAATCAGTAAGTTCCTGAATCCTCATATCCAGGAGAAAGAACCTTCGCCAAAAGATGTAGGAAAATCATTCAGCTCCCTTGGCGTGCACCTGGGGTCTCCCGCACGCCCAGCTGGGAGAGGGTCAGGCTGACTGGTGGTAACCAAGACAGTGGCTGACAGTCCTGTGTGCCCGTGGTGTGAGTGTGGGGCAGGGGCACGGTCCTGTGTCAGATACAGCCTTGGTGGTTGTGCCAGGCTGCGAGCAGCAGGGTCCCGGCAGTTATGCCTGCGTCACACGGAGAGATTAGAATCAAAATGTGTGGAAGGCATTTGTCGTCTCACTGCCAGACACGGTGTTGATGAGAAATTGGTGTTTCCTTCTGGCGGCCATGCACTTTGCTGAGCTGTGTGCGCGGCTGTTGCTCTGTGCACGTGATCTTTGGGTAAACCTCACACGCGGCATTGTCGGCGTCTCCCTGGCTGTGTAGTTAACCTGTCGAGGCAGCGTTTGCTGCTTTGCCCTTCCTCATCTGCTGAATCACAGTGGGGTGCAGGCACTGTGGCCAGAAGCAGCCCAGGCACTGAGACGGAAGAGCTGGCAGCTGGACGCAGGTTTGGGGGCGTCCAGGCTGTGATATAGGAGCTCTCGTCCGGACTTGTCTGCGCAGGCAGCCCCAAGAAGGATTGCTCTGCGGTCCTGTCTCCACGAGAGCTGTGCAGGCTGAGGCTGCTACGGAGCTGACTTCCAGCAAGGCCACAACTTTATTAACTTGCTTTATGGCCCGCACCTTGAGTGAGGGACTGTGGCCGCCCGTGAAGGATGGGGTGCTCCTGTCACCCTGTGGCTCGGCCTCCTCATCCGTCTTCCCAAGGCCAAGGACGCCGTGTCAGTGGGCCAGCCTCCTGTCCTCGGTCCTGCTTCCGGCACCGCCCGTTTGCCTCCCTCCGCTCCGGATGTCCAGCAGTTGGAAAGGACATGCAAGAAAGCTCCATGGTCTTCTCCACGCACAGTAGTTGCGTCCCTGGGTCATGACAGCCTCCCTGAAGGGGCCACCTGTGGTGCAGGCCCATCGGAAGGGCAGGGCGGGGGCTGTGGTGCAGGCCCGTCGGAAGGGCAGGGTGGGGGCTGTGGTTCCCCTGGAGAGCCTGCGAGCTGAACTCTGGCCTCTCTTGAACCCGGGCAAGGCTCTCATCTCAGAGTGACCAGAGACCGACTCAGGGCCCTTTGTGGGAAGCGTGGGTGCTGGGGTGGGGGGGGGCTGGGCTGGGCAGGGCCAGGCGCTGCCACCTGATGGCATGAGGAGAGCAGCTGTGGGTGGCTGGGCTGGTCCAGGCAGAGGCTGTTGACCCGGCACCTCGTCTCAGGACCCATGTGGCTGCATTGCTGTCCAGGGCCGTGGCCGGACCAGGTGCTGCTGGGCTGTCCCCTCCCCACCAGGTGTCCACTTATTCACTGGGTCCTGTCCACTCCGGATGGGGTAGGAGAGCCCATAGGGAGCCCCATAGCTCTTGGGGGTGGGGGCCGAGGTGTGTCCTGAGAGGCCAGGGCCCGCAGGGTCAGCCAGGGTGGGAAGCTCGGGGGCAGCGGGCCCTCAGCAAGGAACAGACACTCTAGGGTCCTCCCAGGCAGCCACACAGGCTCCTGACCCCTCCGTCTCTCAGCCCCGCCCCGAAGCAGCCCTGCCACTCTGGCCAGCGGGACCTCCTTCTTGCACCCATGCCTCAGGCTTCTCTTTTGGACCCAGCAAGCGGGGAGCTGAGGCCCGGGGCCCAGACTGAAGTTGGGCAAGATCTGGGGGCCTCTGCTATGACTTTGCCACCCTTTGAAGGGTGGGTGCCCTGGCAGGGGTCTGAGTGTGGCCCCTGGCCTTGGTCCCTAATGCCAGTACTCTGAGGCCTCTGTGATGCTGGGGGCCTGCTGGCATGGGTCTGTGGAGGGCATAGCACGAGGGGCCGCCCCTCCCCCAGGAAGAGCAGCCTCAGGCCCGGTTTGTATAGAAACCCCAGCCCCCAGCCTGGGTCCAACCCCAGTGTTGTGCAGTGTTGTGTCCACAGGCAGAGGAGAAGGCACATTCTGGAAAGTAGACGATTCCTGGGAGGAAAAGGCACCGAGCCTCTTTGTGTGGACCCGTCTCTCCCCTGGGAAAGCAGCGTGTCGCTGTCTGCGGCCTGGTGGTCAGCTGCTCAGCAGATCCTTGTGGCTGCTGGTGGCTGGGACGGGGGGCCAGCCCCTGCCCTGGGCCGAGGCCTCCCTGTGGGTCAGGGCCAGCCCTGCCACGTCATCGTCTTAGAAATCCTCCCGGGACCCGTGTGTTTGATGATCTGCAAAGGTTTTCTGACGTTTCCTCTTCCCTGGTAAATTAACAAAAGGAAACCCTTATTTTAAAAACTGTAAGCTTCTAACATTCTGTCCCTAGTGTGGGTTTTTAACCCCACAGAGCCTATGTGGCACCCTGTGTCCTTGCTGGAGGGAGGAAGGAGGAGGGAGGGGCCCGGGGAGCCATGGGAGTCCCGGCCTGGCAGCCTGGCCGGGCCCGCCCCTCCCTCTGTGCCTCTGCACCCGACCTCTCGCTGTGTTTGAACACATTTTGGAGGAAGGAACTAGTTTCAGACTGATTTCTCTTTCTTTTATTACCATCACTTAAGGGTAATCTAAATGTAATTACCTTGATGGGGGTATAATGCAGTCTCAGATAATTACAGCCGCAGCAGAAACTAACAAAACTTTCTCTGCTGATTTATGGATGCTTTTGGCTTGGTATGAATTTCAAATGATGCCTCTGGGAGCCACACTCCAGATAATGTGAGGCCATTTTTAAAACGCAGATTTGTGTAGTCGATCAGGGTGAGTCATTTTTTTCCTTTTGCCCGTAGTGAGAAATTGGTTGCTACCATAGATCACAGGGCCGGCTGCAAGCTCTCATGAAGGATGAATTAATTCCACTAATGCTCTGAGCGGGCCTTCGGCGTGAGGGTTGTGTGGCAATAACCTCCCCGCAGCCTCTCTTTTCTCCGTGGCGATTTATGCCGTCTTTTAGTAGATGAAACCGGCTGGATTCGCTATCCATCTGCCTGCTGAAGGAACCCTATTAACAGGGGCCTGAGAGAGACTTCATATCATCAGGTGAAGGATGTACCCCCACCCCCACGGGATGTGGGTGTCATTTCTGAGGTGAAAACCTCTCTGGGAGTAGAGGAGCCAACACAGGCCAGGGGGCGGCCACCTCGGGAGAGCGGAGCCACGGCCGTCCCATCTGCAGGCTCCTGAGGGCTCCCCAAGTGAGGGCTTCGAAGGTGGCCGGTGACCAGAAAGTTCCCGCACACAGCCTGGGATGGAGGAGACCCCCAGCCCTGGCCATACACCCTCTGCCTCCATTTGCCGTGGCTGGAGCAACAAGTATGTACATCCAGAAGCTTCTGGGGTCTTCCTGAGTCCTGAGCATGTGAGCGTTGGCTGAGGCCCCAGGACGCCCGTCTCTGCCTCCCAGCACTTCCCGGCCCTGCTCTGGAGGACAGTGTTGGGTGTGGGGTGCATCCACCTCAGGCTGGGGTGCTCAGGTGCGCCCGTGGGGGCGTGGCCTCTGGGAGGGGCCCCTGAACCTGCTGATGACTCTGGGGACCTCCTTCCTCTTGGGCCACCCCACCCCACCCCAGCCCTGGCTGCCTGCTTGGGGCTTGGCCAGCAAGGGGAGTGGGGCGTCGGGAGGCGGGGACTTCAGTGCAGGAATTGGGGCGGTGGTTCCCGTTCTGGTTCTTTCTCCAAAGAGCTGGAGGTCTTCAGGCCCCAGTTTCCTCGCTGGGGAAATGAGGGTGGTACCTGTCCTGAGTGCTGGTGGGGCCACCGAAGGGTGCATGGGACGCCCTCTGTGAGGACTCTCCCTGCACCGCGCATCCCACCCTAAACCCAAGGATGCGACCGCACCTGCAGCCACGGGCCGTGGAAGTGTCAGGACACTGTGGGCTGTGGCTTCATTTGTTCCTGCTGTAAAATCCCTCGAAACATAGTCTTAGTGCAGTGGTAGCTGCTCTGACGAGCTTACCTCAAAAGGAACTTATTTTCTACAAATACTTTAGAAAATAGTTGGTTATGATAATATACTGTTAAATTTTCTGAGATTCATTTGCAATTTATTTAAAAATCTTAGAATCCTAAAACTACAGTTATTACCAATTTATATTATTCAAAAATAACATTGTTTCTCGTTTTATTTATTCAGTCTATGGATAATTAATGTTGGAAAAAATTCTCCATTACTGTGGAAAACTTAAAAATTTAAAAAACCAAGATGTACCCACATGCACATAGATTCAAGACACACAAACACACACCTTAACACAAATAATCGAAAACTCAGGAGAAGAATAATTAATTTTGGTTCAAAAATTTACAAATGCCTTCCATTTTTAATGGAAGTAAAACTGTTGACGGTTATCGCAAATTCTAGGTAAAAACCTGGGCATGCTCAGTTTGGGGTCTCTGCTGTACCTGTCAGAATTCAGAGGCGTGCGTGCAGGGAGGTGCTGTGTCCCTGTGTCCCGGGCCCTACTGCCTGCCTGGAAGCAGGAGAGGCAGTGCCCGGGCACAGCTCTGACGCACATGGGAAGCGCTTGCCTCCACATGCCACGGAGCACCTCTGCTCTCTCGTTCCACAGTGTGCTCTGGGGCTCTGGCCCCATCCAGCAGGACTGAGACCCATGGGCTGTCCTAGCAGAGGATGTGGACAGCGCCTGCACCCAGGAAGTGGGCTGTGGGATGCTTGGGGTGGGCCGGGGCACTTGTTTACACAGGGGTGACTGTGGGCTTGGGGGAGTGGCAGGGGCACTACCGCGAGTCTGGACGTGGGAGCTGGCAGAGGGCGCCCTGCCGGTGCTGGTTAGGAGCGGCCTCCAGGCTCCCTGCCGAGCCCACACACCGGGGTTGGGACTCCCCTCCCTCCCGTTGGGTGCCCCCCACCCTTCGGACTCACCGTTTCTCCCAGAGGAGCTGGTCCTGACTGTCTCACAAGGCCAGCTTCCCCTGCGGTCACCCCTGTGACTTGGTGCAGGCAAGACACCTGTCCCGGTCGCTTGGTGATTGCATCAGCGAGGACAGATCCGGGCTCTTGTGATTGTCATCAGCTGGCGAGGACATGGATCTGGGCTCTTGCGGTCGTTGTCATACGTGCCTCCTGCACAACCCTGTGCCCGCGGTGCCTGTCTTCCCATCCATGTTGACCGCAGGTTTCTCACCCGCCAGCCGCAGGCCCCTGATGGAGTTGGTTTCTGGGGAACTGGCCCTCGGCCATCTTCACACACAAGCGGCTTCACCCCCCCACATACACACAGCTTCACCCCCACACACATGCTTCACCCACAGACACACGTGGCTTCACCCCCCACACAGTGTCTTCACCCACACACACACACACACACTCACATTTACCCATACACACACGTGGCTTCACCCACACACACACGTGGCTTCACCCCTGCACACACATGGCTTCACACACACACGCACAGCTTCTGCCCCCCAACACACGCGCACCTTCATCCCCGCACACCCCCACACACACACACGTGCAGCTTCACCCCCGCAGACACATGCGGCTTCACCCCCCCCACACACTCACGGCTTCACCTGCACACACATACACGTACGGCTTCACCCCCCCCACACACACACACAGCTTCACCCCCACACACACGCTTGGCTTCACTCCCACACACACACGTGGCTTCACCCCCCCCCACACACACAAGCTTCACCCACACACACACGCACGGCTTCACCCCCCACACACACACGTGGCTTCACCCCCACACACACACGCAAGCTTCACCCCCACACACACGCGGCTTCACACACACATGCCACACACACGCAAGCTTCACCCACACACACACGCACGGCTTCACCCCCCCACACACGCGTGGCTTCACCCCCACACACACGCAGCTTCACCCGCATGGGTTCTGAAGGCTTGGCCTGATCTCTGCTGCAGCATCTGGTTCCCAAAGCATGTCAGGCCCCCCAGTCCCCCCAGACAGGAGGTGTCGAGGCACGGAAGATGAGCTGCTGGTGCTCTAGGGGAGTCGTGTATTGAGGCGCCTTGGCCTGCAGGGACGGTACCTTTTCTCCTGGAAAGACGCCTGCCTCCCACTGTCACTAGTAGAGGGGCCTCACCCAGTTACTGTAGATTTGTCACCAGTCACACGTCCAGCCTTCTCCCATGACAGCCCCCATGGGTGAGAACCCAGCCTTGGGCCCAGTGACTGTGGCCTAAAGCCACCAAGGGACCATAGGTGCAGTTCTTAACCTGTGAGCCTCAGTTTCCCTTTCTGGTCGGCCCGAGGGTTGGGTGTGTGCCTGTGTGTTGGACGCCAGCCCGCGGCGGCTGCTGGTGCGCAGAGCCACCCCTCGCAGCCCGCCGGCAACATGGGCTCTGTCCTCCCCTCCTTGTACCCGAGGCCCCACAGCTGGGACTTGAACCTGGCAGCCTGGCAGTCCTGTCTTACCCACTGCCTTGAGGCCCTGGGTGCTGCTGGTGTGGATCCTGTGCGTGGCTGGGCCGTGGGGGGGCAGTGGCTGTTCCAGGTGGGCCGTCTCCCCGGAAAGTGCAGGCTGGATTTGGACGTGTGGGAGATGGAGGAAGGGCGTCTAGTCAGGCAGCAGGCAGCTCCTCTGGAGTGTGGAGGATGGAGGAAGGGCGTCTGGACAGGCGGCAGGCAGCTCCTCTGGAGTGTGGAGGATGGAGGAAGGGCGTCTGGACAGGCAGCAGGCAGCTCCTCTGGAGTGTGGAGGATGGAGGAAGGGCGTCTGGACAGGCGGCAGGCAGCTCCTCTGGAGTGTGGAGGATGGAGGAAGGGCGTCTGGACAGGCGGCAGGCAGCTCCTCTGGAGTGTGGAGGATGGAGGAAGGGCGTCTGGACAGGTGGCAGGCGGCTCGTCTGGAGTGCAGGCTGAGTGGAGGGGAGAGAGTCCAAGCATTGGGGGTGTCCCAGCTGCACCGTTGGTGGGAGCATGGAGCCCGCTGTGGGGCATCAGCAGCACCCACTTCTCCCCACAGCTCAGCTTCCCACTGATGTGTTTCCATTGCAGACACAGTTACCGACAGGAAATGAACACAGAGGCTCCCCGGGGCAAATGGCCTCCCCGAGAGAGGAGGCGGACATGTTTGGAATCAGAGACAAGTGTCTGGTGCAGCACGCAGGGAGCCTGCCACCCCGCCACCCCGCCATAGAGCTCCCTGGGTCGTCTGGGCATGGCCCCATGCAGCAGCCAGACCAGTAGCCTGGGGATGCCTTGGCCAGCCTCCTGGAGCTTTGGCACAGCCCATGTTGTTTGGCAAGCAGGGCAGCCTGAGCACAGCAGGGGATGTGGGCTCAGTACCAGAGCCAGCTCGTGGTGTGAGGACGGATCCTCCTCGACGAGTAGAGCCATAGCCTGGCGTCCAAGTGCGTGGCCAGGCCGGGAGGAGTGTACAGGAAGTCTCTGTACCTTATGCTCAATTCTTCTGGAAGCCTAAAGCTGCTCTGAAAAATAAAGCCTATTACTTCTTTAAAAGTCTGCTTACCTGGGGCCCGGGACTTTACAGGTGAGGGAAGAAGGACCAGCCCTGGAAGGAGGAAGCTTGGAGCCACCTGTGGACCCTGAGGGTGCGTCTGTGGGTGCCTCAGTATCACTGGGGAGCAGAGAGCCCAGACCTTTTACAATGCTGGGTGGGGTGGCCATGGAACTGCACAGGTGAGGAGGGGGCGCCTCTCACTCCCCAGGAGACTGCAAACCAAGAACGTCTATGAGACGAGCAGACACCAGAATACAGACTCACCCCAAATAAAGTTGATTTCTTGGGAAAAGCTGACAGACTTTAAGTATGTTTAAATTGCTCAAAGAGATAAGTGAAAGATAGGGTTCATTAAAAATGTTATTCAACTAAAACAGAAATAAAACAAGAAAAGGGAATATGAAGAGGAGCCTGTAGAAACATTAAACATTCTGCATTAGAAATTACAGAACAGATTCTAGACTAGATGTGGTCAAAGAGAGAATCAGAGAATTAGACAATGTCATTAAGGAGTTCATCTAAACATAGTCAAGACGGACAAAGATTTGTGTTTGTTTGGTTGTTTGTATGTTTTTTATTTTTATAGAAAGGAGCAGTTAAAAGACATAAAGACTATTAAGAGGCTCAAATAAACTCAAAATAAATTCCAGAAAGAAGCAGTGGAGCAGTGTTGGAAGTGATAAGGGGAAATTCTTAAAAATTTAATTCCCGAGCACAATTTGGATACAGAGCAGGATATATAAAAATAAACCCATACCTGGATGGCAGTGAAGCTTCAGAATATTGATGACAAAGAGAAAAACTTTAAAACAGCCAGAGAGAGGAAAACATACATTCAGAGGATTCACAGTTCGTGTGCCGGGGTGCTTCTTACAGCAGTGGTGGATCCAGAGTGCAGGGGAAGAATGCAGTGTGTACGGGAAGGGTTGGCTGGCTTCAGCATCACCCCCACCAGTGTGTGGGGCTTGGAATTTCCCTTCTTGAGCATGAGTGGGAGCACTTAGGGAGGGGGCAGGGAGCACTTGTGGTGGGGGCAGGCAAAGAAGGGCCTCATGCCTGGGAATCCACAGCCCTAGAGCCTTGCCCAGGAGGGAGCTGTGGGGGCCACTGTCCTGGAGGGAGACAGGGAGAAGGAGACGGGGCTGCAGGGGCCACTGTGCTGGATGGGGACCAGGAGAAGGAGACAGGGCTGCAGGAGCCACTGTGCTGCCAGGTGCCGCCAACAGGCCAGGCGAGATGAAGGGCGAGTGTCTGTAGGAGTTTGCCTGTGGAGGCTGTGGTGACCTTGCAGAGAGCATTTGGGCAGCTGTTGTCTGGCACGTGCGCATACTGGAGGAGCCAAAGGGGACGGTGGCCAGTGGCAAGGTGGGGTCAAAGGGAGAGCCTCTGATCACTGCGCTCTCCGTGTTAGATAGAGGGAGCACGCCACGCTGGACCCTTTCTTCACGGGTGTTTCGTCCACAGTTAACTCCAGATTCCCATCTGCTTTCATCTCCTCAGCAGACCTTAGGGTGTGGTGGAGGAGACAGGGTCTTCCCTGTCCTGCTTTCCTTCTCTGCCAGCCCATGAGCACCAAGAACAGCAGCCCCTGTCCACCTCCGCCCCCGATGGCGCCAGGCATATGGCTGCTGCTGGGAACGGAATGGGCGGTGCCCTGCCCTGTTGGCTGCCGTTCCCCCGCCACTGCCTGAAGCGCTTTGCTTTGTGGACCTTGGACTTGACTCTGTCAGCCTCTTCCCAGTGCCTTCTGTGGTTTTCAAGGGTTTCCCAAGAGGCCTAGGCTGTGAAGCTACCCTGTTCTGCATGGCTGTTTAAATTAAAATTAATGAAGATAAAATGGAATCTAAAATTCAGTTCTTCAGTCATACACTTTGCACGCTCGGTGGCCCCGGTGGCTGGCCACTGCTGTACTGGGTGGCCCAGCAGAGGAACCTACCATGGTGGGAGGTGGGAGGGCAGGAGGGCCTCCATGCCATCTCGAGGGGAGCCCTGCCACCTCTTAAAGAACACCCCTCTTTGGAATCTCATGCTGTTGACTGTTTCACTTGAATTTTGGGGGTACTTTTAGACCAGAGCTCAGGCTCTACGTTCGGTGGCTCTGCTAGGTGGTGGGGATCAGTGAGAGGCATCGGTGGGTGAGAGGCATCGGTGGGTGAACGGCATCGGTGGGTGAGAGGCATCGGTGGGTGGTGGGGATCAGTGAGAGACCACACACACTGTTGGGGTGGGCAGGTCACCCACTGTCCAGGACGCCTGGCTGGGCACGGCTGCTCAAGTCTTCCCTGTGGTCCAGCCGAGGGCGGCCGTGTGTCTCGAGCTCCCTGATCAGCATCTGTGGTGACAGTGGTTTCCCTGCAGCTGCTCTCACATGGGGGCATGGGGCTCACAGGCGGCAGGCTGGCACGTTTCTTCATATCTTCCCCCCACCCCACCCCAGGCTGGGCATCAGCAGCCCCTGCAGGCATCTCTGTGCGAAGCCCCACTTGAGGATAGGTGCACAGCTCGGTTCTCTTTAGTGGGGCGGCATCAGTGCCGGAAGAGCCCTGCTGTTTTTTGTTTGGAAAGCATCTCCTGTGTCCTTTAGGTGTGTGGGACCCACGTGTTGCTCTTGCTCACTTACTCTGGCTCATTTGTGTGACGTGTTTATTTTTCAGTGCAAATGGTCAAGAAAAGGCTTCATCCGGACGAGGTGGTGCATTGCAGACTGGTACGTGGTGTCTGTGCTTTGTCAATTTCCATAACGTTTCTTACCCTTTTATATCTTGCACCAGCGGCATGTTCCACACACCTCATTGGAGGCTCTACTGATTTTGCATGAGGACCCCCAGCTGCCTGACCCCCACCTGCCACTCTGACCCTTTTGGTTCACGGCGATGCATTCGGAGCATTGTCACTGTTCCCTGTAAGTCAGACATCTGGGTGCCCAGTGCCAATGGAGACACAGTGACGGCCCCAGTCCCTCCCCGCAGCTGGAGAGTTCCGCTGGCCAGAGCCCGCTGCACAGAGAAGTCAGCAGGGAGGCCCCCTAGTACTGGGGCCCTGTGGCTGCCCAGTGAGACGGCGTAAGCGCTGCCTGGCAGCCTGGTCCATCAGCAGACTGAGCACAGACGTAGCGGAGCCTGCGTCTCATCCACATATCCTCTGGCCTGGCCTTTCTGCAGTGAACATGTTCTCGATAGCGCCGCCCCACCTTTTCTGCATCATAAGAAACAGAAACCTGTTATCTGCTTTCCTAAGGTGGCTTCCAGGTGGCTCCCCAACGTGTCCCTCCAGCCATCACATCTCATTTGAATACTGTTTTCATTTTCTTTTCATGGATTTTCCAAAACTTGGCTGCTTGATTATCTGCTGCCATGTAACAGACCGCCCTAAACTTAGCAGCTTTAAAAACACATACGAGGTCATAGCTGTGAGTGTCTCAGGACCCAGGAGTGGCTTTTCTGGGGCTCTGGCCCTGGTCACCTTGGGGCTTCCAGAGGACTCATCTCCGAGCTCACTGGGGCTGTGGGCAGGGGTTTCTGCCCCTCCCCCTCGGGCCTCTCCCTGGGGCTGCTCAGGGCAGGACATCCCCAGGAGGAGCAAGAGTCCAGAAAGTGAGGGGGATGGAGGGAGGGAGGGGGGAGGAGGGGGAGGAGGAGGGGATGGGGGAAGGAGGGGGAGGGGGAAAAGAAGGAGGTGGGGGAAGAGTGAGAGAGAAGGGTAGGAGAGGAGAATGGGGAGGGGGAAGAGAGGAGGAGGGAGGAAGGAGGGGGAGAGAAAGAGGAAGAAGAGGGAGGGGGAGGACAGAGGGAGCTGAGAAGGAGCCGCGGTCCCGTGCCCACCCCAGGCAGTGCAGGCTGCAGGCTGCCCTTTGCTGTTGGTCACAGGGAACAGCCTTGGCATGGTGTGGGGGCACATGGGGCACGTTCACCAGGCAGCGTCATCGGGGTCATTGTGGCAGCTGGGCCACAGGCTGGAGGAGGGCAAGACCGCCTGCACGCACTCATTCCTGGCGCCTCCTGGTAGGGAGACGGCCAGGTCTTGGAGCCTGTGGAGGACACGCAGGCAGTGAGGGCTTTGTGGGACAGTGTCCAGACTGTGCCAAGCCCTGCACTGACCTCCCCTGGTGAGAGGGCACGTCCTTGCCAGCTGAAGGTGCTGAGGGTCCCCTGCAGTGTGACAGAGGCTCAGGCCTTGATCAGGCCTTGCCGAGTCCATGTGCCTGCAGGCCCACAGCCGGCCCACGGGGCTTCCCAAGGGTCTTCCCTTTGGGAGTGAAATGAAGCACTCTTCTTGCCTGTCCCTGTGCCCCCAACCCTGCCTTACAGGGTCCCCGATGGGTGCAGCCGGCAGCCCTGAGCAGCATCAGCTGAGGCTGAGGGGTGGCCCTTCCTCTTAGCTTAGCCATCAGGGAGAGTTTCCATAGTCACCTGTAAGTTTTTCTCTTTAAAGAAAAGTAGCTCACTTTTTAGTTGCCCAGAGTAACTGCATTTGTAAAGACATATTCAGACTTCACTGGAGGTTTCCTGACCTCTGGCCTTGTCGGAAGACAGGTGGGTGGACAGGTGCCCCGCCTCGGGTGGCTCCGCACGGCGGAGGCCAGTGCAGGTCTTATCTTCCCGGGGACTCCTTGGGAGAACGAAGTGTGACCCGGAGGCTCCGGCCCTTGGTGACGTGTCCTTTTCTCTTTTGGTTGCAGTGCCTTTGACTTGGTGAATATCCATCTTTTCCATGATGCTTCCAATCTGGTCGCCTGGGAAACAAGCCCTTCCGTGTACTCGGGAATCCGGCACAAGGCACTGGGCTACGTGCTGGACAGGTAGGTGTGGGCGGGCAGGTAGGCGTGGGCCGGGCAAGTAGGTGTGCTGGGCAGGCAGGTGTGAGTGGAGAGGTAGGTGTGGGCGGACAAGTAGGTATGCTGGGCAGGTCGGTGTGGGTGGACAGGTAGGTGGGGTGGACAGGTCAGTGTGGATGGAGAGGTAGGTATGGATGGCAGGTAGGTGTGCTGGGCAGGTAGGTGTGAGTGGACAGGTCGGTGTGGATGGAGAGGTAGGTGTGGATGGCAGGTAGGTGTGCTGGGCAGGTAGGTGTGAGTGGAGAGGTAGGTGTGCTGGGCAGGTAGGTGTGAGTGGAGAGGTAGGTGTGCTGGGCAGGTATAGGTATGGGTGGAGAGGTAGGTGTGCTGGGCAGGTATAGGTATGGGTGGAGAGGTAGGTGTGGGCGGGCGGGTAGGTGGGTGGGCAGGTCGGTGTGTCCACTCACCCTGTTGGCCACTGGGAAAGGCTGTGCCTGCTCTGGGAGGCACACTCTGCTCTGCGCTTGCTGATTTGCCGATGGGCCTTACTGGAGTTGCCCCATGGAGGTGGCAGAGCCCCCAAGCCCTGGCAAAGGCTGGAGCTGCACCCTCACAATGGACTTGGATGGGGATGGCTTCACTTTCTCTCTGACTTTTTTGTGGGAAAGATAAGAAAACGGTGCCATGGGGTGCTGTGGTGGGAGGTGAATAGGACACTGAAGAGTCAGTGGGAGCGTGGGGGCCACCTCCACCTGCGCCTGGGCCCCTGCCCCCCAGTGCTCCGGGCTGCTCCACCGGTGATACTGTGGAGATGACGGGCTGTCACTGGGAAGCAGGGGACCCCCATTGGTGGGATGTGTCTGATCTTGGGGCCCGTGTCCCTCCCCATCTACAGCTGGGCCTTTTGCTGAAGCTCAGGCCCCACAGCCAGGCAGTCTGGGTTTATTCTCTGCCCATTCCAGTTAGGCCTGTCATGGAAACCTTTCCCGCCAGCATCCCTGTGGTTGACAAGACAGTGCTCCGTCAGCTTGGGCTTGCAGCAGTGATGAACACAGGCCTGAGACCAGCAGTTCTGCCCTGGGGTGGTCCCTGATTTCCACCTGAACCCCATTCTGCTCCCTAGAGGGCCCCTGACCTGAGCCCCCGCCCAGCCCCCGTGCGTGCAGAATGCGGAGTTACACTCCCGACTAAGCGTGCGAGGGCCTGGAGCTGCCCTGCGCCTCGCCCACCTTCCAGCAGCTGGCATCCTCAGACGCCGACCTTCTGTTCCCGGGGCCGGTTCTCTCCCACCCACACCTGTCTTAGCCTGGACTTGTGCAGAGCAGAATAACTGAGTCATTCCCAGGCCACCACTGTCCCTGGGGCAGTCACAACTGCCTGGGGCTGCACAGGCAGAGGCAGGGATTGGCAGGCACTGAGGTCTGGACCCAGAGAGGGAGGAGGCTGGGCAGGGCCTGGTACCCTCTGAGCCTCTGGGAGGCTTCCTGGGGAAGACAGTGGGAGGAGCAGTCCATGTGGAGGGGTCCGTGGGTGGGGCCCCTGCCCCAGAGTCATGTGTGGTATGTGACCAGCGCCGTCAGATGCTCAAGAGCAGGAGTGGGAGAGTCCTATGAGAGGCACCCCTGGGGACTGTGTGGAGCACATTTCTACCCAAGACCCACGTCCTGAGGGGTCCCTAAGGCAGGTGGGGTTATGAAGGAGAACAGCAGCCAGCAGGTCCCTGCCTCCTAATAGTGCCTTGTAAGGATAGTGTTCAGTGTGCATGTGTGTGCCTGTGCGTGTGTGCATGCCTGAGTGTGCACACCTTGTGTGCATGCAATTATGTATGTAATTGTGTGTGTGCACACATGCACATGCATGTGAGTGTATGCACAGTTGCTTGTGGGGTTTGTGTGGGGGTGGGTGTGCGCACATCTGCGTGTGTGTGTTCGTGTGTGCATGTGTGTGGATGCTTGTGTGTGCATGTGTGGGTGCACGAGTGCATACATATGTGTGTGCACGCGTGTGTGGGTGTGTGTGGGTGCATGTGTGGTGTGGATGTGTGTGGGTACATGTCTATTTGGGTGTGTGCACACTTGCAGGGGTGTGGGGGTTGCATTGTGTGTGCACACGTGGACACATGTGAGTGCACTTGTGTGGCTGCATGTGAGTGCGGGTGTATGTGTGCGCGGGTGTGTGGGTGCATGTGTGTGTGGGTATATGCATGTGTGGGTGCATGTGAGTGGGTATATGCATGTGTGGGTGCATGTGAGTGGGTATATGCATGTGTGGGTGCATGTGAGTGCAGGTGTATGCATGTGTAGGTGTGTGTGTAGGTGCATGTGTCTGTGTATTTGGGTGTGTGCATGTGTGCAGGGGTGCACTGATGCATGTGTGCATGTGTGTGGGGCCTCGTGTGGGTGCATATGTGTAGGCTTGTGTGGGGGTACGTGTCGATGTGTAGGCCTGTGTGGGTGTGCATGTGCCTGTAGGTGTGTGCATGTGTGTGGGTGTGTGCATGCATGGGTGTGGGCGTGTGGGTGTGTGGGTGCATGTGGATCTGTGTGGATGCATGTGTGCTAAGGTGTATGCATGTGTGCTGGGGTGTATGTATGTATGTGTGCGTGTGTGTGGGTGTGTGTGCATATGTGGGGAGAGCATATGCACGTGGGTTGGATATGTGTGCAGGTACATGTGGGTATGTGTGCATGCAGGTTGTGGGTGTGTGGAGTGCATGTGTATGTGTGTGTGCGGGTGTGTGTGCATTTGTGGGTATGTGCACATGTATGTGTGTAGGTATGGGTGTGCACACGTGTGTGTAGGTGTACAGGTGTGGGTGCATGTGCACATAAGTGTGTACCTGTCATAGCTCAGCACTGTGCATCCTGAGGAAGGGGTGGAAGGCTGCATTCTCCAGTAGGTGTGGCTCCAGGGGGAGTTGGAGCTGATGGGGCCCCTCCTGAATGCTGGCTCCGTCTGCTGCTGTGGTGAGTGTGGCCTGCGTGGCTCCTTGCCTGCCGCCTTCACGATCCTCCCGGGTTCCCCACAGGGCTCTGCACAAGGAGTCTGGGCTGGGCTCCCATCCCTGTGCTGTTATTAGCGGGTATATGGCCTTGGCTCTCCTCTGCATCTGGCCCTTGCTGAGGGCCCTGAGGCGTGGCCCCTTATCCCCTCTGACCGCCCCTGACCTCCGTCTCCAGAGTGATGGAGCCCTGGTCCCCTGCCACTAGCCTGGTCCCGGGGAGGGTGGCAACTGCGAGGCCTGGGTGCTGCTGTGCTCGTGGCCACACACTGAGGCCGGCCCTCAGCCCTGTGCACGGCCACACCCTCTGCAGGGGACCTGTCCGGCCTCCCGGATATCTCTGGAGCTGGCACTGACACCGAGGCAGGGATCGGTCTGAGCCTGGGGACTGTGCTCTCAACTGCCCACCGTAGGGAAGCAGCACAGGTGGGGGATGGGGGCCTGGGGCTTTGTCAGCGACAAAGTGACTGATGACCGCCTGTGCCCTGGGCGCCCTCCCTGGACAGCATGTCAGTCGCCCAGGGAGAAGGGCCTCACCCACAGGAGCGGCGCGGTTCTTCCTGCCTGATCAGCCCTCGGCTTGCAGGCACCAAGCGTCTCGGGGACCTCCCACGGAGCCCAGGAGCAGGGAGGGCCCTGCCGTGTCTGCTGTTGGGTCTTGGTGACAGCGGTTAGGTTGTCAGCATGGCATGGCATTAAAATGTGTCATTGCCCCTCGCTGCCATGGCTCCGCGGCCTCAAGAAAGCAGCCTTTGGGCTTTTGGGCCACTTTTCTGCGTCTCTGCATTCCCATGAATGGCTCCTGCGGCGCGCTCAGCCAGCCGCAGATCCGGACCTCCGCGGCGTGGGGCGGGCCGCGCAACACAAAGGGCGGCTCTGTCGGAGTCTGGAACAATGGGTCGCCCTTTCACCGCGGCTGCTAACCTCTTGGCAGCCACCAGCAGACCACATTCTGCTGTGCGGATCGGGCAGGACAATGCCGCGCGGCCTCTGAATGGACGCTGCCACCAACGGGGCCCCATTCACGGCGTTGGGAACCGGGCGCACATTGTCTGCCCCGCAGGGAGACAGCGAGGAGGCTCCTGCAGCCTCTTCCTGGTTTAATCTCCCCGCGCGGCTTCCCAGGTCCATGTCCCGTATCAGCTGCGGGGCCGGCAGCACCAGGCCCAGGAGGGAGGGCAGGTCCCAGCCCTGGAGGAGGATGCAGGCCAGGTTAAAACCCAGAGGCACCGTAGGACCTTCGCACCGTTGCTCTAAACCTAAACGCATTCCAGAGTAGGAAGATGATTGTAAAACAACTGAGAGACAAGCTCTGAGTTAAAGTCTTCAGAAGCAGCCCCAGGGCGAGTGCTGCGGGGTGCCTGCCACCACCACAGCCAGTCACAGGGCTCCACTGGACTTCTTATCACAGATGCGAACCTTTACTTTTTTGTGTGTAATTTTTGAAATTGTTGCTGTTAACCTCTTGTTATGAGAAGTTTAAAAAGAAGACAAATCCCTAATGAGTGAGGAGGACCAGGCTCTGGGCAGGTGTTGGCGGCATCTGTGCTGGGCTGGGGTCCTGGACCCTGGGTGAGGCCGGGCCGTGCACACCCTTGTGTGGCTCTTGGAGGCGCCGAGCACTCAGCCCGTGTTGGGGGCAGCCCCGGTCCCTCTCCTGGACACACAGGTCAGCCCTTGGGGGGCATCTGGGGGCTGAGCCAGAGGTGCACGTCAGCCTTCCTAGGCACCATCCACTGAGGCGTCCCGAAACCTTCCTGAGCTTTCAGCTGGAAAGGAGATTTTCCCATAAGTGACGGGACTCTTTGTCTCCCCTCTGAAATGTGGCCTGGGCTAGTTCAACAGAAACATTTTACATTACAACTGTGAAATCTCGGCATAAAGCACCCCTTTGTCCCCCCATTATTTTCTCACAAATACAGTCCATTGTCATGGCGCTGAAGTTAATTTGATCAACATTGGGACATTTAACTTTTATGTCCAGTCAAAAGAGTTGTTTCATGCTCATTTTGGGCATTCAAAGGAAATGATTGCCAGAAAAATAATGTTCTTCTGAACAATTCCAAGCAATTAGTTTCCCAGGGAGAGGTGACGTGATGCCCGCGCCCCAGCCCCGCTTTGTGGCTTTATGGAGGGCCATCAGTTAGCTGTCAGCCGCTCAAAGAGCCCCCAACCTAAATGTTTCTCTTTAGACGTTCCCAGAACTTGCCTTGCTGTGCAGCCAGTAAAGAAAAGCTGCTGCGTCTCCAGGCAAAGGCAAACTCGGCATTAAAGATCTGGGTCACCCTGAGCGCTCCTGGCCACAGGGCTGGTTCTCGCGCTCCTCACACTCCCGCTGGCCTCGGAGAACAGCTCACAGGCTCTTGCTGGTCGTGGGCTCGTCCCAATCAGGCTTTCTCAGACTCGGAGACCTCAGGGTGGCCGAGGTCATGTGTCTGTGGAGCCCACCAGGCACCCTGTGGTGTCCCTCCGCATGCCCGGGACTCCTGGCAGCACAAGCCCGTGCCCTCTGCCGTTCCGCTGCCGTGAAGCCCGCTGCCTCTGTGTCGCCTTAGCCTCTCCAGGGCGTGGTCGGTCCACTGCTGCCCGGCAGGAGGGGCTCCTTTCGCCTGTGCCTCAGCTGATCCATGGCTGCGATCTTCATTTTGTTGAACATGGAGTCAAGAGCCAAGAAAGGTGGTGCCGCTATGCAGATGCAGGGGCAGCGCCTGCACCCGCCACGCACCCTGCACGTTCTCCGCATGTTTCCTTTCCTTAAGAAACAAACCATGTGGGCCCGCAGGTGCCCCGTCCTCCATCCTGAACCCCATCCTGGCCCCCAGCATCAGCCTGAATTCAGCACCTGTCGCTCCTTTGCAGCTTTCTGGCCTCTTGTGACACAGGCACGGATGTTTCTGTACTTTTATTATGTGCCAGCTGGAGGCAAGCGTCGACGTGACGTTGCTGTGACGCCTGTGTGTGGTTTATGTCTTTACACATGTCATCGCCTGTGACCAACATGTCCAGCATCCTGTGAACGGAGTCTGCCGGACGTCTCCACGAGCTCCAGCCACGGTGCTCGGTCATGGGACTCGCTGCCGGCTGTCTGGAGAGCGTTTGGGTGGTTCCCGGCCCTTTGGTGGCAGACAGGACGATGCCTGTGCTGGGCCATGGGGGCCGTGTGTCTCCACTCCCGCTGGTCCTTTCCACACCCTGAACCCCAGCGTCACCACTGGCATCTCAGCCAGTTGTGTTTTCTGCTAGCTGGAGAGGAGTGGGGGGTCCTGGAGGTTGAGGCACTTCTGTGCCGCACCAGTTTTTGTGGTTTATGGCGGTGTCCAAGCAGAGTTTGAGAGGGTGGGTCTCAGAGTGAGAAAAACAAAAGTAAAATGGCGATGCTCCGTGTGGAGAGCATGAGAGCGGCGGCTGCCGAAGGAGAGCCCTGCACAGCCCTCCTGCCGCCCTGCACGGGGCTCCCCGCACGACTCTGCCCGAGAGCACTTGATGTGGGGATGGACTCATCGAAGGGAGTGTGGGCTTTAAAAGGTGCCAGACACTGAGAAGGCACATACTGCTGGGGCCCAGGATGCCCCCAGCCCCAAGGCTGAGGTCCAGAGGCCATCTCAGCCCCGCCCACCGCAACACAACTCTGTGGCGGGGCTTTGCAGCCGACCTTAGTTCTCAGTTTGAGATCTGAGTTCTGGTGACAGCTTGCAGACGGCCGCCTTCTCACTGCGTCCTCACGTGGTGGAGGGAGGGAGGGAGGGAAGGTGAGCTTTTGGTGTCTTCCTCTTTTACAAGGACACCCTTCCTCTTGCATCAGGGCCCCGCCTCCCTCCCCCACCCCCGTGACCTCAGGTGCTGGCCCCTAAAGGGTTGGGGCTCCGAGGCTGGGACTCACTGGGTGGGGAAGTCAGGGGGCCTTTGGGTGCGGCACTGGGGATCAGCGGGTTGGTCAAGGAGCTTCCTCAAGAGCAGTGGTTGCTGTGACTCCACCCAGTGAGCAGCCTGGCTGCCCCAGGCACTTTGGGGGCTCTGCTAGCCCTGAGGCTGACCCTGCTGCTTCAGAACATCCCGCCATCTGCCTGGGTTCTGCCTGGAGGAGCCTTAGACGACTGTCTTCAGGGTTCTGTGGTACCTGGGTTCTGTCTGAGGGCGCCTTAGACGGCTGTCTTGTGGGTTCTGTGGTACCTGGGTTCTTTCTGGGGGCGCCTTAGACAGCTGTCTTCAGGGTTCTGTGGTGCCTGGGTTCTGTCTGGGCGCCTTAGACGGCTGTCTTGCGGGTTCTGTGGTGCCTGGGTTCTGTCTGGGCGCCTTAGACAGCTGTCTTCAGGGTTCTGTGGTACCTGGGTTCTGTCTGGGCACCTTAGACGACTGTCTTCAGGGTTCTGTGGTACCTGGGTTCTGTCTGGGCACCTTAGACGGCTGTCTTGCGGGTTCTGTGGTACCTGGGTTCTGTCTGGGCGCCTTAGACGGCTGTCTTCAGGGTTCTGTGGTACCTGGGTTCTGTCTGGGCACCTTAGACGGCTGTCTTGCGGGTTCTGTGGTACCTGGGTTCTTTCTGGGGGCGCCTTAGACAGCTGTCTTCAGGGTTCTGTGGTACCTGAGTTCTGTCTGGGCGCCTTAGACGGCTGTCTTGCGGGTTCTGTGGTGCGTGGGTTCTGTCTGGGTGCCTTAGACGGCCGTCTTCAGGGTTCTGTGGTACCTGGGAGCTGTCTGGGCGCCTTAGACAGCTGTCTTCAGGGTTCTGTGGTACCTGGGTTCTGTCTGGGCGCCTTAGACGGCTGTCTTCAGGGTTCTGTGGTACCTGGGTTCTGTCTGGGCACCTTAGACGGCTGTCTTGCGGGTTCTGTGGTACCTGGGTTCTTTCTGGGGGCGCCTTAGACAGCTGTCTTCAGGGTTCTGTGGTACCTGGGTTCTGTCTGAGCACCTTAGACAGCTGTCTTCAGGGTTCTGTGGTGCCTGGGTTCTGTCTGGGCGCCTTAGACGACTGTCTTGCGGGTTCTGTGGTACCTGGGTTCTGTCTGGGCGCCTTAGACGGCTGTCTTCAGGGTTCTGTGGTGCCTGGGTTCTCTCTGGGCGCCTTAGATGGCTGTCTTGCGGGTTCTGTGGTACCTGGGTTCTGTCTGGGCACCTTAGACGACTGTCTTCAGGGTTCTGTGGTACCTGGGTTCTGTCTAGGCACCTTAGACGACTGTCTTCAGGGTTCTGTGGTGCCTGGTTTCTGTCTGGGCGCCTTAGATGCTGTCTTCAGGGTTCTGTGGTGCCTGGGTTCTGTCTGAGCGCCTTAGACGGTTGTCTGGCGGGTTCTGTGGTACCTGGGTTCTGTCTGGGCACCTTAGACGACTGTCTTCAGGGTTCTGTGGTACCTCGGTTCTGTCTGGGCACCTTAGACAGCTGTCTTGCGGGTTCTGTGGTACCTGGGTTCTGTCTGGGCACCTTAGACGGCTGTCTTCAGGGTTCTGTGGTGCCTGGGTTCTGTCTGGACGCCTTAGACGGCTGTCTTGCGGGTTCTGTGGTACCTGGGTTCTGTCTGGGCGCCTTAGACGACTGTCTTGCGGGTTCTGTGGTACCTGGGTTCTGTCTGGGCGCCTTAGACGACTGTCTTGCGGGTTCTGTGGTACCTGGGTTCTGTCTGGGCGCCTTAGACGGCTGTCTCGCGGGTTCTGTGGTACCTGGGTTCTGTCTGGGCACCTTAGACGACTGTCTTCAGGGTTCTGTGGTACCTGGGTTCTGTCTGGGTGCCTTAGACGGCTGTCTTGCGGGTTCTGTGGTACCTGGGTTCTGTCTGGGCACCTTAGACGACTGTCTTGGGGGTTCTGTGGTACCTGGGTTCTGTCTGGGCACCTTAGACAGCTGTCTTCAGGGTTCTGTGGCAACTGGGTTCTGTCTGGGCGCCTTAGGCGGCTGTCTTCAGGGTTCTGTGGTACCTGGGTTCTGTCTGGGCGCCTTAGACGGCTGTCTTGCGGGTTCTGTGGTACCTGGGTTCTGTCTGGGCACCTTAGACGGCTGTCTTCAGGGTTCTGTGGTACCTGGGTTCTGTCTGGGCACCTTAGACGGCTGTCTTGCGGGTTCTGTGGTACCTGGGTTCTGTCTGGGCGCCTTAGACGGCTGTCTTGCGGGTTCTGTGGTGCCTGGGTTCTGTCTGGGTGCCTTAGACGGCTGTCTTGCGGGTTCTGTGGTGCCTGGGTTCTTTCTGGAGGCGCCTTAGACAGCTGTCTTGCGGGTTCTGTGGTACCTGGGTTCTGTCTGGGCACCTTAGACGGCTGTCTTGCAGGTTCTGTGGTACCTGGGTTCTGTCTGGGCGCCTTAGACGGCTGTCTTCAGGGTTCTGTGGTACCTGGGTTCTTTCTGTGTGCCTTAGACGGCTGTCTTGTGGGTTCTGTGGTGCCTGGGTTCTGTCTGGGCACCTTAGACGACTGTCTTCAGGGTTCTGTGGTACCTCGGTTCTGTCTGGGCGCCTTAGACGGCTGTCTTCAGGGTTCTGTGGTACCTGGGTTCTGTCTGGGCACCTTAGACGGCTGTCTTCAGGGTTCTGTGGTACCTGGGTTCTTTCTGGGGGCACCTTAGATAGCTGTCTTCAGGGTTCTGTGGTGCCTGGGTTCTGTCTGGGCGCCTTAGACGGCTGTCTTGTGGGTTCTGTGGTACCTGGGTTCTGTCTGGGCGCCTTAGACGGCTGTCTTGCGGGTTCTGTGGTACCTGGGTTCTGTCCGGGCACCTTAGATGGCTGTCTTCAGGGTTCTGTGGTACCTGGGTTCTGTCTGGGCACCTTAGACGGCTGTCTTGTGGGTTCTGTGGCACCTGGGTTCTGTCTGGGCACCTTAGACGGCTGTCTTGCGGGTTCTGTGGTGCCTGGGTTCTGTCTGGGTGCCTTAGACGGCTGTCTTGCGGGTTCTGTGGTGCCTGGGTTCTTTCTGGAGGCGCCTTAGACAGCTGTCTTCAGGGTTCTGTGGTACCTGGGTTCTGTCTGGGCACCTTAGACGGCTGTCTTGCGGGTTCTGTGGTACCTGGGTTCTGTCTGGGCGCCTTAGACGGCTGTCTTCAGGGTTCTGTGGTACCTGGGTTCTGTCTGGGTGCCTTAGACAGCTGTCTTGCGGGTTCTTTGGTGCCTGGGTTCTGTCTGGGCACCTTAGACGACTGTCTTCAGGGTTCTGTGGTACCTCGGTTCTGTCTGGGCACCTTAGACGGCTGTCTTCAGGGTTCTGTGGTACCTGGGTTCTGTCTGGGCACCTTAGACGGCTGTCTTCAGGGTTCTGTGGTACCTGGGTTCTTTCTGGGGGCACCTTAGACAGCTGTCTTCAGGGTTCTGTGGTGCCTGAGTTCTGTCTGGGCGCCTTAGACGGCTGTCTTGCGGGTTCTGTGGTACCTGGGTTCTGTCTGGGCGCCTTAGATGGCTGTCTTGCGGGTTCTGTGGTACCTGGGTTCTGTCTGGGCACCTTAGACGGCTGTCTTCAGGGATCTGTGGTACCTGGGTTCTGTCTGGGCGCCTTAGACGGCTGTCTTGCGGGTTCTGTGGTGCCTGGGTTCTGTCTGGGCGCCTTAGACGGCTGTCTTGCGGGTTCTGTGGTGCCTGGGTTCTGTCTGGGCACCTTAGACGACTGTCTTCAGGGTTCTGTGGTACCTGGGTTCTGTCTGGGGGCCTTAGATGGCTGTCTTCAGGGTTCTGTGGTACCTGGGTTCTGCCTGGAGGAGCCTTAGACGACTGTCTTCAGGGTTCTGTGGTACCTGGGTTCTGTCTGGGCGCCATAGACGGCTGTCTTCAGGGTTCTGTGATACCTGGGTTCTTTCTGGGGGCGCCTTAGACTGCTGTCTTCAGGGTTCTGTGGTGCCTGGGTTCTGTCTGGGCACCTTAGATAGCTGTCTTGCGGGTTCTGTGGTGCCTGGGTTCTGTCTGGGCGCCTTAGACGGCTGTCTTGCGGGTTCTGTGGTACCTGGATTCTTTCTGGGGGCGCCTTAGACAGCTGTCTTCAGGGTTCTGTGGTGCCTGGGTTCTGTCTGGGTGCCTTAGACGGCTGGCTTCAGGGTTCTGTGGTACCTGGGTTCTGTCTGGGCGCCTTAGACGGCTGTCTTCAGGGTTCTGTGGTGCCTGGGTTCTGTCTGGGGGCCTTAGACGGCTATCTTGCGGTTTCTGTGGTGCCTGGGTTCTGTCTGGGCACCTTAGACGGCTGTCTTCAGGGTTCTGTGGTACCTGGGTTCTGTCTGGGCACCTTAGACAGCTGTCTTCAGGGTTCTGTGGTGCCTGGGTTCTGTCTGGGCACCTTAGACAGCTGTCTTGCGGGTTCTGTGGTGCCTGGGTTCTGTCTGGGCGCCTTAGACTGCTGTCTTCAGGGTTCTGTGGTGCCTGGGTTCTGTCTGGGCACCTGAGACGGCTGTCTTGCGGGTTCTGTGGTGCCTAGGTTCTGTCTGGGGGCGCCTTAGATGGCTGTCTTGCCTGCGTCTGTGGTGCTGGGAGATTCACCCTGAGGGCTTGAGGCTTTATGGGGGTAGAGCTCACAGTGGGTGGAGTAAAAAGTGAAGTCATGAAAAATAGTCCAGCAGTTTCTAGGAAGGTAAAAATAAACAGGCTGGTATGTTTATTTTGGGGGGATGAGTTTATTTAAAGTGGCTTAAACACATCTGCGATGAACCATGCAGTGAGGTGTTTATGATTATTAAGAGAAACTTTTAAGCGATTAACTAAAATATTCTCAGTAGTTTTAGTAATTTTATACTGTCGATGTTTTTGCTTATGTAAAGTTGTTTGATCAGAGAATGTGGTCTCTACCATAGCAGAGAAACAAACCAACTTTAATAGATTCCCAATTGTACACAACTTAGGCCTTTAAAAATACAGTGCCAAAGGTTTCAGCTACGGTCGCTTTCAGGGGTTAAAAAATAAAAAAGGAAAGAAGGAAAAAAACCAACTCCTAGCAAGTTAGGTGTCCTGGTTGGATGAATGTCTCACGGCCAGTTTGCTTCCCACACTGCACTAGCTCCTCCTTGGGGGAAAAAAAACTAGCCCCATTCGAGTCTGATATTTTTTAGGGCCCCAGTGAGACTGCCGATGACGCTCTCCCGCCACCTGCCCTGTCACCGTGGGGCCTCCCACGGTGTCCCAGGCCCCAGCAGCCTCGCGCCCGGTTCCCACTGCTGTGTTAGGGAAGCGCCCGCTGTTGGAAATGTAATTCGGAACGTTCAACCCGTGACTCTCCCTAAGTCTTTAATCTGCGGTGTCGTGAGGTCGCAGTTGTCCTGGAGACACGCTGACGAGCCCCCCAGCCGTCGCGGTGGAGCAGCTGCTGGGACGATGAGGCAGCCCCTCCTCCCAGTGCCTCCGCCGCGTAATGAGACCACTTGTCAAAACAGAGAGAGACACCCATTTTCAAGGCCTAAAAAATTGATTTTTATGGCTCTTCTTGTAATTCTCTTTTTGAATTAGGCACATGATATTGATGTGGGCCTACGTTTTAATCATAATAGCTACTGACAAGGTAATTAATTTTAGAACAACTGTTTTTTTTTCTCCTGCTCCAAATGGCACTATATTGAAATTGAAAGTGAGCTCTGGGAGGGCAGCGGGGCTGGCACTCAGGTGATTGCCTCGGCCGTGACAGCCCCTTCGTCTTGCGGCCGCCGTGCACCCTTTAGAGGCAGCTGCTGTTATTAATGGGCTCAAGCTGTTCTGTCAGCAGAGCAGGGCGAGGAAGTGTGATCCAGTTTAGGGTTTCATGATGATCCTGCAGGATTCCAGACAGGACGATGACGCGGCGTCTCCAGGGCGTTGCAGGCCCACCTGGTGCGTCGCCTGGCGGCTTTCTCGGGAAGAAGGAGCAGCCAGGCCTGGGCAGGGCCTCCTGTGAGGCGGCACCCCAGAGTATTGAGAGAGGAAACTCGGTCAGTGGAGTGAGGGCCAGCCGGGAGGCCGCATTTCCTCTCTCTCCGCACTGGGGAACTCATTAGAGTTTGTTCCGTCAGGGTTCTGCTGTTTGTTTAGCCAACTGACGGCCGCGTCTGTTCCTGCGACACCGCACACAGATGCTTGGCCATGTGGGGATTGGCCGTGTGGGGATTGGCCATGTGGGGATTGGCCGTGTGGGGATTGGCCGTGTGGGGATTGGCCATGTGGGGATTGGCCATGTGGGGATTGGCCGTGTGGGGATTGGCCGTGTGGGGATTGGCCATGTGGGGATTGGCCGTGTGGGGATTGGTTTTGTGGGGATTGGCCGTGTGGGGATTGGTTTTGTGGGGATTGGCCATGTGGGGATTGGCTGTGTGGGGATTGGCCGTGTGGGGATTGGCCATGTGGGGATGGCTTTGGTATCTTGTGGTCTCGCCTACACCTGGGCTTGGCTGGCTGCATCCTGCCCGCTGGCCGGCGGGCGTTGCCGCCCTCCCTCGGGAGCCTCTGTGCCCCGGGCTGCCGCTCTCCTGGGGTCTCGGAGCACAGGGCCCTCTGTCTTCCTCCATGCACCCTCCGAGCTTTCTGTGCTCACGGGACACAGCAAGCGCTTCCCTTTCTCCTGGGCAGAGCTTGGGGCTCGTTTAAGCAAATCACACTAGAATAGATCAAACTTGTTACAACTGAGATTTAACCTAAAGTGGAAGGAATTCCAATTAAAAAGGTAAACAAGACTTTCGTGGGCTTTGCCAAGCCAAACTATAGCAATTAACAGGCAAGAGGAGCACGAAATAGCTGGGACCATTTTTGAAAGAACTGTCAACAAGAAGGACTTCCCTATAAAAAGTTGTACTAATTAAAAGCATGCAGGAATTGATTTTTTAAAAGATCTGCAGAAAAGAATAGATTGTCTCAAAAAAACCCGTGCCGCTGGGAATGTTGTGTTGAGATACAGACTTGGTGGGAAGATGGGACACGTTGAATAAATGGTGCCGATCAATTGACCGTCCGCTTGGGAAATCGATGAACTTAGATCCCTGCTCTACACCTTAATTCCGGATGGATTAAAGGATAACCCTTAAAACTCTACCATAAAGATGAAGGTGGGGGCTCCATGCCCGCGTGGGGACTGGGGCAGGTGTCTCAGCCACAGGGGAAACTGATACATGTGACTATATGGAAATTAAAACTTTTGCCTGACAGAAGCCACCACAGGCAAAACGGAAAGGCCAGCCCCAGGCCAGCAGGAGCACGTGTTCACCACAGACGGGGGTTACTCAATCTCCAGAACTCACAAGGAGGCCCCAGGCCAGCAGGAGCACACACCATATTCACCGCAGATGGGGGTTACTCATTCTCCAGAACTCACAGGGAGGCCCCAGGACGACAGGAGCACACGCCATATTCACCGCAGATGGGGGTTACTCACTCTCCATAACTCACAGGGAGGCCCCAGGATGACAGGTGCACATGCCATATTCACCACAGACGGGGGTCACTCTCCAGAACTCACGGGGGGCCCCAGGCTAGCAGGAGCACATGCCATATTCACCACAGACAGGGGTTACTCACTCTCCAGAACTCACGGGGAGGCCCCAGGATGACAGGAGCACACGCCGTATTCACCACAGACGGGGATCACTCTCCAGAACTCACGGGGAGACCCCAGGACGACAGGAGCACACGCCATATTCACCACAGACGGGGGTCACTCTCCAGAACTCACGGGGGGCCCCAGGCCAGCAGGAGCACACGCCATATTCACCGCAGATGGGGGTTACTCTCCAGAACTCACAGGGAGGCCCCTGGAATCAAAGAGAAAAGGCCAGGAACCAAAGAGAACAGCAGGCTGTGAACAGGTGAAATCGGGAGAAAATGCAAATTTTGATATGTAGATTTAAAAATATTGAGGGTGTGCAAGTTAAGATGGAAATGAACTCCTACGCTCCATAGCCAAAGTGAAATACAGTGGTGATGGTTCCACCCGCACTCAGTCATGAAAGTGTGACCTGCACGGATGCTCCGTCCTCCCTCGCTCTGGTCTAAAGGCCCTGGACAGTGCAGAGCGGGTCCACAGCCATTGGTGGCCCCGGCTGGTGCCTCACGGCCACTTGGCTCTCCAACCCGAGGGTGGAGGTGTCAGCGGTGGCGGCGGGGCAACGCAGAACAAGACCACATAAGAACTGGGAAGCGGGAGACCATCTGCTCACTTGGGGATTCTTCTACTTCTCAAGCGAATGGATCAAGCTGGAAAAGGCTGAGTTAGTGATTGGTTGGGCCCCCTGCCTCCCGGCCTCATCCCACTGGGCCCTACCGTGCCCCTCATGCCCCTGTCACCAGCTCCAAGAGGGCACAGTGCTCCCAGCAGTGACCTGCCCGGGCTGGCACTCCCTGCCTGTGGACAGCTGTGCACACCTGCAGTTAACCTGATTGGAAGCTCTCACTTTTGCCTGGCTAATAACCTGAGTTTATTATCTCCAAATGCAGCGTAGTTGGATGGGCAGCCTCTGTGCTGCCTGCCCCTGCCCTGGCAGCCCCACCTGGCTCTGGGCTGTGAAATTAGGAAATTTGGCAACCAGAGTATTTCCTTTTTTTGTCTACAGATCACATGTTTCTGTTCCACTGATGGTTTTGGTGGCCAATGCCACGTTGCAAGGGTTCTCGTGTTGCTTTCACACCAGAAGGGTTGAGTGCCTTGCCCTCCTCAAAAGCAAGCAGTTCACGGCGTTACTGACTGGAGCCGCTGAGGGGAGATTTGGGGTTTGAGTGAGTTGGCGGTTTCTGAGATCTTTTTACAGGCTTATATCTGTAAGGGAAGCCGCAGTGGAAAAACCTTTAGGAAACTGATTGTGATTGATTGAAAATATGAGGAAGAATTTTTCTTGAGTACAGCTGTACCTGGCTAAAAACATACACACACGTATGCAGCCACTGTTACCCTCTCACTTTGAAACGTCCGAGTGGAGATCATATGTAAACCTTCAAAACAGGTCTGAGGGGACATCCCTGTCTGGGAGGAGAGAGCGGGGGCTCCGGTTCCTGCCGGTTCACCTGCACGCGCCTCCCCGTCCATCTCCCTCCCGCTGTCGGTCCCTCCTCCCGTCTGTCTCCCTCCCGCCTTTCCTGAGCTCTGCGGTGGATTATTTGGTTTGTGGTGGATTATTCAGGCATCCTTGTCCGGCCCTTTCCCGTTCTCGGGGCAGCCGTGGTTTTCCATGCGTGAGGCTCTCACGCTGCCCTGGCCCAGTGGGTGAGGAGGCAGCTGAGACTCTGCCTTTCCTCTTCCTCCATGTCGCTGGCAACAGATGCGTGTCCGTGTTGCCAAGGGCTGAGCACTGCTCAGTGGACCTCTATTGGGGGTGGTCTCAGAGCTGAATTTTGGGTGTGCAAAGAGGCAACCACTGAGGTTCCCCTGCAGCAGGTGACAGAACAGAGAGTGTGCGGATGGGGAGCGTGGAGGAGCACCGGGGCCGGGCATGAGGGCTGGCCGGCTTCAGCGCCCTCGGTAACAAGTCCTCTTTTTCTTTCCAGAATCATTGATCAGCGATTCGAGAAGGTTTCCTACTTTGTATTTGGTGATTTCAACTTCCGGCTGGATTCCAAGTCCGTCGTGGAGGTAGGCGCTGGCTTCCCTCCCGCCCTGGTCTCATGCCTTGCTCTGTGTTGAGGAAAACAGTGGAAGGAGCGTGGCCCCTTACTGGCACTTTCAATGCCATCCGCCTCCCGGGATGCACTTTTTAAGGCAAAACCTTTCAATGAAGAAGCATGTTTTGCTGTCGGCAGAGGGATCCGTGTTGGAATCCGGGGTGCGCGGGCCCTCAAGGTTGCCCCGGATGGCGGGTGACAGTGCTGTGGGGCTTTGCCCTGTGGCTTCCGCCGTCGGCACACAAGGAGCTGCTGGAGTGCCGTCACAGCGCCACCCCCTCGATGCCCACAGAGCTGCAGCCTCTGCAGAGTGTCAGCTCCTTCACACTGTCCAACTTGATCTCAGCGATTTTTTGTCATAACACGTAGAAACTGTCAGAGCCCGTTTTAAACATTGTGCTTTTCTGTCTGCAAAGTCATTATTCCGTGAGTTAACGAGTCGTCACCCCCGCCTGGGAACTCAGGGGTCCCGGGTGCTCCTGGGTGTGGGAACTCAGGGGTCCAGGGTGCTCCTGGGTGTGCTTTCGGGCTGGCCGGGGACCAGCAGCTTGGGCGCCGAGGTGCCACCGACAGGAAGTGGGCCTCTAGGCTCAGTGCAAGGGCCGATGTTTCTCTGTGGTCCAGTCCACGCTGGCTGTGGGTCCTCCCTCCCAGTTTTCATGACTTGGGATTCCACTTCCCGGGCAGCTGTGAAGAGGGGGGTGTGGGAAATGGTGGAGCACCTGTTGCCCACCCGCCCTGGCCCTGCTGCCCTCACCCTCAGCCTCCCTGGTGGCCCCTCCAGGTGCTGGGCATGAGCTGACAGCCCACAGCGGGGCCACAGTAAGTTGGATGGGGCCACGGTGAGTCAGATGGGGACACGGTAAGTCGGATGGGGACACGGTGAGTCAGATGGGGACATGGTGAGTTGGATGGGGACACAGTGAGTTGGATGGGAACACGGTGAGTCGAACGGGGACATGGCGGTCCCCGAGACTGTTATCTTCCCATTTTAGTCTCCAGTTCCAAACACCCACACGTATTCATCTTCCAACGGTGGCAGGACATTGTTTCTGAAAGACAGACTGAGCTGGCTTTGATCATCCTGGGTCTCTTGTGGTTGGCAGAAATGAGTGCCCCTAAAACCCTCTGTTGGGTTGAGCTGGCAGCACCTTGTCACAAGGCCCCACCGCATGCCTGTGTATCAACATTTGGCCGTGCTGGTGGCATTGCCTAAACGTTCAGTGGCTCCTGGTCGAGGCATCCCTTCATCTGGCTGTGGAGGAGGAAGGCAGGGCCTCTGCGTGTGGTGGGCTGAGGAGCACATGGAGTTTTTAAAGCACACATCCCCCAGCAGGGGCCCCGAAGTCCTTTCCATCCCGCTGCTGTGCTTCCTTTCTCCTCGTAGAGGCTGTCAAATGGATCGGTCTCTGGCCTGCCATCCCACAGGCTCGGTGAGGGCTCGAGGGCAGGGGCTGTGCCCATCCTTGCTAGAATCCATGTCCCCGCGTCCGAGGCTGTGCGGGACCCGGGAGCAAGGCCTGGGGGCCACAGAGGCGGGGCCCTGTCATAGGCTCCTCCTCCACCCCCGCCAAGCCACAGGGGGCTGGAAGCGGCATTTCCGGCAGGTCTGGAACATCTCTGAGTGAGCTCATTTCTAACCTGTTACTCGAGAGCCAGTGAGTCCACAGTGCACATAAGTACTTCCCGCTCTGACTGGGAGGGGCCAGGATGAAAGTCAAGAAGAACCCGCGAAAGACCAAAGCCGATCAATCCCGGGCGCCCAGCAATTGGGGAAAGGTCAGGGAGCTTGGAAAGGGCCTTTTCCTTCTGGTAGAGCAAATGTCACAGTAAAGGGCAGCTGGTCCTGGCCGGGTCAGAGCCGTGGTGAGGCACGCACTGGAGCAGCCGCGGGAGCCTCCCTGGTGAAGGGAGCCAGCTGCTGAGCCCGGTGGCCGGGCCGTGTGACCACAAGGCGTCGGGGGCAGTGGGAAGCCTGGGCTCCGGTGCCTGTGGGGCTTGTGTGGCCGCTCTGGTCTTGGCAGGCGTGGGGGTCCTGGACGCTGGGTCCCGTGGGGCTTGTGTGGCCGCTGTGGTCTCAGCAGGCGTGGGGGGCCTGGACTCCAGGGCCTGTGGGGCTTGCGTGGCCGCTGTGGTCTCAGCAGGCGTGGGGGGCCTGGACGCTGGGTCCTGTGGGGCGTTGGGCAACTCCTATGAAGGACTGCAAGGCTTTCCTTTTTCTGCTGAGCAGAAAAGGAAGAAAGCACCTCACCGGGGTTTGCCTGTGGGTGTGGCCGTAAGAGGAGGCATGGCGGGAGAACAGTGCAGGGGCCTCGGGAGCCGGCCTGAGTCTGCCACATCTTCTCCTGCATCACCTGGCCTGCTCCCCTGGCCTCCCTAAGTGCCTTCACACACAGCCCTCAACCCTCATGGGTCACTGTCAGCAGTGTTTTTTGATCACCAAGATCAGTCCTATTTCTTAAAGAGTTCCTCTCACACAGGCAGTCGCAGCACGGCAGCTCCTGCCCAGGTCTAGATGGCCCTGGTGCCCTGGACCCCGCCAGGGAGGGTGGGTGCAGAGCAGGAACTGCCTCCCGGGCCTCAGTGGGCTCTCCGGACCTTCCAGTTTCAGGTCTGGGACCTGCCTGAGTTTTACCCAGGAAGAAGCAAGACCATGCTCGCCCCCACCTGTACCCCGTCCTCCGTGTTCGTGTTAGGCTGTCGCTAAAGGAGCCCTCGTCCCAGCCCTCTGCGCTGCTGAAGGGGTCCACGCAGAGGGCCAGTGCTGGGGAGGGCACTGGCCTGAAGCCAGAGTTCGAAGATTCCCATCACCAATAAACCAGTGGGATCTTCCACGGCAGCCTTCATGCTTAACTTTAAACATCAAACTACAGAGGACGGGAATTCTAATGGCTGTGCTTAAGGGGCTGTTTACTTTGTGAACTGGTGATAAACAGTTCTCCAGAAACTGCCACTTTCTCCTGAGAGTCAGTAAAGAGCTTCAGCAACCTCCAGGCAGCTGCTCGAGCGGCTGGTGGAGCACTCCAGGGCGAGTGAGCACCTGTGTCTGAGAGCCGCCCACACCACCATAAGCCTCACCAGCTCCCGTCCTTCAGGAATTGAGTCGTCACTGTTTTTTATCACTTTCCCATCCACAGTAATTGGAACAGACATGGAGTTACTTGAAATGCTGTTTTTCCTCTCAGTTCCCCCACAGTAGCTGGTTTTAAATGGAGTCCAGCAGCCTGGGTCCACCTGCCCTGTCCTCAGCCCCTGCGGGGCCCTCCCCACCACCTCCTGGTCTTCCCTCAGCCCCTCTGCCCTGGACCGGCCAGGCCCCTTTCTGGGCTCCACGGGGTGCATCATTGCCACCCATCTGCCTCCGCCCCCATCACGCTGGTGTCCTGCTTGCCGGGGCCACGTGGGCGAGTCGGGTGACAGACCCAGTGCAGCCGGGTGGGCTGGTGGACGTGCTGGCCGGGGCTGCGTGGGCAGCGCGGGAGGGGGCGCCATCTGCTGCAGGACAGTTCACGTCTGTCCCTCACGCCCTGTCTGCAGGCTCCTCGGCCGCTCTGCAGCCCCACCCACTCAGCTCTGTGGAGAGGTGTCCTGGGTGTAGGAAGAGCAGCTCCTGCGTGCAGCTTGTTAAGACAGCGGGTGTGGGGCTTGCCTGGCCATCGAAGCGTCAGAGGTGACTATAAGTCAGGAAGGGAAAGAAAACTGCGGTCTTCCTGGAACCTCCTCTGCATGCCCCAAGTGGATTTCTCAAAGGAACAGTAAGCAGGAACGTGGCAGAGCTCCTGCGGGCCTGGCTGACCCAGGTGGCGTCTTGAAGTCCCAGCCGCGTTGGCGTGTCCTGCTGTGAGCCTGACCGCAAGCTGCCTCCCCTCTGCCCCTGCAGCGGCTGCCAGGACATGAGGCTAACAAGCACCGAGGGCAGCCCAGGAACCCGATTTTTCACTTCATTTCATTTTAATTCAGATCTGATAATTCAGATCTGATAGAGCCGCGTGGCTATTCCATGGGACAGTACAGACCAGGTGACTTTCAACCAGTGCAGGGGCTACCACGGGGGAGGAACATTCCCGTGGACTTGCTGTCCAGCCAGCTTGGGCTCAGCTGCTCCCCAGTGCATCCCTGTTCTCGGAACCACAGCCCTGAGGTGGGCCCTGGGTGGGGTCTCCACGCTGCCTGGCAGACGTGGCGGTCATTCACATGGGATGGCGTGGTCAGCCCTGCACAATCCCAGGGAAGAGTCAGGCCTGGGTTCCCCCCGGTGAGAGGTCAGAGAACAGAGAAGGCGGCCCTGGAGGTGACCGCACCCCTCCCGCATATCAGGCACCCCTCCTGCGTATCAGGTGTCCCTCCTGCGCATCAGGCGCCCCCTCCCACTTACCAGGCATCCCTGGGAGTGACTGCGTGCCTCCTGCATATCAGATGCCCCTGGGAGTCACTGCGTCCCTGCCCTGTATCAGACGCCCCTGGAAGTGACTGCGTCCCTCCTGCGTATCAGACGCCCCTGGGAGTGACCGCGTCCCTGCCCCATATCAGGCGGCCCTGGGAGTGACCGCATCCCTCCTGCGTATCAGACGACCCTGGGAGTGACCGCACCCCTGCCTCGTATCAGACGCAGGTGTTTTCAGCAGCAGGTTTTCTTCGCTGGTGCCGTTTGTTGGTGTCAGACATGAGGAGGGGACCAAGGAAGGGCACGCAGGAGGTGGTGGCTGAGCCTCCGTTGCATCTGCTGGGAGTGGGGGCTCTCCAGCCCCGCGATCAGCTTGGGAGGGAGCTGGTCTCTGGTGAGGGTTTCCCCCAGTGAGGGTTTCCTCCAGTGCGGGTTTCCTCCAGTGCAGAACTCAGTGTTCACACGAATCGGCAGAAGGAAAGCCGCATGTGCTCTGTGGTTATCACCGAGGCATGCCCAGGGCGTTCGTGGGAAATCCAGGTTCTGTCTGCAAAGGTCCCTTCTAAATGGCACCAGAATTGGACACCATGTCTTCAACAGACGTAGATGCCACCCAGGGGAGCCCCTGTCTAAATGGCACCAGAATTGGACACCATGTCCCCAACAGACGTAGATGCCACCCAGGGGAGCCCCCGGCACCCCAGGCAGTGGCAATGCAGATTCCTGGGAGCAGGGAGGCCTCCACCCACCACGGCTCATTCACACGCCCGGCCACCCTGGTCTCTGGGCTCTAGGATGCTGCCCGCGACAGCAGCTGCCCATGCAGTTACCAGGCCCTGGCTTATAATGCCCTCATGCTGGACAGACGTGGGTCTTACTGTTCTGCGCTGTTTGTCTGCCATTTGCAAAGGAATGGGAAGAAAAATGAATAGTTTTAAACTGGATTGTTTACTCAGCAAGTGTCTAAGATCCTTGCATTAGTGTTTGGAGGGTTTTCCTGCCCACGTGGCTCTTTAAGACTGTGGATACATAGCTGTTCATTTGACAAGTCTTTCGTTACATTTTGCACACAGTTTACTATGTAAGTAAAGCGAGCCTAGTGGAAAATAGGGAAAATGATGTGTAGTGTAGAGTTCTTGTAGGACTGTTCAGTCAAGGGAGGGCCACACCTCTGGAATAAGGACCGCTTTTCCCTCCTGGCATCATCAACACAGTCGTCAGCTGTGTGTCAAATTCCACAGCTCACTGAAGCTAAGTGCTTGGTGCAGGGACTGGCCCGAAGCTGAGCACCTGGATCCCATGGCCGCAGGGATTTCCTGAGGGCTGGGGGCCGTGAGGAGTCACAGGACCCTGGAACCGACCACGGGGAGGACCCTGAGGCCCAGGGCAGGGGCGGTATCCCCAGGGTCACCTGCGGCCCCTCAGTGCTGCGTGGCACCTCCACGTGGCCATGTCGCTTCCTGTGGGCCGCAGACACGTGCAGGCTCTCCGGAGGGTCACGGCCTGTCTTCTGTTTGCTCATCTGTTGACGTGGAATGTGCGTGCCAGGTGGATCCCTCCCGCGCAGAGTCTCCTGTCTCCGTGTGGGGAGATTCCTGCGGCAGTGGCTCAGAGGACCACAGGCTGGGTGGCTTACACAGCAGAAGTTTATTCTCTCACAGTCCTGGAACCTGGACATCCAAAATCAAGGTGTCCTAGCGCCACGCTGCTCCTGGAGGCTCCAGGGGGGACCCCTCCTTGCCTCACCCAGCCACAGGTGGCCCAGATGGCCCTGGCTCATGGCCGCATCACCTCCGTCTGCGCCTCCATCCTCATGTGGCCTTTTCTTGCAAGGACATGAGTCCATGGACTTAGGGCCCACCCCACCCAGGATGTCTCATCCCGAGATCTTAACTAGTTACACCTGCAAGGCCCCATTTCCAAACAAGGCCCCAATTCTGAGGCTCTGGGTGAACATGAATCTGGGGGCACACCGTACAGCCCAGGACAGCAGGCAGCGCCGGAGTGACTGTCTCCTGCCACGTGGTCCACTGAACACTAGCACAGAAAACGTTTCTTTGAAAGCCCTACCTAAAAATAAATCTCACTGAAAAATGACCAGATTTATTTGTTGGTGGTGATTAATTTCAGCTGCATTAATTAAGGTGCCAATTAGGTAGATTATTGAATTTTAAAATACCATCCAAGCCCCTCTTATGGAAAATCAAAATCTGCTAGTTGGCATGGCATGGTTTTTAAAAAAGGTTTCTGACTGTAAAACATTTCGTAGAAATTTTGTGGAAACCAAAGAAAATTCTGCACGATTTTCTTTTGAGGCTGACTTGGACCAAGGAATTGAGGGCAGGTGTTTGGGGACCCCTCATACCGGCACCAGATCAGGCTGTGCTGAACGCTGATGCCGGCCTCCCTCTGCGTGTGAACGGGGTGATATTGGCCTCCCTCCGTGTGTGAACAAGCTGATGCCGGCCTCTGCACCTGAACAGGCTGATTTCAGCCTCTGCGCGTGAACAAGCTTGATCTCCACTTGGCCCTGTGGCACGTCCCTGTTGCAGTTTCCTTCCACATGAAGCTTTTTGATGAAGAACTGACAGGAGTGCCTGGGAGCTCCTTAGCACACACATCCTGGGCTCTCCCGGACCTGCGAGTCTCCTGGGAGCTCCTCAGCACACAGATCCTGTGAGTCAGGCCCAGGGCCCAGGCAGCGTCTCCTCACGTCTGCCTGGCACCAGGCTCAGTGCAGCTGGTGAACCGGGGCTGCGCAGGTACCTCTGGTCGGGATTCAGGCTCGGTCCACGCCACCCGCAGTGCCATGCCCGTGCAGCCTCCAGGGATGCATCGCTGCAGGCGCACCTGAGATGCCAGCTATGCTCTCGTGTGACGCAGAAGCATCACCTCTGGGCTGGACTGTCATGGCAGGACCACACCCGGCAGTGGCCACCGTCACTGCCCACTGATCTCGGTGCTCCCTGAGGCTGTGCGCTTCTCCTTCCTCAGATGAAAAGTGGACGAGGAATCCCTGTGGTCCAGGGCCTCATTTTCCTCGTACAGCTTTCATTTTTCGCACTGTGGTCCAGCCTCCAGTGTCTTTGCAGCTGGGAAGTATCAGGAGGAATTGGAGCGTGCAGCAGCTCAGCATGGCCTGGGCAGAGTGCGGATTCGCAGCGTTTCCAGCTGCTCAGCTGAGCAGGTTCTTTTTCACACAGGCCTGTGGATGGCTGAGGTTCTGGGTGGGTGAGTGTCCCACTGTTGGCTGCCTTGTGGGCAGCCCCATTGGTCCAGCAAGTGTGTCCTGTGCGTTTGCTATGTGGGCCCAGCACCAGGATGAGGGTACCGCCTGCCCTCAAGACCATGGCCTTGGGCACCAGGAGTGCCCGGGGCAGTGGGTTTGCCTGGCGGCTGCCTCCCCCACCTCTCTTCAGTTCTCCCCCTGCCTGGGAGTGATTTCCCACCGAAGTGTCTGTGCACATCTCTCTGCCTTCCTAGAAGCATCTGCATTTTAAAGGAGAGGGAGTGTCGGAGTCAAAGGCCGGCAGGAGTGTCTTGCAGGGTCCTCGGATGGAGCTAGCTTCGGGGCTGAATGGAGTGGGTTCAGTCCTTGAGATGGGCTCTGCCCTTCCTCTTGGCAGAGCAGCTGTGTGGTGAGCCCCTCAGAGAAGGCCACACAGAGGCGGGCAGGGCCTCCCAGAGGGCTTAGAAGTGTTGTCTGCTCCCCAGCCGTGTGGAGCAGGTGCATCTCGAGCACCTGTCCTTCCTTCCCCTGAGCCTTTCTGTCAAACAGCAGCATGGGTTAGAGTGAGACCCTGTGGGCTCCATGCAGGCTAGTCCTCCCCACCCTCTGCAACCCCCCGTGTGGAGATACCACATTCAGAGGCCACGTTGGTACCTGCAGTCTGGCTCCTTGGGAGCCGGAAAAGGCCACACCCAGCCTCCACCCTGGGTTTGTGGGGAGATCTGTGCCCTCCTCTGGGGTGGTTTTCAGATTGCCCAGGATCAGAGTAAGCATACGCGGTTCTGAAGGTTTGTGGACAGTGACACAGTCGTGCATAGCCAGAGCGCATCAGGAAGCCGTGTTTATCACAGTGCAGAGCGTCTTGCCTGATGGAGTGTTCTGGGAATGCTGGAGGCTGGGGGCAGGCGGTGCCCGGTGGCACGGGCGCCCTGGGGCGGTGTTGGTACGAAGGGACACGTGAGTGTAATGGTCTTTCAGAAACCACGGCTGGCCTGGCTTTGGTTTCACTGCTGAGCTCCCACCCACAGCAGCCCATCCTTGCCCCCTCGGTCCTGGGCTGGTGGGGTCATCCTCTTGCTCTCACTGCCGACCGCGTTCCTCTGCCTGCTCACAGCGCCTCCTTGGTGCCCTCAGTGGCAGGCTTGCTGGAAAGACTCATCAGAGGTTAATTAAATCCATCTCCACAGCAATGGGAGGCCGGGCAGAGCCGGGCTGGCAGCAGCAGATTAAATACAGGGTTGTTTGCCCTGCCGAGAGTTCAGGGGCAGGGTGTCTGGGAGGACGACCAGCTTGGTGGCCCTGGAGGCTCTCAGACCCCGAGGTGGAGACCTGCTTGTGATTTTTGGTGGCAGGAGGGTTGTAGGGATTGGATCCGGGAGTCCTGCCCTGCCCCACACCAGTCTGTGAAAGAGGCTCTGTGTGCAAAGCGAAGAGACTGTCCCCCAGGAATGCGCAGCCTCCTGTGTTTCAGATGCAGATTAATGCAGACTTGCTCACAGAGCAGAACTGAAAAGATACTGGAGTCAGATCTGGCACCACGGAAGCTGTAATTACAACCCACCACATGAAACACGCCAGTCGTGTGCCATCTGAGAGGGCCGTGCGTCCTCACACGAGTCAGTGATGCAGCCTGCGGCTCCAGCTGCTGCTGGGATGTTCAGAGGGTGTGTTTCCTGCCTCGCGCGGTGGCAACTGGCAGCTGGGGCGCTCAGCTGGCCGTGGTGACAAAGAGTGACAGCAGTGCCAGGCGCACCCGTCTCCACGCGGCCCGACCGCACACCACACCTGCCGTCCATCACGTCTGACAGTGACGGTGATGGATGCGTCTTTGGAGGCTGGTGGCCATTTTTAACAACCAGTTACCAATCACTGACAGGTACATGCTCAGGTGCCAGCTGGGCCTGCAGGGGAATGGCCGTTGGGGGCGTTGACATCCAGAAGGAGCCGTCCTCGGAGAGGGGCTGACGTCGCAAGGAGACACCCCGAGAGCCGGGCTTCCCAAAACACGGCTCTCAATGGGCACCAGGGAGGATACCACCACTGCCCGCGAGGCAGGATCCCAGCACCTGCCTCAAAGGCTGTGTCTGCCGTTCAGTGGAGACCATGGCCGGCAAGAGCAGCCAAGGCCAGGCTGCCCAGCAGCATAAGCCCAGGCCCAGACCTCAGACATTCCTGGCGCCCAGGCGTCCTTCCTTCTAGTGTGCACTGCGTCCTGGGAGGAGGAGCAGCTGTCAGCCAGTAGGTAACATCGCACCTGGTCATGGCCCCCCACAGCCCCACAGACTCCTGAGACCCGCTGGCTGCTCCGGCCCCAGCCAGGCTCCAGGTGAAGTTGTGACCTCATCTGGTTACCGGCTGCCTTGTTGAGCCCCTCTGCCCCCTGATCCCTCAGCCGTGGGCACAGTGGGCGCCGTGAGGCTGTGGGCAGGAGAGGCCAGGTCCCTGTGTCCACTGGCAGCTCCCATCAGGCGTGACAGACAGGGATGACTGTGCAGCTGTCGCTAGCCCTGTGTATGGGCAGGCCTGAGCTCCTAAAAACTGAGAGCATGGCGGCTGACTCCTCAGTCTGACGATGTTCCTGCATCGGCTGCAGTCGGCGCAGCCCTCCAAAGCCCTGCACCATTCAGGATTTGGCCCATCCCACAGCCATGAGCGGACTCGATGTGGCAACATGGGCACAGTGTGTGTCCAGAGGGCAGGTGGCAGGGACGGTCCCTTCTAACTCCCACAGACCCCAGAAAGCCTGGCTCAGAGTGACACTCCTGTAGAGCCTCAGCACCGTCTCCAGAGCAGCATGGATGGAAAGATGCACACAGCCCCATCCTCCTGCTGCCGTGGGTTAATGTTAGCGCAGCCCCGTCCTCTGCTGCCGTGGGTTAATGTTAGCGCAGCCCTGTCCTCCTACTGCCGTGGACTAATGTTAGTCATCGTCAAGTTCTCATCTTACCTGGGGACCCAGTGTGTAGACAGACCTTGTGCAGACCCAGTGGGGCACTGCCCTCGCCACGTGCCCAGCGTGCTCTGGATGGTGAGGCAGGCCAGTGGCAGCCTCTCTGCCCTCCCTGCCAGCTCCTCAGCCACAGGGACGCCCTTCCCTGAGGGTGGAGGTCAGGGCGGTGAGGGCCTGCAGAGGGCACGTGAGCTAAGCCGTGCTGCTCGGTTCACTCACTTGTTATTCTAGAGTCTTGGTGTAAAATAGCAATGGCAACAACAGAAGCACTGATTTAAATCATTAAATTTATTTTTTAATTTTTCTGTTTAGAAAGAGATTTTATTTGGTCTGTTTCTATATAGGGCCTATGACATCAACTGAAAATAAAATAAAATGTTATACTTAATTATAGTGATGACATTAGGCTTCGTATTTAGGGGATTTTTTCTAGGAAGTTCACTTTGCAAATATTACCCAATATTTTCAACTGGTATATTGATGCCAAGAATCTTCTCATTTTATAGAAAAAGAAGACAAAAAACAAAAGACGCTTGGCATTTTCTCTGGTCTATGCTGGGACTCTGTTCGAGGAACTGTTTTTTGGACTCACTCCTAAATGATTCATAATCCGTAGTGTGTTCACTAATCTTTAATGCACTTTTCTATATTTTTTATGAGCTCATACTTTATTTAAAAATTCCTCTGACTGCCCTTGGTTTAAAAGAAACCCATGGGAAAGGTAGGGCACAGAGCAGGTCTCTCGTGCCAAGGCAGGGGGTTGCTGGAGACCCCGGACACTGTGTAGCCTCATTCGTCCTCCTCCTTCACACATCGCACCCGGCTCCCTTACTAGCAATCAGTGGCTCTGACAAGCATACAGGGGACCCTGGGACGAGGGCTGAGCTCTGTGTCCTGCGTCCCCCTCCCTTTGCCACATCCCCCTCCCCACGTCCAGCCGTGCCAGTGGAAGGCTGGGGATGTCCGGGAGGAGCCACCCAGAGGCACAGCAGGTGCTTCTGCCGCCGGGCAGGGCCAGTCCTGTGGAGCCACCCCTGGGCCCAGCAGAGGGTGCCCGGCATGGTGCTAGACACAGCCTGAGAAAGAGACCCGCCGCCTTCTTCCCAGAAAGTCTGTTGAGCTCTAGCTGGCGTGAGAGCAAGTGGGCGCCACTCCCATTCCATGCGCGCTGTGTCCGAGCCTGCCAGGCTGCTGGAGTCCGGGAGCAACCTTGGGAGAGGACATGAAAGAGTCTTTATAGCATGTTGTTGTTCTGGGTGGCCGTTGACAATGAACACAGAGAGGAGGGAGGCCACTCGGATGCTGACGCCAACATCTCCCCATGACAGTGCCTTTCACTGGCTGCATTTCTGCACCCCATAAGCTTGGGATGCAGGGCCTTGTGCCTGGCCCTGGGGCTCGCGGTGAGGTCTGTGCTCCAGGGCCTCACGGTGGGCACTTTTGTCAAGTGATAGGGTCCCCCTTCGGGTCTAGGGTTCACCAGGAAGACCGTTGAGAAGATGGAGCTAACCAGAAGGGCTTTCTCTTGGGAAGTCAAAGTAAGGGAGGCCGGCGAAGTGTCTGAGGGCCCGCCCCGCAGCCCTCCCAGCAAACCCTGCCCCACAGCCCTCCCAGCAAGCCAGGCTCTCAGCTCCTCAGATTCCATCTGGGATGGTCATTCTCTGTGTTCGGTGCCCACTCTGGTCCTAAAAAGCTAGGAAATTGGCACCATGGCACACTTTACAGAACGCCGTTCCTGGCTTCACTGGGGGCTGAGCATGGGCACGTGCCCCCGAGGAAGGGTCCTTGGTGCCTGCCACCCTGGCCTCCCGGCCTCACCACACATTTCCCACGCCAAGTCTGGCCGGGGTCCCTCTGCCAAGCTCAGGCCCAGCCCCTGGAGAAGCCTGTGTGAGGCCCGTGGTGGGGGCGTGCCGACAGAAGGCAGCGGGAAGGTGGTTTACTCATCCTTACCCTGCACCTGCTACACCCCCAGCCTGTCGAGCCTGGAGGGCACAGCTGTTGCCCTGTGGGCCTGTGTGCTAATAGGTCCTAGTAGCCACCAGCATACTTGGGGGTGGTGGCTATAGTGCCAGCCCCCTGATCTCAGCCACTCCCAGAGGGGGACGCAGCGCTCTCTGGCCTTTGCTGCCCTCCTTGCCCTGGGAGCCGGGTGAGTCGCACTCTCGCTTCCAAGAAGCTGCACACGTGTGTGCCATAGGAAAGGAGTCTGGAGCCTCCGGGAGTTAATTTGAGATGACGTGTGCTGTTTCCATCAAAGATCGTCAGGCTTGGGTGTAGTGCTTGTGAGGCCCTCGCCATGCCCCCTGCCAGGACCCAGGGGCCTCAGCAGAGGCGTCTTCTAGGGTCTGAGGACCTTGTCTCCACCCTGTGTGTCCGTTGGCCCGTGTATGTTTGATGAGCACTGACGTTCGGGGGTGCCGCCTGTGTCCACCCCAACGGGATGCCAGAGGACTCCAGAGGTGAGGCTTCCTTGGCACTTTCCGTGGCCTCCCCAGGACGAAGCAGGTTTTAAAGACAGGACTTGCACGTTGGGGCCGCCTGTGAAGCGATTGGCTGGTTGTCCTCCTTTCCCACTCCACGGCAATGTCTAAGATCTGCACCAGCGTCCATAATGTGAGTTACCAAGGAATGGCTAACCCCACGGGACCAGTAATGCTTCTCCAGGTGGATATCCAGAGGACTGGGGCGTTTGTCAGAACTTAGCGTTTGAATTATCTCTGCCTGTTTGCAGTGACCTAATAGTAAACCTGGAACTTTGCGTGCTGGTTTGTCAGTAGGCTCCATAGTTTTCTGAACTGTAACGGAATTACCCCCTCGATTCTGAGCAGTGGTCCGGACCCTCAGGCACGTTCAGGGCAGGAGCGGTGGGAGCCTCTTAGTGAATTCTCCTTTCACAGCGAAAGCATTACGTTGGTGTAGTGGCGCGGCATCCGGGAGCACAGATTTATATTCACGTTCACCATGACTAGAAGAATTATTTGTAGCATAGAAAATGTTTATCCCCTGGAGTCAGTTCTGTTTTCTAGAGTCATTCAAAAACTGAAGCCGTAATGATTTCCTATTAACTCGTTTTAAGGAAAACCCATGTAAAGTACTCGGGCCTTTTGTTGTGAACCATATTTTAGAAATCCTTTTCTACTTCCTCCTTTCATCCCTGCTGCTAGAGAGTGGCTACGTGGAACTTCTGTGTATAACCCTTCTTTATTTCTAGACATGTTTCTGGTTAAAATTTAACCAAAAACTACAGGATAATAAAGAAGGATGGGACTTGGCAAGTTTCTTCCTGCCGTGCCTTTGGTCAGTTTTCCCAGTGAGAGCCACTCGCAGGGTCCACATCGTTCACCCCCAGCATTCACCACCCAAGGGTCAGGCTTCTCTGACGTCACAGTGATTTCCTGGAGGAGGAGGAGAGAAACCCTAAGAGTTCACCTACAAAGAAAGGGGAAGGCCAGGGACAGTGCCTCACACCTGCCTTCCCAGCACTGTGGGAGGCTGAGGCAGGAGGATCATTGAGCCCAGGAATTCAAGACCAGCCTGGGCAACATAGGGAGTCCCCGTCTCTACAGAAAATAAGAAAGTAAAATTAGCCAGGCATTGTGGGGCACGCCTGTAGTCCCAGATACTCAGGAGGCTGAGGCGGGAGGATTGCTTGAGCCCGGAGGTCGAGGCTGCAGTGAGCCAGCCATGATCACATCACTGCACTCCATCCTGGCCAACAGAGGAGGACCCTGTCTCAAAAACCTAAAAATAGAGATAAATAAAAAAAGGGACACCGCCTGTCTTGGGTTGACAGCATGAGATGGGCTGGCCAGATCTCCGCAGCCTAACAGTGGGCAGCTCCGTGTCTGTGGGTCACAAGTGGTTGGTCTCAGTCTGGTTCCTGCTGGACAAACACTGCAGGTTCACACCACGGGAACTTCTCGGCATCTGTGCCAGGAAAGTTAGAGCTTCCTCATCCTTGGAACCCCAGCCTGCATTGCACCCAGAAGAGGATACCCCCGAATGAAGCTGGAGGCTGCTGTCCACTCCACAGAACCCTGGCCCTCGTCACACCCAGAAGAGGATGCCCCAGAATGAAGGTGGAGGCTGCTGTCCACTCTGCAGAACCCCGGCCCTCGTCACACCCAGAACAGGATACCCCGGAATGAAGGTGGACGTTGGTATCCGCGTCCGCTTGCTTTTCTCAATAGCCAATGTAAACTGAGGTGGACGTCAGTATCTGTGTCCGCTTGCTTTACTCAATAGCCGACGTAAACTGAGGTGGACGTCAGTGTCCGCGTCCGCTTGCTTTACTCAATAGCCGACGTAAACTGAGGTGGACGTTGGCGTCCGCGTCTGCTTGCTTTACTCCATAGCTGATATAAACTGCAGCTGGCTGCAGCACCCACGAATGGCTTCTTTCCGAGATGTGGCCGTCCTCTGCAGAAAGGATGCATACTTACAGAGAAGGCGCTCACTCCTGAGGGAGAGCAAAGGCCAGGTCAGAGCTGTGTGGGACAGGAGGTGTCCTCACGAGTCTCCTGGAGAGGAGCCTGCTCCCAGAGGCCAATCAGCACCGGGTCCTACAGCCCTGAGGGGCGGTTGCTCTGTGAACTTACTACCAGATAGAGCTCATGCGCCATGAGCCACGCTGCATCAGATAGGGCCGAGGAGAGATGGCGAAGTGCTCCTCATAGGAGCCTGTTCTGTTCCTGATGGATGAATCCAGGTGAGTCCCGTGTGAACACAGAGCTCAGAGTCCCACCCCAAGAACACACTCTGTGTTCCCCTTGATGCAGCCCCGACCTGGGCCAGCACGCGCAGCCCCGCCCTGCAGGAGGAAGCCTTCGCACAGTGGCACCAGCTCTCAGAGGCGACACCACGCCTTGTCCTGAGCAGAGAGGGGCGCTCCCAGCTTTGTCCTGAGCAGAGAGGGTGCCCACCGCCTGTGGAAGTCAGCCCCAGGTCTGAGCGAGAGGGCCACCCCCAGCTTCACTCGCTGGCCGTTGGTCTCAGGTCCTGCCTGCCATCCCCAGGTGGAAGGCGGTTGTATCTAGTCCGGCGCCCAGTCAGGCTGTGTCCAGCCAGAGCTTCCCCTGCGGGGTTTTGCTGTTTTAGTCATTGCTGTTCTTCAGGGAAGTCTTGGAGACGGGCACAGCTTTCCATAAATTACAGCCCCGTGAAACAAAAAGTGCCTCCCGATGAGTTCGGACCGTGAGGGACACCCAGCTCCGATGCTTCCTTCCCGGGGTCTGGAATCCCTGGTGAACCGGGGCCCTTGGTAGTCAAGAAACCTGTCATTGAAATTCATGATGCCGGTTTGGTTCTCTTTGCCGAGATTTATCATTGACAGGCATCCTGCGTCCTTTGGCCCTTTATTTAACCGCTGAAGGCATTGTTTTTAAGACCATTTCTTTTAGAAGAGTTTCTTTTCAGATGTTCCTACGAACATCTGTTTGTGGCTGAAATTCGACCCAGCCGGCCTGCGCCTGCCCCGCGCCCCCTTTGTCCCCGGCCATTGTTTCTGATTTCATGCTATCAGAGGTCTGCGTGTTTTTCTGCATGAAGTTGTCAGCAGGATAAAAGCTCAGGAGCAGGGTCACGTTGAGAGGGGAGGGCATGAAAAATTGGTAAAATGTGTCTTCAAGGCCACCCACCAGTGCTGCACTCAGCCCCAGCAGGGACTGGGCCCGGGAGTGAGGGCAGCCCACCCACCAGCGCTGCACTCAGCCCCAGCAGGGACCGGGCCCGGGAGTGAGGGCAGCCCACCCACCAGCGCTGCACTCAGCCCCAGCAGGGACCGGGCCCGGGAGTGAGGGCAGCCCACCCACCAGCGCTGCACTCAGCCCCAGCAGGGACCGGGCCCGGGAGTGAGGGCGAGCCCACCCACCAGCGCTGCACTCAGCCCCAGCAGGGACCAGGCCCGGGAGTGAGGGCGAGCCCACCCACCAGCGCTGCACTCAGCCCCAGCAGGGACCAGGCCTGGGAGTGAGGGCGAGCCCCTTGCGCGAACCCTGGAGGGCCGGACCCTAACCCTGGGGCTGTGGGCTCTGCCCCTCCCTCCATTCATTCATTTGTCCCGTGAGTATCAATTGGATGTCTGCAAAGTGCCAGAGGCAGTTTGCTTCCGAATCAGCACTTTCTTCAAGACTGGACTCACTCCTCGTCACGTGTGGGGAGGAAACTTCTGAATCACTGAAGTCAGTGGCTGAGTTCACACCACCCCAGCCAGCCCACAGCGGTCACACCCTTGCTAAGCTTGCTGACGGGCAGCCTCACTGGAGCGCAGACGTTACCCTCCCAGGAAACCTGTGATGAGGACTGGGGTGCACACGTGTGCTGAGGACACCCTCCAAGGCCGGCCCCGGGGCTCAGACAGGCAGGCTGGGGCCACATCTGAGCCTCCTGGTTTTAGTGCATTCACTCTGGCGCAGACAGACCATGGCTGAGCGTGTGGTCCCGAATTCCATCCTTGGAACAGAGGAAGTTTTTGTTATGAGAAAGAACTCCAGCCACAGCGGATTTGCACCTGCAGGTCTGTGTCTTGCGACACTTAAGGGCCAGGCTGGACGGGCCCCCACAGAGGTGGAGGAGTGGCCGGCTCTGGCCAAGCTGCCAGACACCACCAGGGAAACAGGTGCACCCACAGAGCTTCTGTGCCTGCTGAGGGGCTGGGAGTCGTAGCCTCAAGGAGCAGGCTCATTTTGTTGCTTTCTGCTTTAAGGTGGTTTTTCTTCTGGTTGGATGAGAAAAGTTAGTTGAGCCCCCCACGGATTGACTCAGCAGCTGAGTATGTAGAAACTGGCCTGGTCCTGGGGCCAGCATGTGAGCCATCCCCCACCACCCACAGGCCTCCCAGGAGGCCCTGCTCCCGCAGCAGAGCGGCCGCTGTCACCGAGGCAATGGCCAGATCAGGAATTCCAGGACCCCCGGGAGGGTGGGACACTGCGGCTCCACCGGTCCCTGTGTCTATGGAATCGGTGTCAGCGGACATCCCGTTCATGGTGGGATATGCCCGTAGGTGTCGGGCAGATGGGGGAGTTTCAATACCGGCTCCTTTAGGGGGTCTCAGTTTGGAGGAAAAAAGCCTTATTTCCTTGATGATGGTTTCATTCCTTAAGAACGCACTAGAATCTGCCCCTTAGTAGCTGCCTGTGGTGTTTCTAGATTCGGGGGCAACGTTGGCTTTGTGGTTCGTTTTTATTTTATTTAACTGTGAACGCCCTTTTACTCCCTGCATTGAGGTGAGACAGAGGACACGGCTCTCAAGGAGAGGAAGAAGTTGTTGGGATTCCCAGGCTTCATGAGGCCGGGCTGTCCCTGAGCCTGAGGCGACCTGCAGGGCTGACTGATTTCTATCCACTGAGGAAGGTTAGGATTCAACCTCAGCCTCACTTTGTGCAGCCGCCATGTTAGACATGCCGCCACAGACCACGGCACCGTTGTCCCTCCCGAAAGTGCTGTCCTGGGCCCGGCGGTGCAGCCCCTGGCAGCTTGCGAGGCCCGGGCTGCCCGCCTCTCCCGTGGCACAGGCTTGGGGACAGGGTGTGCCCGAGCCAGTGGCTGGCTCAGGAGGCCACAGAGGTGCATTTGCCTCTGCTCCAGGCGAGCTTGGGCGGTTCTGGGAGGGCCTGGGGACACAGGGTGACGTGGTGGGAGGGCGCTATGGCCTGTCAGCCTTTGATCTTGGGGCAGGTGGTTCTGCCTGCCTGCCACAGAGGACGGGGTCCTCCATCCCCTCGCGAGCTCCTGGAGGCCACGATGCTCCTGGGGACACCTCCCCTTTGGGAAGGTGAGGGCTGGGGCTGTCCCTGTTGCCAGGCTCTGGCCCTAGGAAGGAGGTTTGTGGCCCCAGTGACTAACGGATTCCCTTGTCTGCCTGGGAGTGTGTTGACCACCAGGGAGTAACCAGGGAACTGGACTCTCCGTGTGGCAGGAGGGGCATCTCCCAGCCTTCGAGCCTGATTGCTTTTCCAGTGCCTGAGCTGCACCCCTGGGATCCCAGCTTTCCCTTCCCGAGTCCGGGCAGCATCTGTGCTGGGCCCTGCTGGGACCTTCCTCCTCATGTGAGGCATGTCACGGCTGGCACTGGCCCCAGCCCGGGCCTCGGGTGTGGTGGGCCCACAGTGTGTCAGACCCTGGGTGTGGTGGGCCTCGGGCGTGGTGGCCTCGGGTGTGGTGGCCCTGGGCATGGTGGGCTTCAGGCATGGTGGCCTCGGGTGTGGTGGGCCCAGGCGTGGTGGGCTTCGGGCGTGGTGGGCCTCAGCTGTGGTGGCCTTGGGTATGGTGGGCCCGGGCATGGTGGGCTTCTGGCGTGGTGGCCTCGGGTGTGGTGGCCCTGGGTATGGTGGGCCTGGGCATGGTGGGCCCGGCCATGGTGGCCTCGGGTGTGGTGGGCCCGGGTGTGGTGGCCCCCGAGGAGGAGTGTGTCCTGGAGAACAGGCGGGTGCGTGAGAGCTCCCAGCTCAGCCACAAGAGCAACACATGCTGCCCACCCAGCCTCGCCTACCCTGCCTACCCTGAGACGCCTTGGCAGGACCTAGAAGCCAAGCCTGGGGTAGGGCCTCGGCGTTGCCTGCACGTGTGCCCAGATGGCTTCTTCGGAGCCCTGAGTGGGCCCCCGAGGCTGTGTGTCCACTTGGCCCAGGCAGGGCGCTCTGGACACCTGGTGATTCCAGGTAGAGAGTGGAGCCCAGGCGCCTGCTGGCTGTGCGTGCGGTGCCTGGAGGCTACAGCCAGCGAGGATTCATTTCAGAGAGTACAGAACAACTTTTTGTTTTTATAAACCAGCTCTTGAAGGTTGCATTTAAAAACTTGGGCTGACAGGGTCTGAGAGGATGTGTTTGCCTTTAGTAGAGTTTTGGATTTTGTGGCAGAGTGTCCGGGACAGTTGAGGGGGTGATGGGACAGATTCAGCTCCCAACGTGAGACCAACTGCACAGGTGCACATTGGGGCGACTCTGCCTGCCATGCAGCTCCGTGCACATCCGAATGACTGCGTTATTTCCTTGCACAGAAAACAGCCTTTCTCCTGGGCTGACACCTGTGCCCTGGGCCTGTGGACGCCCTGTCCAGGCAGCATGCCTCCTTGGTTATCCAAACAGTAAGAAGAAATGCAGGAACTTCGTGATCCACACGCGTGTGGATGACCCTGGCACACAGCGTTCCCGTTAAATTCTAAGTGTGGATAAGACGGCACACCGGACCACTCTTTCCAGAGCCTCTCCTTGCGGCTGCTAATAATGAAATACATCTTAGATGGCTTTTTAAACATAGCATTTAGGGTATTTGTTTCTCCTTTCAAAAGAGAAGAATCCCTTCCCAAAGTAGGCGAGCCGGAAAGGCCCAGCCTGGCCACTTTCCGCATGAGTGGCCACGACTTTGCTGGATTGAAAGGCAAAGGGAACAGGCCAGCTTTGGCCCCTTCAGCCTGGCCTGATCACTCCTTTACAGCCTGTGAATGAGGCAGCTCTGGGGAGGGGTTTGGGGTGGCCGGCCCCTTCCTGGGCTCTGGGGTCCATCAGATGTTTGTCCTTTGGGAGCCTGCCTGAAGTGCTGAGATAAAGCAGTTTTTAAACAGTTTCCCGCAGATGCCTTTTGGGAGACAGAGCCGTGAATTTCCTGAGCCGCGTCCTGGGATGGCTACAATGGCCGTCTGCCTGCCAAGCCTTCTCCCATTCAGGGAAAGCAGCTTAAGCCACTTAAGCCCATTAGCATCTGGATGGGGCCGGACCTCCTTGGGACACAGGGGTGGGCAGGGTGGCCCCGCTGTGTGGCTGTTTGGGTGCTTGTTCTAATCCTCACGCTGTTTGAAGGCTCCAGACTGATTTGTGACACATGAGTCCAAAAGCCACTTTGGGGGGCTTGACCCCATCAGCCGGTCTGTGCTCGGAATGTCAATGGCCTGCCCTGGAGTGTGCTTTGGGGATAGCGGGTGGCCGCCTCCTGGCCCAGGCTGAGACACTGCACACCAGCCACCAGGAGGTAGACGCTGCATCTTGGCAAGAGGCGGGTCGGGCTGCCGAAGGGCTCCAGAGTTCCTCTCAGTTCCTGCTGAGCGCATGCCCGGAACCTGCACAGGAAGGCCGGGCACCGGCCCAGGGGTGTCCTCCTGAGCCCTGTCTCCGAGCCCCGGCCAGCGCCCGGGGCACCGAGGTGCTCCTCAGCAGCACCAGCTCCCAAGGGCCCTTTCAGGGAGAAATTTTTAAAGCCAAAGTTACTTTTGGTGCAGTCATCATTTTATAAAACAAAAATCATATATTATTTTCTTAAAAAAACAGATTTATAGGCCAGGTGCAGCTGCTCACACATGTAATCCTAGCACTTTGGGAGGCTGAAATGGGACAATCGCTTGAGCCCAGAGGTTCACGGCCAACCTGGGCAACATCATGAGACCCTGTCTCTACAAAAATTTAGAAAATTAGCTGGGCATGGTGGTGCATTACCTACAGTCCCAGCTACTCGAGGGGCTGAGGTGGGAGAATCACTTGAGCCCAGGAGGTCAAGGTTAAAACGAGCCTTGATCACGCCACTGCGCTCTGGCCTGGATGACAGATCAAGACCCTATCTGCAAAAAAATTTTTTTTATTAAAAACAAGCTGGATTGAGGTATAATTTACACACAAGCTATAATCCAATTCTAGACTCTCTCTCCATATAATCCAGTTCTAGACTATCCCTCCAGCCCCCGCCCCAGTCAGTTCCCTCCCGGCCCCCGCAGTCTCCTTGCTGCCTCTGTCTCTCCGACTTCGCCATGTCTGGGTATTTTGTGTAAATGGAATCTACAGTCTGTGGCCTTTTGTGTAAGGCAGCAGCTGTGCCCTCCTCCACCCACACCAGCGATGCAGAAACGCCGGTGCCTCTGCCCGCCATGAGCACGGGCCCTCGCTGTCCACACAGAGCTTTGATTTCTCTCAGATGTGGGTCTCACACTTCCCTTGTTCGGTGAGGTTCTAGGCATTCTTGTTTTCATGACTTCTGCCAAGCTCGGAGAGCTCAGTGCCCACAAGGCCCCTGTGTCGGGGCCAGGGGCTCCCCGTGGCCAGTCCACCCAGGTAGGGGTCTCCAGCTCTCTTACCTTTAGGGACTGACCCTCAGTGACCATTCCCTGCATTGTACTGAGGTTAAGACGAGAAGAATTTTCAAAACAGGCCTCAATGTAATCCTTCGCGGTGATCTGTGCCGGCTGTCCGCCAGCCAGGACCGTGCCTCCTGGAGCAGCTCAGCCATGCAGTGTGGGAGAGAGATCGGCACTCACTCAGCCTCCCTCTCCTCTGCTGCCCAGATGACTGCCCCTTCCCGTAGCTGGTCAGGCCAGTGAGCATCCACAGGCACCAGAGGCCGCAACCCTGACCCTGCAGCACTGCTGCCCCAGCCCCTCTCCTTGGTCCTCCTGGTCGGTGTGATCGCTGGGACCCTGGCGGGAGCCTGAGTTGTTCTTGGGTCCTGTCCACCTGCCTCTGGGCCCCTGCCCACCCCAGCCTGCGCCCCAGGGACTGGTTTGAGCCTGTTAACACCACAAAGCAGGCGTGTGACCTCAGCCATCCCTCCCACGTCAGCTTCACCCAGATGAGCCTGTTGAGACGGTTCCCGGTCAAGCCGCCTGCAGCCCTTGCCCGTTGTCACAGTCGAACAGCTCTCGAGGGAGTTCAGGGACGGGAGAGAGCGAGCGGGAGGAGGCCGGCCATGTGCCCCCGCAGGCACCCTCTTTGCTGTTCTCAGTGCTGCTGTGCCTTCCGAGCCTGCTGGTGTCGCACTGGCTTTTGCCCCAAAGCAGCTCTGTGGGCGGCAGCAGCTCCGGGGTGTCCTCACGGTTGCAGCCACGCTTTGTTGGGGAGCAGCCAGCCTCAGGCCCTTCGCACGTGTGAGGGTCGGCTGTTGCGGGAGTGGCCCCTGACCCCAGGTGCGGAAATCTGGGTGTGACACCAGCTGCTGTCTGGAACCAGCCATCCTATCCCACTGACTCGGGGTGTCGGGTGACGCTGCCATGGGCAGGTGGGCCCCCCTGGGACTTATCTCCGTTGCTGTCTTTCTGCAGACGCTCTGCACAAAAGCCACCATGCAGACGGTCCGGGCCGCCGACACCAATGAAGTGGTGAAGCTCATATTTCGTGAGTCGGACAACGACCGGAAGGTGAGCGGGGCCTGTGACTGGGCAGGTGACGCACGGGGCCTGCGCAGGACTCTGCAGCTTCCTTCAGAGCCGCCCTGCCTGCCCGGTTCGGTGGGGGCTAGGGGACACGCACAAGGCTGGGGGAGCTCAGGTGCTCATGGGCCACTCTGACTTCACAGGTTATGCTCCAGTTAGAAAAGAAACTCTTCGACTACTTCAACCAGGAGGTTTTCCGAGACAACAACGGCACCGCGGTGAGTTTGTGGTCCAATGTGGCAGCTCCCCCGTCCTGGGACATCCACGCCCCCAGGCCTTCCCATTACCTCTGCTTACCTGGGACCACCCTGCCTTGTCCCTGCCACCTCCAGGACTCAGTTCTGAGCCAGTGCAAGTCAGACTGCTGGGGACACATATTGGGTGCGTCCGGCACCCCGGGCCAGGTTGGGTGGAGGCTCCGTATCACTGTCCTGTCCACGGGCAGCATGACACTCGACCCATCAGCTTCAGAGATCCCCCCGTGTGCGAGGGGAGACGCTGGTGCTGTGGGGTGGGGAGGAAAGCCCCTTGTCTCAGAGTGAACCGGCCGGGCCTCGGGCCTCACTCTGAAGTGGGAGACTGAAGGGAGCAGGTTCCTCACACTCCTGTCGCTAGACTTGCTGTGTGTGGGTCTGTGTGTGAGCACGTGTGTGTGCTCTAGTGCATGCGTGTGCACATGTGCACGTGAGTGCGTATCTGCCTCTGTGGGGTGGGTGTGCCGCTGTATGTCCATGAGCACGTGTGTAAACAAGTGCGTGTCAATGGGAATGTGCGGCTCAGGTCGGTCCACGGAGAGGTGGCCCCTGCCAGTGAGAGACAGCCCCGGCTGCTGGACCTGCTGTTGGTTTTGAAATCGTGAGTCTTCCCTTCAAGGGATCAGTGTAGGCGAGCGCTGAGGGGCGGCCTACACACTCTCTTTACAATTTTTATTTTTTATTGTGGTCTACTTTTGTCCCATTTTTAATGTATTTACAAATGTTTATCAGCGCAAAGAACCAGGAATCACGCAGCAGCTGGCTGGGCCCCATATGCGGCCTCGGCCGATTTCTGTAAACACGCCCACTGTGGCGATTCCAAGCCACACGTGATGCCGTGTGCAACGAGCCAGCATCCAAGATCTGGAAACCTCGGCATCAGTTCCTAGGGCGCTCCCGAGCCAGCTATGGTTCCCTTGGCGCTGCGTCAGGGCAGGTGGCCCCTGTCCTCAGGAAGCTGTCTGGGGAGTGGCCGGGGGAGAGGTGAGGGAGCACAGGCGGGTAGACCCAGGACACTGCAGCCGCGTTCACATCCTAGCATCCTGGGCCAGCCAGGTGTCTGTGTGTCAGTTTCCCCTCGTGGGGTTTGGGGGCTTATGGGTGAGTGCATGCAAAGTGCTTAGGAAGAGCTGGGGTCTCTCAGTGCCAGACAGAGGGGCACGCCCAGCCCAGCGGACGCTGCCAGCCCCGAGTCCCAGGCCCAGAACCTCCACTCCAGGATGGCATTCGCTGCCTCCCCAACGGCCCCCAGACCCCACGCTCCTGTCTTCTTGGGAAGTCACTTCTGCCTCCTGCCCCTCATCAACCCAGAGCCCGAGGCTCCCGTGACGCCCACACCTCCGTGGTGCCTGGGCCTCCTGTGCCCGTCCCTGTCACCTGCTGCAGGAGCCCATGGTCCTTTCCCCCACTGGGGTCGGGTCAGGCCTTGGTGTCCTGTCCCCACATGGCCCCATCAGCCTGGGCAAGCCTAAGGTTTCCTCCGCTTCTCTCCATCCAGGCAGGCTGGGTTTCCTCCTGCGCCATGTGTGGGAGGCACCCTCCCCTCTCCTTCTCAAGCCTCCAGGGCCTGGTGGGGCCGCCTGTCTGTGGCTCCCGCTGCCCCTCTCTGGCTCTGCCTGCGGGACTCTGGGCTCCAGGATGCTTCCAGCTACAGGACACTCCCGGGTGGCGCATCCCGGCCTCGTCAGTGGGGAGCAGGGAGAGCCTGGGGAGCACAGATGTCTGGGTGGAGGCAGGTGCCCAGGAGGTGTCTTCGTGGAGGCAGGTGCCCAGGAGGTGTCTTCGTGGAGGCGAGTGCCCAGGAGGTGTCTGGGTGGAGGCAGGTGCCCAGGAGGTGTCTGGGTGCAGGCAGGTGCCCAGGAGGTGTCTTCGTGGAGGCGAGTGCCCAGGAGGTGTCTGGATGGAGGCAGGTGCCCAGGAGGTGTCTGGGTGGAGGCAGGTGCCCAGGAAGTGCCTTCGTGGAGGCGGGTGCCCAGGAGGTCTCTGGATGGAGGCGGGTGCCTAGGAGGTGTCTGGGTGGAGGCGGGTGCCCAGGAGGTGTCTGGGTAGAGGCGGGTGCCCAGGAGGCGTCTGCGTGAAAGGGGGTGCACAGGACGTGTCTGGGTAGAGGCGGGTGCCCAGGAGGCGTCTGGGTAGAGGCAGGTGCCCAGGAAGCGTCTGCGTGAAGGGGGGTGCCCAGGAGGCGTCTGGGTGGAGGCGGGTGCCCAGGAGGTGTCTGGGTGGAGGCGGGTGCCCAGGAGGCGTCTGGGTGGAGGCAGGTGCCCAGGAGGGAGACAGGGCTGCCGTCGTTTGGAGGAGGTGCTTTCAGGGTCCCTAGCAGAGCTGGCTCCTCAGTGCCAGGGGAGCAAAGTCTCCGGGGACCTTGCACAGGGCATGAAAAAGTGGAGGGTCCCTTGGAGGAGGATGCCAGGGAAGCCCAGGGAGATGGAATGTTTTGGAAGGAGCTAGGAGACAGGGAAGAGGGAGGCTCCCTCAGCCACAGGTAGGGTGGTGGCAGGGGACAGTTCCCAGCCGGGGCTGCGTGGAGTGGGGTGCGGCATGGAGGGGCGTGTGATGTGGAGGGGGCTGTGGCGTGGAGGGGGGTGTGGCATGGAGAGGGGTGCAGAGTGGAAGGGGTGCAGTGTGGAGGGGCGTGGCGTGGAGGAGGTGTGGCGTGGAGGGGCGTGGCGAGGAGGTGTGGCGTGGAGGGGAGTGGTGAGGAGGTGTGGCATGGAGGGGTGTGGCATGGAGTGGGGTGTGGCATGGAGTGGGGTGTGGCATGGAGGGACACGGGGCGTGGAGGGGCACGGGGCGTGGAGGGGGTGCGGCATGGAGGGGGTGCGGCGTGGAGGCGGTGCGGCATGGAGGGGTGTGTCTAGAGCATCTGGGAGCAATTGTCTTTCATGTGGATCCAAAGTCCTCCTTTTCTCTCAGCATTTTGACACAGAGCACGCCCCTGCTGTCGGTAGCCACCATACCGTACAGTGTTTCCTACCTTTAGAGGAAAATTAATCTGAATATTTGAGAGAACTTTTGGATTTGGTTCTGAATGAAAACACGCTGTGGGGTTGAAGCCACGTGAGGCACCCGGTGTGATTGCGGAGGCCTGGTGCACTGTGTCGATACGTCGGGAGTCCCATGTGGAAAGGCGGCCTGAGCTCAGGAGGCGCCTTCTGAGGCTGTTTCTCATGAGAAGAGCCGATGCCTCGGCGTTCCTGTCCTGCTACTCAGATCCTCTCTGTTTGGGGCCTGGGACGACGGCACCTTCGGGAACGCCCCATGGGTTCCTGCTGACCCGGGTGCCCTCGCACTTGCCCGAGGTGCCGGCATGCCGAGTCAGTTGTGCCCAGAAATTGGCAGTTGTCCCCATCGACGGAGGGTCAAGGTGGTCGGACGGGGAGCCTGGGGAGATAATCCCATCTCCACGGTCCGGTTAAACACACAGCACCGCAGCCATGGAGAGCAAACTCTCCGTCCGCAGGATGGATGTGCCTGCGCCGGTCGCAGCCCCAAGTCCATTGCATCCTTCATCAACCGCCGGTCTTGTACCCGTCTGACAGAAATTTAATTCAGGCTGGCTCCTGAAAATAATTATTGTATTTTAAGAGTAGTAATCATTGGCCGGGACATGATTGAATGTGTCCATGCCTATTGACTTTTTCTATGATTTATAGCTTTGTTTAGTCGATATTCCCATCGAAATTGTATAATTAATTATAAGTGTAGCTGTCAGGGCTGCAGGATGGAGTGCCCTGGTGAGGATTTGGAGAGATTAAATTTTCCTCGGCTGTCCCAGGGCCGGGCTTGGGAGTTTCCGCAGCACCGGCCTCTTGGAGGGAGGTGTTTTCTGTGTGTTTAGCAACCGCTGTAGCCCCAGGTGCATTGATTTTCTGGGCCTCTTTCCTTTATCAGCGCCAGTGTCTCTGCAGGAGTGGCGTGAGCGGCGGCCGGGACAGCTCCTGACAGATGGGCAGGATCAGCCGCTGCCTTGTCATTGTCCACACGGCCCTGCCTGCCTTCACTTTGTAATCAAGAAGAATGTGGGAGACCATGCGAAATTGGTGATCATGTTTGTGAAAAATCTCAGAGAGATACAAATTATCAATTCAACAGCAACGTGCGCAGTTTCTAATCAGAAACCTCTCCTGTCTGGTATTTTGTTCCAGCCGCAGCAGGGGCCCTCACCCACATCATTCCGGGGGCAACAGCCCCCATGCCAGCCATGCAGGGTGAGGCTCCCTCCGACTTCTCAGAACCAGTGGCTGAGCAGGGACATGCCAGGACCCTCCCGCCACACAGGATCCCCCCGCCACCTGGCCGCCATGGTCCCTGCGCAGCCTTGCGTTTGTATCATGGTCGTGTGTACCTCTGCCTGCCCTGTAGGTGGGAAGACCCGTGGGGTAAAGACCGCGTGTTTGGAGTGTCTGGCACAGTGCCGACGTGGGAGCAGCACGGTGAGCCCGTGTCCAATGAGGATGGAGGCAGGCCCAGGCCAGGACACCTCTGTCAGGAGACAGCCTCACGAGTGAGCGATGGGGATTCCCAGCCGGACTGCCCTGGGGTTTTCTCTCAGGCACCAGGCTCAGGGCTGGTCAGTGTGTGGGGGCGAGCACCTATGGGCCTGGGGCATCACAGTGGACAGAGGACAGCCTGGGGCCCTCACCCCTCCACCCCTGGCTCCAGTACCGTTTAAGCAGCTTGAAGGTTCAAGTTCACTTCAAACCACACACGAATTTCCTTTTATTTTTACTTTGCACTGCCAAAACTGGGGGCCTTCTAACTCAGAAGACAGGGTGGGAAAGTGGCCTTGGTCCACTGAGCAGTCCTGAAACACCACCACCCAGGCAGGATGCCGGCCGAGGAATCCCATTCAGTCCCCATGGGAAGGAGGGGGCCCCCAGCCACCGAAAACCTTGGGCAGCCCCAGCCTGCTCCTTCTTCCTGGAGTTTTCCAGCTTCCCCACAACTTGCCTTGGGGTTGTTCCTATTGGAGTGTGTGTCAGCGTGTGTGCGTGGATATGTGTGTGAGCAGGCATATGCATGTGAGCCTGTAGGAGTATGCATGAGTGTGCGTGCATATGCATGTGAATGGGCAAGTGTGTGTATAAGCAGGCATGTGTGCGGACGTGTGTGAGCAGGCATATGCATGTGAGCCTGTGTGAGTATGCGTGTGTGTGATCGTATGCATGTGTGTGATCATATGCGTGTGTGTGATCATATGTGCATATGCATGTGAGCAGGCAAGTGTGTGAGCTGGCGTGTGAGCAGGTGTGTCAGCATGTGTGAGCAAGCATATGCATATGAGCGTGTGTGAGCATGTGTGAGAGCAGGCATATGCACATGAGCGGGTGTGTGCATGTGTGAGCAGGCGTGTACATGCATGAGCAGGTGTGAGCAGGTGTGTGCATGTGAGCCTTCATGAGCGTGTGTGTGAGCGTGTATGCATATGCATTTGAGTGGGCGAGTGTGTGAGCTGTGTGAGCGTGTGTGTGAGCAGACATGCATATGAGTGGGAGTGTGCGTGAGAGCAGGTGTGAGCGAGTGTGTGTGAGCAGGCATATGCATATGAGTGGGTGTGTGCATGAGAGCAGGTGTGAGCGAGTGTGTGTGAGCAGGCATACGCATATGAGTGGGTGTGTGCATGAGAGCAGGTGTGAGCGAGTGTGTGAGCAGGCATATGCATATGAGTGGGTGTGTGCATGAGAGCAGGTGTGAGCGAGTGTGTGTGAGCAGGCATATGCATATGAGTGAGTGGGTGTGTGTGTGTGTGTGAGCAGGCGTGTGCATGCATGAGCGTGAGCAGGTGTGTGCATGTGAGTGGGTGTGTGTGGGGGGTGGTTTGCTTTTTAGTTAGAAAGTTTAGGCAGACCCTAGCGGCAGCCGCTGAGGCCTGAGGGAGGTCCTGGCCACCCAGGAGCAGGTGCTGACCCCAGAGGAGGCTCCAGGGGCCTGACACGGCTCTGCAGGTCTCTCTTGGAGACTGAGGAAGACTGGGGAGTGTTCAGTGGTGACAGTGAAGCCATCCCCTGCAGTCCAGCCATACACGTATCCAGACACAAACGTTTGGCACATGTACCTGGCACACACAGCCCTCAGACATATGTCCAGGCACACCTGTGCACACACCAAACAGTGTGGAGTCGCCTCTGCCTGGGCCCCAGGGAGGCATCCCCAGAGCTGCTCATAGGGACCCCATCATTGGGTGGTCAGATTTGCAGCTCAGAAGTAAAGATGGCAACACACTCAGAATCCGCCTGGCCTGGAATTCCTCGGCCCGGTCAGGAATTGAAGAGAAAAGCAAGTGTGGGGGGGGAGTGTGTGTGTGTACACATATGTGTGTGCGTGTACATGTGTGCACTTTGTGTGGTGTATGTATGCGTGTACATGTGTGCACTCACGTGTGTGGTGTGTACGCATGCGTGTGCATGTGCACTAGTGTGTGTGGTGTATGTGTGTATGCATGTGTGCACTCGTGTGTGGTGTATGCATGTGTGTGTACACGTGTGCACTCGTGTGTGTGTATGTGTGCGTGTACTTGTATGCACTTGTGTGTGTGCGTGTGTGTATACAGTCACGTCACATAATGTCGTTTCAGTCAACAACAGACTACATATGTGACTAAGGTTTGATAATCTGACGATAGGACTGAAAGCTTCCTCTCGCTGTGTGATGTAACTGTTGTGACATCACAGCGTGGCGGCACTGGTGTGAAGGAGCCGCTGCGCCGCCTGCTGTGGGAGAGTCTGGCACACTCAGGGATGCGCAGTGTGTCGTACTTCAGAGCAACAACAAACAACTGTGTTACTGGTGTCTGCGTTTCTTCTCCCACACTTCTTACCATTACTGTAATGCACTCCTTCTACTTAATAAAAAAAGGTACCTGTAAACAGCCTCAGGCAGGTCCTTCAGGCAGGTCCACGGAGAAGAAGGCGCCGTTATCACAGGAGATGAGGCTGCATGCGGGTGGTTGCCCCTGAGGGCCTTTCCGTGGGACGCAGAGGCGGCAGAGAGGAACGTCGATGATCCTGACCCTGTGCGGGCCTAGGCTCATGTCTGTGTCGTTGTCTTCATTGTTATCAAAAAATGTTTTAAGATTTTGAAATATTAAATATAAAGAATAGGCAAAAAGTTTATAGAATATATAAACAATATTTTATACAGCTATACAATGTGTTTTAAGCCAAGTACTATTTGACAAAAGAGTGAAAAAGTTGAAAAATGTTAAAGTTTATAAAGTAAAAAAGTTACAATAAGTTAAGGTTAACTTATTACGAGAAAATACATTTCAGTACATTATGTTACTCTTAGCGTCTCAGCGTTCCGTATTTATAAAGTCTGACATTCTGTTACTCTCAGCGCTGGGCATTTCTAAAGTCTGCAGTGCACAGTTGATCCCAGGCCTTCCCGCTCACCCCCGCCCGCTCACCAGCTCACCCCGAGCCCGTCCCAGCCCTGCCAGCTCCCTTCGCGAGCGGGGCTCCGCAGAGGTGCACGCTTTTTCTTCTTTAGACCTTGTTTTTACTGTTCCCTCTCTACGTTTAGGTATGTTCAGATGCGCAGGTACTTACAGTGTGTTACGCCACCTGCGGTGGTCGGTGGCCTGCTGTGCGGGTCTGCAGCCCTGGAGCCACGGGCCTCCCACTGTACAGCCCAGGCGTGGAGCGTACACGCGCTGTGATGTCCCACAGCGAAATCGCCTAAGGGTGCGTTTCTCAGACCGTATCCCCGTCGTTCCGTGACACGTGACTGTGTGTGTGCAGAACCCTTGCCAAACAGCCTGGAAGGATGACTTGGTGGCTATTGAGGGCTGGACCACAGCGGAGCAGAGAGGCTGGAAAGCCGAGCCCCACAGCCCGGCACCATGGCGTGGGTCCCCGGCCGACCCCACAGGCCAGTGCGATGTCGTGGGTCCCTGGCTGACCCCACAGCCCAGCACCATGGCGTGGGTGCCCGGCCGACCCCACAGGCCAGTGCGATGTCGTGGGTCCCTGGCTGACCCCACAACACAGTGCCGTGGTGTGGGTCCCCGGCTGACCCCACAGGCCAGTGCGATGTCGTGGGTCCTTGGCTGACCCCACAGCCCAGCACCATGGCGTGGGTGCCCGGCCGACCCCACAGGCCAGTGCAATGTTGTGGGTCTCTGGCTGACCCCACAACACAGTGCCGTGGTGTGGGTCCCTGGCTGACCCCACAGGCCAGTGTGATGTCGTGGGTCCTTGGCTGACCCCATAGCCCGGCACCATGGCGTGGGTCCCCGGCCGACCCCACAGGCCAGTGCGATGTTGTGGGTCCCTGGCTGACCCCACACCCATAGCCCGGCACCATGGCGTGGGTCCCCGGCCGACCCCACAGGCCAGTGCGATGTCGTGGGTCCCTGGCTGACCCCACAGCCCGGCACCATGGCGTGGGTCCCCGGCCGACCCCACAGGCCAGTGCGATGTTGTGGGTCCCTGGCTGACCCCACACCCATAGCCCGGCACCATGGCGTGGGTCCCCGGCCGACCCCACAGGCCAGTGCAATGTTGTGGGTCCCTGGCTGACCCCACAACACAGTGCCGTGGTGTGGGTCCTTGGCTGACCCCACAGGCCAGTGCGATGTCGTGGGTCCTTGGCTGACCCCACAGCCCAGCACCATGGCGTGGGTGCCCGGCCGACCCCACAGCCCAGTGCCATGACCTGAGTCCCCAGCTGACCCTATGGGCCAGTGCAATGTCGTTGGGTCCCCAGCTGACCCCATGGGCCAGTGCGATGATGTGGGTCCCCAGCTGACCCGACAGCACAGCACCATGGAATGGGTCCCCAGCTGACCCCAGCTCGGCTGTTTTCCTATTGTCATGGACTGTCTTATCTATGGGCAGGTGCTGAGGAAGGACCCCCAGAGCTGCTGAAAAGCCTTAGACCGTCCTTTGTCTCCTCTCATGAGGAGCACAAGGCTGGGAGCTGCCATCTGTGGATGTGGCCCACGTGGGGTCTCCTGTGGCTGTGGGACTCTCCCACGGTGTCCGGCGGCCCTGTCTCCTGAGCGTCGGGTTTCGTCAGTTGGATTCAGACCCGCGTTCCTCCTGAAAAGGATCGGAAAGCTGGGTTTTTAATTTTTCTGCCATCACGTTTCCCTGTCAATGCAAATCATTGGTTCAGCCAACAGTGATATTGAACTCTGTTTACATTTAGGGCGAGGAGTTGCAGAGACTTTTCTCCCCGAAGGCGGAGTTCTGATTTCCAGAGCACTGTGCATGGTATGCTTCTGACTGAGGCCCTGAGTGTGCAGCAGGTCAGCGTGGCCCAGGCCTCAGTGAGGCCATGCCCGTCCACACGCTCAGAGCCCCCAGGGACCAACAGTGTCCTTAGGGGGACAGGAAGTCCCCAGGCCCCTCAGTGCCAGCTTGGATGCACCAGGGAAGACCCCCGGGGTAGTGAGGGGTCCTCAGAATCCTGATCTGGGCAAAGGTCTCTCCACCCACGAGTGTACAGAGGAGGGTCGGGGATCTTATCCCCTGAGGCGCCTCATGCCAGACAGAAGCTGTGGCCACACTCCGTGGCTTCTGCCTCAGGAACTTGCAAAGGGTGCACAGGCCTGGAATGGTTCAGAAACACCTCAGCCTGGGATTTCCGGCTTCCAGAACCTGCACCAACAGGCGTTAGGGGCTGCCTGGGGCTTCGCTCGCTGCTGTGCTGTGGTAGCCGGAGGGGCCCAGCATCGGAAGTTCCAGTAGGTGGGGCTCCACGTCAGGGTGTGTCCCCAGGCACCCCCATTCCTGCTAACATCGAAGCTCTCGGGAAGGGAGGTGGTGGGGGGCTCTCGGGGGTCCGGCTACAGTGAACAGTCTGTGTTCTATGGCCCGGCGCCCTCCTCACCCTGCAGGAGCCCCGGCCGTAAGCATCAGTGACCCCCTCACCCTGCAGGAGCCCCGGCCCCATGCCCACGCCAGCCCATGGAGGTAGCCCTGGCGTCCTCAGAGCCCCCCGGCCCTGTTCAGAGTCCCCTGGGCCTGTTCTCCCTCTTCTTGTTCACGTGCCCCTTGATGCGCAGTCCCGTGCTCACTGTGCCCGGTGCATTCACCAGGCTGGGGACACTCACTCAGGGCTGCGGCCTCACGACTTCGGTGCTCAGCCACGCAGCACCGTGCTCACAGACCCCACGCCGTGGACCCTGGCGGCCAGAGGCAGGGATGACCCACCCTGGGCGATAGCCACACCGTGCAGGAAGCCCGGTGCTCTGCTCTCTGAAGCTAAACGAATTCATGTCGGCCAAGAGCTCCAGCTACTCGTTCCCTCTGCTCACATGCCCAGCCTCTCTGCAGCACCTGCTGCTTCTAGGAGGTGGAGCAGCCCCAGCAGCCCCAGGCCCTCAAAGGCCTACGTGGTAAGGCACAGCCCGGGCCTGGCTGCAGCCCAGACAGGCACAGGGCCAGCACCGAGGACTGGGGGTGCTGAGGACTTGAGGGGTGCTGGTGGTTGCTGGAGGCAGAGCCAGGGTCGGACGCTGTGCCGCACGCCTGCGAGGGGCGATGGTCCTTCTGGGCTCCAGAGCTCCCTGAGTGCTCCATGAGAGCTGTGGGCCCGCTGTGAGCAGAGCCCTCATTGCAAGAGGCCATCTGTGCCCCTGCACTTTGGTGCTGTCCAGGACTGCGTCCCCCACAGCTGTGAAAGCTCTGGGGTCACTGCAGAAGGTTGGAGGAATGCTGATCCGGGACAACTTCATTAAGGACGTGGCATCGGAGGGCCCCACACAGCAGAGCTGTCATTCTGGCTCACCTGAGCGGGAGCTTTGCTGAGGACTCTCCTTTCCTCTGTGCCCATCTCTGGTACGGGGTGACTGTGGCGCAGCGTGTGCTTCCTCATGACGCCCGGGCCCCTCTCTCCCATGGCCCAGGTCAAGGCAGGAGGACGCTCGGTTTCCCATCTGCACAGCTGGGCCTGTCCTTCCTGGGCGGTCCTTTGTCCACTGTCTTCCTGAGGGGAGTTTGAGGAGAAGCCCCAGGTCTAACTCTGTGGCAGACAGGCCCACCGCCCTGCATCTCGGGACACAGCAGGCAGTGTTTCCACTGTAAACGCGGGGAGAGGGACCCACTTTCAGAGAAAGAATTTGGCATCTGGTGAGAGCATCTCGTTTCCAGGGGGAATTTCAGAAAGAGTTTGCATCCGCATAATATAAATACACACTTGGCAAAAGCAAAACACAAAGCCAGGCTCTTTGGATTCTTAGACTAAAAATGTGCTGGGACCGCCAGGCTTCGTGCCACGTCTGGTTCGACCTCGACTCCCTGGTGTGCTCTGCAGAGGTCATGGCGTCTTCGGGTGCCACATGCCCGTCTCTGGGTGGCACGGGCCCCTGAGACTTCTATGAACTTGCATCTCCAGCTTTTCAAGTTTTACTGGAGTGTCATTGAGGCAGTAACTTGATGTGAGAAAGAAAGCAAATGCCTAGATTGTCTGGAGACCACACGCTGGGAACAGGAAAGGCACTGCAGTGCACTGTGGGGGCATGTGTTCATTTGACAGCACTCTGGGTGCCTGCTCTGAGCCAGGCCCTGCTCTGGGTTAACAAGACAGACAGACACATCCCTGCCATGGAGCTCTGGGGGTGGCAGGGGACAGCATGGTGGGGAGGAGCCTGGGAATAGTGTGCTCAGCAGGTGAGCAGCACCTGTGGGGGAGGAGCCTGGGGGTGCCACGAGGAAGCTTGCTGAGGATGGCATGGCTGGTGGGGGACAGCACGGTGGGGCGGAGCCTGGGGGTGCCATGCGGAGGCTTGCTGAGAAGAGCCATAAACAGTCACCCTGGGTGACTCCAAGCTGTGGGAGGCCAGTGCGGTGCAGGGACCCAGTCGGTCACTTTGGAGGGCAGGTCCACATTCATTGTCACAACTAAAAAAATTCCCAAAAATCAAGACCCACCAAAGACGATCTTACAGTTGCAAACTGTGAACCACGTAAGGACACATTCCACAGATAGCAAGAGTCCAGAAATACAACAAAGGCAGGACAGACCGTCAATAATGCCAAATCATCGAATAATTGATACAAATTATAATATTGTAAATTATTAAAAGCATGACAGAATTAGAAACATAAGTACCACACTATGAAAAAAATCCCAACAGATAAAAAAAAGTAGGACTCATAGAAGTATTATCATTAAAATTAAAAGCTCCAGGGATGAATTAAGTGCCGGAGTAGACACAGCTGGAGAAGGGATTGAGGAATGGGATGGCAGGCCTGGGGAATGGCCCAGAATGCAGCACAGAAACGTGGCAGGATGGGACAGGAGGGTCGGGGCTGGGAGAGGAGGGAAGAGCCCAGCGCTTGCGCAGTGAGGGTCCACGAGGGGCACACTGGAGAGTCAATGGCTGGGCGTTTTCCAGAATTATCCAAGACATAAACCTCAGGAAGCATGGTGAGTCCTGAGCAGGAGGAATGGAAGTAAATCCACACACAGACATGTCAGAGTGAAACAGCGGAACATCAAAGACGAAGAGAATATTTTTGAAGCATTGTGGGAAAAATGTCCTATTACATAAGAATGCAAGTGGCGGCGGGTTTCCAGAACAACCACAAAAATACACACCAGGAGAAGTGGAGGCGTTCAGTCAAAGAGCTGGTGGAAAACCCCACCCACACACTTAGAGTTCTCTCAGCAGCCAAGTCAGCCTTCAGAACACTGGCCACCATAAAGACAGTACCTGGCGATGGAGAGACACAGCCCCACCAGCAGGTCCCACAGAGAACCAGGAGTAGCTGAGCTTCTGGAGCAGGGTGGGATGAAGAAGGAAGAAGAACATTTGTGTAAAGCTTAAAAACATGTAGGCTGAGGCGAGCTGCTTTTTGTGGACTCATGCATGGCGGTAATATAGAAACATACTTGGGGCTGGGCACGGTAGAACACTTGGGGAGGCCGAGGCAGGAGGATTGCTTGAGGCCAGTAGTCTCAGACAAGCCAGGGCAATGTGGCAAGACCCCGTCTCTACAAAAAATAAAGACTTAGCAGGAGTGGTGGCACACGCCTGTAATTCCATCTGCTCGGGAGGCTGAGGCAGGAGAATCACTTGAGCCCAGGAGGCAGAGGTTGCAGTGAGCCGAGATCACATCACTGCACTCCAGCCTGGGTGACAGAGGGAGACTCTGTTTCAATAAATAAATAAATAACTTAAAAACCATACTTGGGATTCTTGAAAGGTCTGAGTTACACTGGGAGGAATGAGAGGGTTTGGTGGTGCAGGGGAGATCTGATCCCCTCCTGCCAGTGCCTTCCTGAAATCTCGAAACATGTTGTATCATAGAGATTCAGGGAACCTGCCATCAGCATTTTGGTGAAAGCCACAGGATGGCAGTGGCTCCTTTCTGACTCTCAGCAGATCTCATAGATGCTCCTGGGCAGGCCTTAGGGAAATCTGGGCTCCTAGTCTCATAGCTGGTGCCTGCAGAGCCAAGAACCGCATGGCACCTAGCGCTGGCAGCCTCCCTGCTGCCTCCTCACCTCCACACCTGAGAAGCCAGCAGGGCCCACGCTGGACTGGGGACGCTGCTGCATCTCTGATGTGGGGAAGCCTCAAACTCAAGCTCCAGAATGACCTAGAGATGATGCGTGTTTATAGGCCTGTGTGTGAATGTATCTGAGTAAATGCCTGCATGCAAAGACACACATGCCTGCATACACATAAACACGTGCCTGCATGCACACACACATAAACATGTGCCTGCATGCAAACACACACATGCCTGTGCACACATAAACATGCCTGCATGCAAACACACACATGCCTGTGCACACATAAACATGCCTGCATGCACACACACATGCCTGTGCACACATAAACACGTGCCTGCATGCAAACACACACATGCCTGTGTATGCATAAACATGTGCCTGCATGCACACACATGCCTGCATACAAACACACATGCCGTTGCACACATAAACACATGCCTGCATGCAAACACACATGCCTGTACACGCATAAACACATCTGCATGCAAACACACACATGCCTGTGCATGCATAAACGTGCCTGCATGCAAACACATGCCTGTGTACACATAAACACGCATGTGCAGAATTGCTCCAGAGCCCATGCCCCTACTCTGCCTTTGAGGAGGGGCATCCGTCTCCCGAGGCCTCCGCTGCATCCCCACCCCATTTAGGAGCTGACTTGGGGCCCTTCCCAGAGGCTGTGGGTGCTGGAGGGAGGGAGTTGCTCCCTGGAAGGGGAACTGGAGCTGTACCCTCTTAGGAGGCAGGAGGCAGTGGGGCTGTGAACGCCTGTGCTCCAGGCAGGAGGCCTGGGCCGGTGGCTCAGGTAGCAGCCTGGCACAGGGTAATGACTGTGTGCATGAGGCTGCTGATTGCCCATTTCAGGGATAATGGACGAGGTCACAGGAAGAGCTGGGATATGGTGTGGTTTTGAGGGAGCTCTAGCTCAATGCCATGCCCTGCACAGCTGTGGGGCCATGACTAATGAATAGCACCAGAGAGGGTGTGCATGGTGACCGCACAGGAACATGGCCGGGCCAGTCCTGCAGGGTTGAGAGGGTGTGTGTGGTGACACTCAGGAACACGGTCGGGTCAGTCCTGCTGCGGTGGGAGGGTGTGCGTGGTGACACTCAGAAACACGGTCGGGTCAGTCCTGCAGGGGTGGGAGGGTGTGTGTGGTGACACTCAGGAACACGGTCGGGCCAGTCCTGCAGGGGTGGGAGGGTGTGCATGGTGACAGGAACACGGCCGGGCCAGTCCTGCAGGGGTGGGAGGGTGTGCGTGGTTACACTCAGGAACACGGGCCAGTCCTGCAGGGGTGGGAGGGTGTGCGTGGTGACACTCAGAAACACGGCCGGGTCAGTCCTGCTGTGGTGGGAGGGTGTGTGTGGTGACACTCAGGAACACGGTCGGGCCAGTCCTGCTGCGGTGGGAGGGTGTGCGTGGTGACACTCAGAAACACGGTCGGGCCAGTCCTGCAGGGTTGAGAGGGTGTGTGTGGTGACACTCAGAAACACGGCCGGGTCAGTCCTGCTGTGGTGGGAGGGTGTGCGTGGTGACACTCAGGAACACGGTCGGGCCAGTCCTGCAGGGGTGGGAGGGTGTGCGTGGTGACACTCAGGAACACGGTCGGGTCAGTCCTGCTGCGGTGGGAGGGTGTGCGTGGTGACACTCAGGAACACGGCCGGGCCAGTCCTGCAGGGGTGGGAGGGTGTGCGTGGTGACACTCAGAAACACGACCGGGTCAGTCCTGCTGCGGTGGGAGGGTGTGCGTGGTGACACTCAGGAACATGGTCGGGCCAGTCCTGCAGGGGTGGGAGGGTGTGTGTGGTGACCGCTCAGAAACACGGTGGGCCAGTCCTGCAGGTGTGGGAGGTGATGCCCGCCTGGGGCTTGTTTTGGAAGAGTCTCAGGGGGCAAGGCCATTTGCTGCCTCCCGTGCATGTGAGAATGAACATTTTGCCCCCGAACTGCTGCCAGAATCTCACCAGTGTGCACCTTGGGGCCATTTTCCCTGACCTGTTCTCACAAAGCTGACATTGCTCACTCTGCAGGTTACTTGACACTCTGGGCAGGACAGGAGCTGTGTTCCCTCTGCTGGGGGAGCCAGCACTAGGGAGGAGAGGCCGAGAGGGGCTGCTACTGGGGCTGCCACGGCAGTGCCCGAGGCCATGAGTGCTTCTCTGGCGTCACCAACAGAGAAAGCTTTATGGGTGGGCAGAGCACATCTATAACGGGCAGGGCAGGTCCCACTGTCTGCAGCAGAGGCAGGCGAACACCAGAGCCTGCTGGCACCACAGAGCTTTCTGGTGACAGATGTGGCGGCTCTGGGAAGAGCAGATGTCACACCGAGCATTTGAGCGTCCCAGCTGCACACAGACACACGTGCCCCCAGCGAGGAAAACCAATGTGACTTTATTTTCTGCTCTTTCTTTTCTTTAGCTCTTGGAGTTTGACAAGGAGTTGTCTGTCTTTAAGGACAGACTGTATGAACTGGACATCTCGTTCCCTCCCAGGTATGGAACATGCTGTTTGCTGGATGAACCCGGCCGGGAAGGTGGCGTCTCCACCCTCCCAGTCTCTGGTGCATCTGCGTGTCTGTGTGTGCCAGTTTGTGCTGGGCATGAGTGTGTGCATTCTGTGTGCATCCAGAGTGTGTGTACCATACCTGTGTGTACACGTGTGTGTTGTGCATCTGTGTGCACAGGTGCGTCTGTGTGTGAACGTATGCGTCTGTGTGTGTGCACATGTGCACGAGTGTGTGTGCACGAGTGCATCTGTGTGTGCACCTGTGCATCTGTGTGTGCACGTGTGCATCTGTGTGTGCACGTGTGTGTTCTTGTGTGCATAGTGTTTTTGTGTGTGCACATGTATCTGTGTGTCCTGCACTTGTGTGCAAACTGCACCTTCTCCTGCCCTTTTCATGACATGAAAAAAGCAGCTGAGAGTAATAAGTAATTCTGTTATCTTTTTCCAAAAAAGGTTTTTTCCAATATGCAAAATACTTTCTTATCAGACTTGCTCACGAGGGACCTACGGGGACTGTGTGTTATGGATCTTTCTGGCAATATCGGGGCCTCCAAATGCAGTGTGTCTATGTGGGTGTGGATGTGTTTAAGGCATGCGTGTGTGTGCCTGGGTTTGAATGTGCAGATGTTGCGTGGGTGTCCGTGTGTGTGCAGACCTGGTGCAGATGTGCGTGGGGCGTGCGTCACACAGTTGTGGATGTGTGTGCATAAGGTGTGCTCGCGTACATGGTTGCATATGTGAGCATGAGTGAGAGCATGAGTGAGAACATGTGTGACGTGTGTAGGGCTCATGCATGTGGCTGTGCTCCACGGATGTGTGTGCACATGTGTGTGTGTTCACGCGTGGAGATGTGTGCCTGGGTGTGGATGTTTGTGTGCATTTTTATGCAGATTTGCCAGCACAGAGCAGTTCTCACTGTTGGAAGCCGCAGGGGACTTCCACTGGCAGATGTGGACTTTGCCTGTCAGCTGGGAGCAAGATTGGGAGCTGGAGGTGCGGCCTCAGGGAGCCTGGGTGGGAGCTGGAGGATGCGGCCTCAGGGAGCTTGGGTGGGCTTGGGTGGGAGCCGGAGGTGCGGCCTCAGGGAGCTTGGGTGGGAGTTGGAGGATGTGGCCTCGGAGCTTGGGTGGGAGCTGGAGGATGCGGCCTCGGAGCTTGGGTGGGAGCTGGAGGATGCGGCCTTGGAGCTTGGGTGGGAGACAGAGGATGCGGCCTCAGGGAGCTTGGGTGGGAGCTGGAGGATGCGGCCTCGGAGCTTGGGTGGGAGCTGGAGGATGCGGCCTCAGGGAGCTTGGGTGGGAGCCGGAGGATGCGGCTTCAGGGAGCTTGGGTGGGAGCTGGAGGATGCGGCCTCGGAGCTTGGGTGGGAGCTGGAGGATGCGGCCTCAGGGAGCTTGGGTGGGAGCCGGAGGATGCGGCTTCAGGGAGCTTGGGTGGGAGCTGGAGGATGCGGCCTCGGAGCTTGGGTGGGAGCTGGAGGATGTGTCCTCAGCTTGGGGACACAGGCTTTCCTGAAGCCAGAGGCAGTGCTGAGGTCTGAGCCTTGAAAGTGACGGAGCACTTTGGTGTCCAGGGGAAGTTTTTGGACAGGTTGGAGGAGCCTCCAGAAGGCAGTGGTGGCCCAGGCCTCTCGTCCTCCTCACGAGCTTCTTCCTGTTCTGCAAAGACACCGAGGCTCCCTGCCAGGCATGCCAGCCTTATCCTGTGGGAGGTGCAGGAAGCCTCAGGGGATCTCGGGCTCACACCCCTCTTCCTGGAGGGCTCCCCCATCCCGCTTGGATCTGAAGTCTGACTGCTAGACACACGGGCCCCCAGAGAGCCCCTCGCGCCCAGTGGCATTCCAGAAAGATCCATGGACCCCGACCCTCAGCGTTCCCAGGGTGCCCATGCGCCCAGTGGCATTCCAGAAAGATCCGTGGACCCCGACCCTCTGCATTCCCAGGGTGCCCACGCGCCCAGTGGCATTCCAGAAAGATCCGTGGACCCCAACCCTCAGCGTTCCCAGGGTGCCCACGCACCCAATGGCATTCCAGAAAGATCCATGGACCCCAACCCTCGGCATTCCCAGGGTGCCCACGCGCCCAGTGGCATTCCAGAAAGATCCATGGATCCCTGACCCTCAGTGTTCCCAGGGTGCCCACGTGCCCAGTGGCATTTCAGAAAGATCCGTGGACCCTGACCCTCAGCGTTCCCAGGGTGCCCACGCACCCAATGGCATTCCAGAAAGATCCATGGACCCCAACCCTCGGCATTCCCAGGGTGCCCACGTGCCCATTGGCATTCCAGAAAGATCCATGGATCCCTGACCCTCAGCGTTCCCAGGGTGCCCATGTGCCCAGTGGCATTCCAGAAAGATCTGTGGACCCCGACCCTCAGCGTTCCCAGGGTGCCCACGCGCCCAGTGGCATTCCAGAAAGATCCGTGGACCCCGACCCTCAGCGTTCCCAGGGTGCCCACGCGCCCAGTTGCATTCCAGAAAGATCCATGGACCCCGACCCTCAGCGTTCCCAGGTGCTCACGCGCCCAGTGGCATTCCAGAAAGATCCATGGACCCCGACCCTCAGTGTTCCCAGGTGCTCACACAGGCCTGGCTTCCTCTTCGGCATTTGGCTGGGTGAGATCAGCTTCCGCTTTCCCGCTGCGTCTGCCCTGGCGGGGGGTCCCGAGTGCCTCTGCGTGCCAGGCTCGTCCACCTGCCGCCTCACACTCTTCCCCGTGCAGCTCTGCCCCTGTCAGGACACGTTGGCCTTCCTGTGCTTTCCTGAAGGCTGCCAGGGCTCTGAGGCCGTGGGAAGGCGTCCTTGCCACGGCCTGGCCCCTGAGGCCTGTGTCTGACCCAGCTCCTCAGAAGCTGGGAGCCGAGCCGCCATCTGTACCTGCTGGTCTGGCAGCGTCTCCTTCCTGCGGTGACTCCCGGTTTTCAGAATCGTTTCATGGTTTTTGCTGTTGTTGTTTGAGTGAACGCATTGCAAACCGGCCGAGCAGCCAAGTACATCTTCCCATCACTGCCACAGTCCCCGCCCTGGTTTTGGGCAGAGGTGAGCTCACCACCTTGGAGTGGTTCAAGGCACCTTATCAGCATTGGTGGGCAGGACCCTCCCGCGGGCAGTAGACCCTCCATGGGGAGAGCCCGCACCTGCTGACCCTGAGAGGAGACAGCATTCCTAGCGCAGAGCTCCGGATACAGCCGCACCCGGGGCGTTGGTGCGTACACTGGCAGAGTGACGCCAGGAAATGTGTCATTGGCGGATGGTTCTGAAGACCAGCGGGGTCTTCTCCTGCAAAGGTGTTTGCCACTGATCCCATGGATGAATAGAACTCTGCTCTGAATGAATTGTAACTGAATGCTGTCTGTCATTTTGCCAGAAAAGGTGCTAATATTTCAGACATTTATACAACCCTCAATTTTTGTCCTTAACTAAAAGCACGGTTCTTCCTAGCGCCTTCTTTAGGGACAGCCACAAAAGTGACCTGTTTGAGGCGGTCAGGAGCAGGAGAGTGAGCAGGCGGGAAGGAGGCTGGCCAGACCTTGGGCTGCCTCTGCCTCTGCATAAGGAACTCTCCCGGGCGGGACCCTGAGCTGTAAGATGGTGCCTTCAGGCCAGGACAGCACCCAGGATACAGCCTCCCGAAGGCCTTTCATGCCATGTGCTATTTCCATCGGGTGTGACGTGTTAAAGCTCTACACGTGTGCTTAGAGTTACTGGGGGATGAGGGACCCATGGTGGCAGGGATGAGTCTTGCCCACTCTGGTCTCTGGAAACCAGGCGGCTATGAGTGGATGCGGGGTCAGGTGGCGTCAGCCCTTAGTGGTGAGCAGAGGCGGCGATGGGCTTTCTTCACCCAGCATTGGTCTGCCCGGCTCCCCAGACGCCAAGGCCCTCAGGGCAGGATTGTGGTGTGCGCCTCAACAGCAGCCCTGCAGCCCCCACCCCGTAGCTCCCCCCCCCCAAGTTCCTGATACGTGTGGCTCCCGGTACAGCCCAGGCTCAGGTGGCGGCGATTTGGACACCCCAGTGGTAGCATGGAGCTGCTGCCTTTTTGCGCATCCTAGCTAGAAGTGAATTTCTAATTTTTAGTTTAACTTTGAGAATTAACCGCCATTAACTCTAAGATAAAGAGATTTAAGATGGCTCCTCGGTGGCCGCTCCACTGGTGTGACAGCCCGACATTTCTAGGCGTTAGCATTTCTCACGAAACCCCATGTAGAACAGGGCTGGCGAGGGCGGCGCCTCTGGAACCAGAGTCCCACCTCTGCCCTGACACTGCAGAGTTGGGCACATTGCTCACCCCTCGTGGCCTCAGCGTCCCCCTCAGGATGCTATCGTCTCCTCTGGGCAGGCTGAGCCTTCAGGCCCAGGCCTGCCCGACGGTACCCACCCCCAGGTCAGCCTCTCCGCAGCCAGAGAGCCGAACGCTCCCAAGTCACCGCAGTGTCGCCGGCCATCGGGTGGCTCCTGTTGCAGCTTCCGGAATGTGGGGGGCACTGCGTTTCCTCGCGGAGGCCGTGGTGCTGTGCATAGTCAGCCGGGGTTTGGCTCTCCCTCTTTGTCTGTGTGGACGCTGAGCGTATGGAGGATGGGAATTGTCACGTCCATTGCCTGGGGGCTCCCTGTGTCTGTGGACTCCTTACATAGTGAAGAGACTGCATCATTCATTTATTAAGAAGAAAGCCACATGCCACCATCGAAATGGCCCCGCAGAGCCTCGCTGGCCGCCCCGGTGGCCTGGCCACTTCCCTCTTCCAGCTACTGAGGACCCTGGAGCTTTTGTCTATGTGGGTTCCATCTGTTGGTCATGGCCATCAGTTTTTAAATATTTATTAGTCCGTTTTAAAAATAACACAATTACATGTTTACATAAGTAACATTTTTGTGAAAAAAGTACCCATGCACGGGGAGGTCTCCTTCCGCCAGGGCGTGATCTGGGAGCCGCACACACAGGTCCCGGGAAATCCCAGCCACCCAGGGTGTGGGAGTCTCGACGCGGCACGTCTGGCACCCAGTGCGAGCAGCACCTTCCTCAGAATATGGCAGAGCTCAAGGGAGGGGTCTCTGTGGTGGGGACGCCGCCAGCCTCTGGGAGGAATACGTTTTCCAACACCCTCGGGTCTCCTTGAAAGCTTAAATTTTGTCATTGGCAACAAATAGCATCCGCTGCTGCTGGAAGAGGCAGGCTCGTCCGCCCTTCTGGAGAAAATGCCTGTTAGCCACCGAGGTCTAAGTTACCACAGTCTGTCTGTCAATCTTTCTGGCAAAATATGGTGTCCGTGAAAACGAGCAGCTGCTTTAGCTGACGACTCAGATGCAGGCACGCTCCCCTGAGAGATGAGGGCCATGTCATCCCTCTGGGCAGAGGACTCCCTGGAGGCCTCATCTCATCCCACCCAGCCCAAGACCCCATCTCCCAGGCCTGGGGTTCAACACAAGGAATCATTTCTCCTGCTTCCCTCGTAAGTGAAGGTAGCTTTTTGTTTAGTGCTGAGGGATTGACCCTGGGAGAGACCCTGCCCAGCACGGCCCGGCCTCTGCCTGGTTCCCACGCCGGCGCCGGCAGTTTTACCACCTTGGGCAGCTTTTGCCACATCCGTGCAATGCCAGCTCCATGAAATCAGTGAATATCACCTTAGTGTGCTCGTCAATGTAGATCTCCCCTCTCAGACTGCCGCAGGGGTCCCAGGGACCCACAGGGGGCCACACGCCAACTCCAGAACTGCCCAAAACTTGGAAGTATCCCCAGTGCCCATGAAGAGTGGGACGGACACTCAGCACTGACACGGAGGCCCCGGCAGCCGCCCCGCGAAGAGTGGGACAGACACTCAGCACTGACACAGAGGCCACGGCAGCCACCCCATGAAGAGTGGGACAGACACTCAGCACTGACACAGAGGCCACAGCAGCCACCCCATGAAGAGTGGGACGGACACTCAGCACTGACACGGAGGCCCAGGCAGCCGCCCCGTGAAGAGTGGGGCACTCAGCACTGACACGGAGGCCACAGCAGCCACCCCGCGAAGAGTGGGACAGACACTCAGCACTGACACAGAGGCCACAGCAGCCACCCGATGAAGAGTGGGACGGACACTCAGCACTGACACAGAGGCCACGGCAGCCACCCCACGAGGAGTGGGACAGACACTCAGCACTGACACAGAGGCCACAGCAGCCACCCGATGAAGAGTGGGACGGACACTCAGCACTGACACAGAGGCCACAGCAGCCACCCGATGAAGAGTGGGACGGACACTCAGCACTGACACAGAGGCCACGGCAGCCACCCCACGAGGAGTGGGACAGACACTCAGCACTGACACAGAGGCCACAGCAGCCACCCGATGAAGAGTGGGACGGACACTCAGCACTGACACAGAGGCCACAGCAGCCACCCGATGAAGAGTGGGACGGACACTCAGCACTGACACAGAGGCCACGGCAGCCACCCCACGAGGAGTGGGACAGACACTCAGCACTGACACAGAGGCCACAGCAGCCACCCCATGAAGAGTGGGACGGACACTCAGCACTGACACGGAGGCCACGGCAGCCACCCCACGAGGAGTGGGACAGACACTCAGCACTGACACAGAGGCCACGGCAGCCACCCCATGAAGAGTGGGACAGACACTCAGCACTGACACAGAGGCCACAGCAGCCACCCGATGAAGAGTGGGACGGACACTCAGCACTGACACAGAGGCCACGGCAGCCACCCCACGAGGAGTGGGACAGACACTCAGCACTGACACAGAGGCCACGGCAGCCACCCCACGAAGAGTGGGACGGACACTCAGCACTGACACAGAGGCCACGGCAGCCGCCCCACGAAGAGTGGGACGGACACTCAGCACTGACACGGAGGCCACGGCAGCCGCCCCACGAAGAGTGGGACGGACACTCAGCACTGACACGGAGGCCACGGCAGCCGCCCCACGAAGAGTGGGACGGACACTCAGCACTGACACGGAGGCCACGGCAGCCGCCCCACGAAGAGTGGGACGGACACTCAGCACTGACACGGAGGCCACGGCAGCCGCCCCACGAAGAGTGGGACGGACACTCAGCACTGACACGGAGGCCACGGCAGCCACCTGCAGCGAGCCGCCGCTGCGCACAGCTCCACAAGTGAGTTTAAAGCCGGGTTGCACAGGTGGAGAGGACGCCCTGGGACTCCACAGGGTGCTGTTACTGCAGGCGGGGAATCACCTCCCACCGCCCTCCCCGGTGGAGGCCTCTGGGCTGTGGGCCGGCGCAGGGTGCGGTGGGCTGGTGAACACCCATGTCCCGTGTGCACTCAGCCTTGTGTGTGCCTCACTGTGAAGTGAAATTTACTAAAATAAATGGAAAAGTTTAGAAGTTCTATTGCTACCCGTCAAAACGTTTCAAAGTTTTTATCATACGCAGAGCAGGTCCAGTGGGAAAAAATCACTCCTTCCCAAAGAAAGACTGACTCTCAGAGGTGGGAGAGGGATGTTTTCATTGAACAATTACTGAGCAAGATCGAGTTTTAGCTTCTGAAAAACACAAAAATATACGCAACACAGGAATGAACTGCGCAGACAAGTCCAACCAGAGGTCGTCTCTCTTTAATGGACACATATATTTTTAAATTAGGGATTAGGAGGCCCCTTTCAAACTTTCCGTGGGCCATAATTTATGTTCTCCTGTCTTTAGATGTGTATTTATAGTGTAATAATTATCTAGCAAAATGAACTCTACTGCCTGCGAGCTGGGTGCTCAGGAGGGAGCGAGGCCGCCCGTCCGCCTGGTGGTCAGGAACCCTGGGTGCCTGTGGCTCATACAGACTGTGGGACCTGTGCCGAGGGGGAGGACAGTGAGGGAACCCGTCCCACAGAAGAGGCCTGCCAAGGGTTCTGGTCACCCGGAGAGCTTTTGTCCCTCGAGATACGGGCGAGGGGAGCACCCAGGACAGCCTCCTGCTCTGTTGCCCGGGCTGGAGTGCAGTGGTGATCTTGCCTCACTGCAGCCCCATCTTCTGGGCTCAAGCGATTTTCCCCCCTCAGCCTCCCAAGTAGCTGGGACTACAGGTGTGCACCACCACACCTGGCTAACTTTTTTATTTTGTATAGAGACAGGGGTCTTACTATGTTGTCCAGGCTGGTCTTAAACTCCTGGGCTCAAGTGATCCTCCCGCCTCAGCTTCTCAAAATGCTGGGATGACAGGCGTGAGCCCCCATGCCCAGCCCCCCAGACCCTCTTGGAAGTCTGTGCCGCTTCCTTCTCCCGCTCGGTAGCTTCAGCATTGCCACAGCTGTAATCGTTTAGTTCTTTCTCTTTGGTTTTAGGGCCTTCTCCTTTTCAGGAATTCCAGTGGCAGCTGGTGTGTTTGGAAGCGGGTGTCTGAAGCCAGCATTGCCAGTGGTGCCTGCAGGCTGCACGGGAAGGCAGAGCTTTGATGAGGTCCTGCTTGTGACGGGGGTGTGTCAGAACCGTTTTCTCTGTAGTGTGCTGCACCCTCCTGCTCCGTGTACACAAGAGCGGCGTGGTAATTGGTTAATATTTTAACCAGGCGGGAGTCAGAGGAGGGGCTTTCACCCTGACGCCCACCTGGAGAAGTGAGGCTGCGCTCCTGCCGCTTCCTCTGAGCACAGCTCGGGGAGTTGGCGTGAACTGTCGCCGTTCACTTGTGGTTCAGGGCGGCTGAGCACTGTGGCGAAGCCGTGGGCCCCCACCCAGCCTGCCTTCTGGGGTCCTCCCAGGCCCGTTGGTCTCTCCTGTGCCGTCAGCCCTGCCCCAAGACCTCGACATAGCCGGGCTTTTAAGCTTGTTGTCTGCTTCTCGGGCCCGTGGCGACCCTACCTACCCAGCCCAGCCTGCTCAGGTTCTAAAGCTGGGCCTTGTCAGCAGGGCCAGTCAGCCTGGCCACAGCAAACAATCTGCCGTGCAGCCTACACAGGGGCTGCTGCCCGCATCCTACAGGGAGGAGAGAGGGGCAGGGAGGAGAGAGGGGCACGGAGGAGAGAGGGGTAGGGAGAGACGGGCAGGGAGGAGGGGCAGGGAGGAGAGGCAGGGAGGAGGGGCAGGGAGGAGAGAGGGGCACGGAGGAGAGAGGGGTAGGGAGAGACGGGCAGGGAGGAGGGGCAGGGAGGAGAGAGGGACAGGGAGGAGGGGCAGGGAGGAGAGAGGGGCAGAGAGGAGGGGCAGGGAGGAGGGGCAGGGAGGAGGGGGGGCAGGGAGGAGGGACGGAGGAGAGAGGGGCAGGGGGGAGGGGCAGGGAGGAGAGACAGGCAGGGAGGAGGGGCAGGGAGGAGGGGCAGGGAGGAGAGAGGGGCAGGGAGGAGAGAGGGGCAGAGAGGAGGGGCAGGGAGAGAGGGAGGGGCAGGGAGGAGAGGGGGCAGGGGGAGGGGCAGGGGGAGGGGCAGTGCCTGCAGAGGCTAGCACAGGAGTACGATTGTTCGCCCTATCACAGCCGCTCCCACGCTGTAGGCGCAGGTGCGCCCCTGTCCTGTGTGCCTCCCCCCCCACCCAGCAGGTATGCTTTCAGATAAGCCCACATGCCTGGCACTCCCACGTCAGTCACTGCTGGGCAGCGTCCAGGCCCCGCGTCCTGCTGCTCTGCAGCGTGGCCCCGCCAGCACCTCCCACCTGTGGGTACAGCGGTTGTGTGCAGTCCACACTGGCCTTCCCCAGACCCAGCTGGAACCAGCCCCTCCTGCATTTCTCCCTGGGTGTTGGGGGCCACAGGGAGCACCCCTGGCTGTGGATTAAGGGTGTTGCCCCCAACAGCCTGGCCAGGACACCTCTCTCACCCAGGCTTCTTCCTCCTGTTGAGTCGTCTGTGAACACTCCCAGGGAAGCCCTTCCTGGAGCAGATGGGCTGAGGAAGCCGCTGCCACTCTGGCATCCCTGTTCTCTCTTGCTCATCCCCAGAGCCCAGTCTGTCTGAGCAGCAATGCCCATCAGACCCTGTCCCATGGACAGAGGGCGGCTGTGCTTCCTGCCACGCCCTGGCTTCTCTCCGTGCCCCCAGGGGACGCCAGGTGGCACGGGCTCTCCAAGCTCCATGGGGTGCATGAGGAGGGAGAACTGGTTCGGTTCCAGCTTCCTATTTAGAAGTCACCTATTGTGTGCTGTGTGCATGTGTGTCCGGGGGGCAGTGGACGTGTGTGCGGATGCAATGGACATGTGTCCAGGGGCAGTGGACGTGTGTCAGGGGCTGGGCAGGCCCCTGCCTGCATCCAGTTTCCACTCGTGTCCGCGGTTGGGATCAGCTGAGAAGCTCCTGAACAAAGTGGCCCAGCCTCTCAAACATGTGAAATGGGGCAGGCCACCAGGTTGCTGGCTCTCCTGAAAGCATGTGCAGCTGTTCTCTGCTCTGTGCTCTTCAGAGACATGCATGACACGCAGGCCCTGCGTAGCTACGTTTTTAACCAAGCAGTGACTGCCCAAGGCCGGGTGGCAGCCGTGGCTCCTGTGAGTGTGGCTCCCGCTGGAGCGCGCGGAGGATGGGAGCTCCTGCGTCAGGGCAGAGCAAGTTCCCAGTCCCCGGCTGTTTCCAGGTGGTTGGGCACAGGGCCCACAGGCGCCCCTGTGGGCAGGGTCCGGGGGGCATGGGAGGGGCTGCAGAATCCGCAGCTGAGGTGCCGGGATGGACCCGAAACCCAATCACAGCCAACAGGGAAATTTCACAGAGAATCAGATCCCAGTCGCGACAGGTGCTGTATGATATTTTGGAATTAACTGAAAAAACTCTTGAGACTCTGGTGAAGGCCCCAGAGATGTTGAGAGTAAGCAGAGACGCTGCACTTAGGGGCAGGTGGCTGAGCTCAGCCACAGGACCCCCGGGGTTCGTTCACTCCAAGTGGAATTCGTTACCACTTCAGTGCAGTCCCAAGCAACATGCCCATTTGGGGGTGGGTTTGCAGCCTGATGGGTGGGTCGGGCCCCCTGAGAACCTGCAGGCCCGGAAGTGGGGGCTGTGCTTGCGTGTTCCAGACTCGGCGGGTAGTGGGGGCCATGGCCATGAGGCTCCAGGCTGGTGGGGGAGTGATCAGTCCGTGTGTGCGTGGACTGCTCTGCTGTGTGAGGGCGGGGGCCAATGGCTCAGAGACACAGCAAGGCCGCGGAGGAGCCCAGATGAGCTGTGCCCTGGCCGGCGGTGGGTGGTGGAGACGCAACCAGCAGACCCCAGGCAGTGTGGGATGCGCTCACTGTGTGGGTGAAGGGCTCCGCCCTCAGGGCTACTGGCACCGCCATGTGGCCAGCCCCATTCCCAGACCCGCAGAGGGCGTGGGCAGGCCCAGGAAGCAGTGAGTCGGGGACAGTCACCCTCCACTGCAGCAGTGACCCGGGGCCACAGCCTGAGCACCTGGATGCTCCCCGAGGTGGGAGCGGCGTTGGTCAAAGCGGAGACCACGTGTGCCACACCCCAGAGCTGCCTGCACTTACAGGCGTTTCGAGCTGATCCGGGCCAGGTCACCAGGTGGAGGAACGTCCTGGGACCAGATGACACTGGCTGCCATTTTGTTTCCATGGAGGTTTTCATCATACTTTAGACCATGTTCAAAAAACCAACAAAAACCAAAGCTCAACAGACAATTTCATGCAGTAAAGGAAGGACTGATGTGAAGATACTGTGCTATAGCTAAAATTTAGTCTCACATAAAAACAGTTTGATATAGAACTTAAATTGTGAATTTGGTTTTATATTCTAGAAACTTCCATGTGTGTATTCATTCCCCAGGTAGTGCTGGCCATTCTAAGGTGTATTGGGAGAGAATCGGCACAGCCGTCCCTTTGGGGCTGAGGACGGCCCGAGCCGGCCGGCTGACCCTCTGCCTTCATGTCTCCCCAGCTACCCGTACAGTGAGGACGCCCGCCAGGGTGAGCAGTACATGAACACCCGGTGCCCAGCCTGGTGTGACCGCATCCTCATGTCCCCGTCTGCCAAGGAGCTGGTGCTGCGGGTGAGTGTGTGCTGCCCCAGCCCTGGGCACAGAGGGATGTGGAGCGCTGGGTCTGGTCTGGCCCAGCCCTGGTGACAGGGCCCCAGGGGTGGGGGCACCCAGTCTGGGGAATGCTGCCAGGTTGGGCCCTGACCTCGTGCTGCCATGAGCTGCACCCCAGCATTGGGTCACCTCTGAGCCAGCACCTGGGCTGGGGCAGCAGCAGATGGAGCCGAGTTCCTGGGCCATGGGCAGCCAGCGTCATCCTGAGTTTGAAACATAACACAGGCGGTTAGCAGGAAGTGTTTTCAAATCGTGGTTCATTGTATCCTTGGAAGTCAACGTGCTCTTGTGCGTTCCAGCGCTCATGGGCTGGGCCGTGAAGCGCAGTAGAAATGTCTGAGGTTGTTTTCCTAAGTTGTAAATTAGAGCCAGATTCATTTGAGCCTCGATAAGTTAAAAATAAATAGGCGACATTTTCAGATGGCCTGGGCCTTGGGAAATTTTCAGATTTCCTGTGATTTTTTTTTTTTAATAATAATTTTTTTTTTTTTTTTTTTTTTTTTTTTTTACAAAAGAGGTGATAGGGGCTTGCTTGCTACATTGGCCAGGCTGGTCTCAAATTCCTGGGCTCCAGCATTCCACCCACCTCGGCCTCCCAAAGTACCCAGACTACAGGCAGGAGCCACTGCACCCGGTCAATCCTGTGATTTTTCAATTCCCACATTTTAACATACAAGGAGTGTTTTCAGAAGAATCAATATCTGAATTGGTTTTGTCAACCCCGTGAATGAAAATTAAATGCAGATAGTAATGAAAGCTTGCGGGTGTGCGTGGGAACTGCAGCTGTGCCCAACACCCAGAGCCGGGGCCTCTGAACATAACGTGGGTGTGCAATCGGAAGGAGGCTGGAGACTCTGGTGGTTCCACTGCCAGCCTGGTGGGCTCTGCCCCCTCTCCACTGTCCCAGGCCCAGAGCAGGGACAGGAGCCCCCTACTAACCCCGACTTCAACACCAGCTGTGTGAGGCTCCAGTTGTCCCTCACTGCCCATCTGTGTCTGTGCCAGACGGCACCAGACCCCAGGCACAGCAAACACCTGGGTACAGGTGTGCCCTCAGCAGGGCGGGGACCTCTGCAGCCCTGGTCCCTGAGATGCACCCTGCTGGCCTCTGCCATGTGGCTCTGTCTGCCGGGCCGGGTTCCTTACTGTTCCTTCCTACATCCTGGAGCACCCTGGGTGCAGCCTGCCCTCCGTCCCTGGCTGTGCTGTGAGGAGCCTGCCTGGTGGGGGCCTGGGCTGGAGGCGGGGCCCCTTGGCCAGAAGTCCCTGGGGTCTGCAGCCAGCCTGGCTCCTCCGCAGCCCCACCTCTGGCCTGTGGGCAGGGCCTGTGCCCATCATTGAGGAAAGTGTGCTGGCCACAAGCCCAAAAGCCCAGGAGTGGGCTCGGCCTGGAGCCTGGCTGTGGACCTGCCACTGCCCCTCTGGCTGGGCTCACTGGTAGGCACGCCAGTCCCTCGGTGCCACATGGTGGGTGCTCCCATCTGCCAGTGCTGAGAGCGGGTCAGGCATGTGGAGCCCAGGGCTGCCACCAGCGGGGCAGGAGCCTCCCGGGGACTCGGGCACAGATGCCATCCCCTGGGAAAACGTCGGAGGTCACGCGAGTGCAGATTGGTGAGCAGCGCCCAAGGGCAGAAGGCTGGCAGGGCTGTGGCCTCCCCACATTGTGCTGCCGCTGCCAGGGCTCCACCAGCTCAGAGCAGGGCAGCGTTGCAGCCCGTTTTCCATTCACTCACAGCCTCTCGGGTTCTCTGGATCCGGGACTTGACACTTTATGCTCAGGGTGGGGGACAGAGCCTCACAACACACACCTGGCGGCCTTTGACAGCCCCTGCCTTCTGGGGCTGGAGTTTGGACAGGCTCTCCCCATGGGGCCACCCAGTGGGCAGCGGGTGTGCAGGACAAGCAGACGGGCGCCGGGCGCGCTCCGCAGCCTCATCCATCATGACACGCGCCGTCACCTCGTCACCAAGCTCCGTTCTGCCTCCGGAGCCCTAAAACACCAAAAGGGGCTCGGGACGCGGGCGGTGCTGCTTGGGGAGCCTCGGTGACAAGTGTTCAGTGAGGTGTGCCGCACGCTGCCTGTGCCCGCCGTAATTTGTTTATCTGTCCAAAGATTATGCAGTTGAAAATCCACAATTTTATGCTGCCTTTGTAAATTACCACGCTGCGTTTGATGAATGTTTCTCCACTTCTGCGGAGGCGCCGCTTCACCCGCGAGAGGCGGGAAGGTGCTCATGCATGCGGTGCCGAAGCTTGTTTTCTCATTCTTTCTGGCAGGCGCCCATGCTGGAAAGTAAATCTGACCTTGAGCTTCCCACTGCATTAAAGATAACTCAGTTTTACCTGGATAGTCTCAGATGCTCCAGCTGTGGATATAAAATTCCAGCCCAACCAGAGCCGAGTGCTGACCAGCAGCAAACCCCTTCCGGAGGCGCCCGGAATACAGGCACCTGCTGGGAAGTGCGCACACAGCCGTGAATTACTGTGCACAGATTGCTTTGTGTAGTGGTGTGGAATTCGGTGTCTGTTCTCGTTTGAACACTGAGTTCTAGGTTAATAGAACAGTCAAAAACAAATCAAAGTGGGAAGATTGGAACTAGATGGGCTGCCGCACTCAGAGGAGCACACCTGCACAGAAAGCTGGGGCGCACACACTCCTGTGAACAGGGTCCCCTGCAACTCCCCTGAGAGCCCAGGAGCATGTCCGGGAGAGGGGAGCTTGGGAGCCGGGCCAGCACCCGCGGCTCCCCACGCGACCCCTCCTAGAGGCAGATACCTGTTGTCCAAAAGGGCCAGGGTCAAGGTGCTGAGGCGCTGCCACATCACCAGAGCCTTTGGTCCATGAGCTGGCCTCTCTCTCAGGGGCCAGGCAGGGCGGGTGGCAGAGGCTGGGGAGGTACTGGCAGGGGCCGACATCCCCATCTCTCTGCCCCCACAAAACCCTGATGTTCCTGCCAGTCAGCTCCCAACTGGACCCAGGGTGCCCCACCTCCCCACACTCACCTGTCTGTTTCCCCTTTCCAGTCGGAGAGCGAGGAGAAGGTTGTCACCTATGACCACATTGGGCCCAACGTCTGCATGGGAGACCACAAGGTGACATAGACTGAGGTCCAGGGGCCAGGCTGGGGGACCAAGGGGAAGCTAGGGGGCCGGGGGGCTGGGGCCAGTGGGTGGGCGGGTGCTGGGGCTGGCAGGCAGGTGGGCGGGGGTTGGCCAGTCTCTCCTCTCCTGTTCTCCTGTCTTCTTAGTCTGACTACAGAGTAGGCCAAGTTGGTCTGTTTTTATTTAATTTTAATAAAATATCATAAGCTAGGTGGGTAAGTAGGAAGAAGGCAGAAATGACGTTACAATAGAATAAAATACATAATTTAATATTTGTAAAAAAATGTCCACAGCTGATTGTTTCTGAAGGCTGTTTTGCAAATATGCAGCTTCAGTGTTTTAATGGCCTTCTTGGGGCAGGCTCACTGTCAGCCGAGGAGCCGGGGTGAGGGCGCTCCCCACCGTGTGCCAAGGGGCAGCACTGGCACAGATCGTTTATTCAGGCAACTGCACCTCGAGAGTGTGCACAGGAGACAGATCAAATCTCATTTTCAGCCAATAAATGAGTTAGCTTCTTCCACGTTGGAGGCCCAGAGCTGTGAGCCCCAAACACACCCGGATAAGACGCTGGACCTGCCAGGTGCGGCAGAGCCGAGGACGGGAGAGCCTTCCTTCCCCGCTTCATTTGGGGCCTATTTAGCCATTCTTTTACATCAGTTTTTCCATTAATTTTTTTACCTGGAAATAACACCTTCCTTGCAAAACCTCTCATGGCCGGCCTGGCTCCAGTTCCACATTCACGGGGCCCCCAACCCCTGCGCTGCCGTGGCTGTGCACAAGGGCCGAGCTGCCTCTGCTGGCCATCAGCTCCTCCCAGCCCGGTTCATGGCTGCCCTGGTGAGACGCAGGGTCTGGGGGTGCAACGGGAGGCGGCGGCATGTGCTGTGCTGTCCCGCGTGCGCCGTGCTGACACCGTCCTCTCTTCCTGCTGCAGCCCGTGTTCCTGGCCTTCCGAATCATGCCCGGGGCAGGTAAACCTCATGCCCATGTGCACAAGTGTTGTGTCGTGCAGTGACGTGGTGGTAAATATGACTCCTCCCTCCAGTTCAGCTTTTACGCAGCTTTTCCTGGTGCGTTTGTTCCTTTAACAAATTACGAATTCCGTGACAGGGAAGAGATGCCAGCGCCACGAGAGGACACTTCGTGAGCCTCCCTGTAGCCGTGGACCGAATACGCACTCTTGAAAGCTGCATCGAGAACCCGCCCAAGCGCCACCTGCTAGACGGCCAGCCCCACACTTCGCTTCAGCCTCCGGACCATTCCGGAGCAGCCTCACATACCTCACTGTCTCGTCTGTCTATGTGACATTAAGTAGAAATATTGGTTTTTTTTTTTTTTTTTTAAATAAGTCACAGTCCTGTTGTCAAAACTCTAATAGACAGCAAAGAGGGTCTGTACCGTAGACTTCACAGTTTTCAGTTTTTAATGATTGCCAGTGGAGGGGCTTCTTCAGCACAGAGACCCCCCACTGTGTCCAGGGACCCCCTCTGCCAGGTGGAGGTGTGTCCAGGGGCTGGGGAAGCCGAGACGGGCACTCCCTCTGCCGGCCGGCAGCGTGGCCCTGAGCATGGCAAGGGGGTCTGTCTCTGCCGATGCTCCTTCCGCGGCACTGACTCTGCGCCGTGTCACATGGTTTTTGAATCACACTGCAGCTGCTTTCCATTTTTATATATATATAAATATATATAAATATATACTTTTTAAAAATAATTTATAAATCTTACCAAAACTTATGCTAAATATACTTTCCAGTATGAACGCACAGGAGAGTCCCATCAGCAGGCGGCATTGGAGTCTAGGAGCTCAGCTGTGTGTCCATCAACACACAAATTCGTAAAAAACACACATGGCCTCGCCATCGTGGGTAAAATCGGCCCCACAGCACGTCTGCACCAGCGGGCCGTTACTCCCATGCCGTTCTTCTGTGTAATATTAAGAACTGAATGTGAAGTTTATAGCTAGCCTGGGTGTACCTTTTAAGAATTTTGTAAACCGTTTGTCTGTCTTTTGTTACTGTTTTATGGTGCCAAGTATCCTACGTTACAACAATAATATCATGGGAGAAATAGAAATAGCCTAGTTTGCTTCCAATAGAAACTGCTTTTAACATGGGCTGTATATAAAAATATTAAAGAGAAACAAAACTGTACATTTCCTCATTGCTCCGCTACAGACAACCCATGTCATAACCTTGTTGCAAATATTTTTCTCCTATAGCAGTAAGTACAGCATTAGAAGGTGATTAGAGAGTCTGTTGATGAAACACAAATGTATGTTTTATTGATTTTACTTTAGAACACTACAGAGTTCCTGGACCGGGTGAAGGCATTAGCTGGGTGTTTGTGTGGGATAAATACTACCACTGCAAGTGACTGCTGTCCGCTGCGGAATCTGTTCTTGGTGGAAGCACAGGTCCGTGTCGCTGCTGTGGTTGCCGCTGTCCGCGGTTCAACACGGAGTCCGCCCCGCGGGTTTCAGCTGTTGGTCGTTCTGAGGGGCCTTTGGAAGTGACCGGTCTGGTTCCTAAGCAATAAAATTGACCGTGGTGAAAATAGTCCCGTGTTGCTTTTTCTTCCTTTCCCTTCTCCTGCCACCTTTGAAATGCTAACTCAGGGGAGCGGCCTCCTGTATAGCCTGTTATTTGAGATCAAGCTCATTAGAAATCCTGGAATTTCACTGTATCACACGCTGTCACAAAACACTAAGCCGTTCATTGAGAGGAGAAACACAGCCTTTTGGACTTTCTACTGTAATAAAGGATTTATCCCTCAACATTTTAAAACGGGATTATATCAACGCTTTGCCTTCCTCAAAACTTTAAGAAGCCCCTCTGCTCTGAGCTGAGAGGGGCTCCCCACAGAAAAGCGTTGCTTCTGCCCTTCGAGTTGCTTCCTTGTAAAGAAGGCTGCTAAGAGCCTAAAACAAAACGCGCCGAGTTTAAGCCCTTTCTATTTCCCTTTAACGCTTCCGCAAATGCCAAGAGAAATCGTACCACCGCAGTGATATCATTATTTACATTTAATTTTTAAAAATTAAAACTCAACAGCCACGCCCATTAAGATGCAGCGATGGGCAGCCCCGGCCACAGAGGCTGCGGGAGGCTGGAGGGGTTTTGTCAGCCGCAGTCACAGCCCCGCGGAGCTGGCGGCATTTCAGGGCAGGAGACGGGTCCCCCGAGCCCCCGGCTGGGCGCTGCGGGCCTTGCCCAGGGGGCCTCCGGCTCCCTGACCCCGCGTGACCCACGGGAGGCCCCGCCGCTCCGCGGGCGGAATTATTTCGGATTTCTCTTTGCGGTCCTAGTTCGGAAGAAACTGCTTTCCACCGCGGGAAGATCTGGCGGGATGGTGACCGAAGGGCCTCCGTGCAGCGGATCAGACCCGGTTCCACCGGCTGAGCCCAGGGCGGGCCTATGGGATCCGCTGATGCGCAGAGGGACTTTGGAAATAATCAGAGCGAAGCCCTCGGCCAAGCGGGAACGGGTGCCCGGTGGCAACGAGTACGTGGCCCCAAAGCGGGAAAACGGAAGAAGAAAAACCTCCCGCGGGGACTCGAGGCGGGTACGCGGCTCACCCGCCCTTTCGGGAACCCCCAAGCGCGTCCGAATCCGCCCCGAGGCGAGGCGGGCCGGGCCGTACCTGCTGCTCCGTCCCCGGCTCCGTCCCGGGCTCCTGGCGGCTGTCGCTGCGGTTCCTTCCCGCGGGCCGGGCCCCTTCCCTGCGCCTTCGCCGCCTCCTCGCGCCTGCCCGGGGCCCGCAGCCTCCGCACCGGGAACCCGGAGGACCCGAGGCGGGCGCAGGGGCGAAGCCGGGGCCGGGGAGGGGCCGCCTCGCTCCGGGTTCGAGACGGAAGAAACACGCGGCGCAGGCTCCGGAGCGACGGCTCCGACGGGGACCCGTTAAATAATTTATTGATGATACAAAGCGACTCGCGCCCACCCGGGGCCGCCCCCGGATTCTGCAAAAATAGATTCGCCCCCACCCCGCGGGTCCTCACAAGGCGTCCCCCGCGCCGCCGCCGCACGGGCTGACCAGCGCCAAGTTCGAGGGTTTGTGCTTCTTGAGCAGCCGCGTGATCTTCTCGTCGTCCGAGTTGGGGTCCAGGGGCCGGTTGTATTCGTCGTCGTCCTCCGCGTCCGAGCCGCCCACCTTCAGCTTCTCGGCGTCCGAGTCCTGCTTCTTCTTGGCCGACGCCATCTCCACCGCGTGCCGCTTGCGCCACTTGGTCCGGCGGTTCTGGAACCAGACCTGGGAGTGGACGGGGCGGTCAGGCGGCCGCGGGGCCCGGGGCTGGCGCTGGGGCCGTTCGCAGGACGCGGGCCCCCGGCTCTGCTCTCCCGAGCCCCGCCGCGCTCACCTTCACCTGGCTCTCGGTCATGCCCAGCGAGTAGGCGAGACGCGCGCGCTCCGGGCCCGCCAGGTACTTGGTCTGCTCGAAGGTTTTCTCCAGCGCGAAGATCTGCTGGCCCGAGAAGGTCGGGCGCGAGTGCTTCTTCTTCCCGTCCTTGTCCAGGACGCCGCCGGCCGGGGCTGCAAGGGAGGGGAAGGGAGGGAGGTCAGCGGCCGGCGGGGTCCCCCTCCGCGCCCACCCGCCCCGCACCCCCCGCGCGGGCCACTCACCCGGGCCAGCCAGACGCGGGTCCCTCCAGGGCGCGCCCTGCACCACGCCGGGCCAGAAGATGGGCGGGCGCCCCGGCAGCTCGGCCAGGGGCTTGGGGTAGCCGCGCGCCACAGCGGCCGCGGGCCCGAAGTAAACGCCGGCGGACGACGCGAGCCCGTTGAGCCGGGGCAGCCCCCCCAGGAGGCCCCCGCCCGCCGCGCCCACGGGCCGGCCCAGGATGTCGCTGATGCCGTGCGGGGTCCCGAGCGGGAGCTGCGCGCCCAGGCCCCCCAGCGCGGGCGCCTTGAAGCCGGCCGGACCCTGCAGCGCGTAGGGGAACAGCGACGTCTTCATCTCGGCCATGTTGTGCAGCGCGGCCAGCGGGGCACTGCTCAGCACGAACGCGCCCGGGCGGTTAGTGTCCATGGGCGCCGCCGCCGCCGGCCCGGGCTCCCATCCGGGCCCCGCCGCCGCCGCCCCTGCCCGCCGGCCCGGGAAGTTTGCGCGCGGCCCGGGCGGGCGTCGGCTGCAGCGCGGGGCGCGGGGCGCGGGGGGCGGGCGGGCGGCTCCGGCGCGGGGCGGGCGGGCGGGCGGCGGCGGCGGCGGCTCCGGGGCCGGTCGGAGCGGCGCCGCGCGGGACGGACGCGCTGATAACGGGGGCTCCCCGGGGCGCGGCGCGCGCGCTGATTGGCTGCGGACCCCGCGGTCCGGCCATTGGCCGGCGCCCCCCCCCCGCCCGCGCGCCCCCGCCGGCCGCGCACTCCATGAAGGGCCCATTAGCGCGGCAGGTGCCTCCCGGGCTGTAAATTCGCCCCGATTTATCTCCCCGGGGACGAAATAAATCCAGCTTGGATGGGAGTGTAGTTAGGCAAAGGTTTTCATGCGAAATCAGGAAAAAATACGAGAACGTATTTTATTAACGGAAAGAATGCAGATTTGAGGACCCGCCCGCGCGCTCGGAGCGCCCCACTCGGGGAAGAGTCCCGGCCCGCGTCCCAGTCGCGACTGCTCCGCCGCCCGTGGCTGGGGTGGGTGTGAGCGGCAGCGGACGCCGGCGGGGAACGCGCTCCGGGCAGGTCGGGGCCACAGGAGGGCGGAGGACGCGGGCCTCGAGTCCACGGAATCCACGGGCCTCACGGCCGGGCGAGGCTCGCACGGAGCTGCCTCTGGTTTCGCCGACACGCGGCCGGCGCGGTGGAGGAGTGAGGCAGGCGGGAGCGGGGCGGGGAGGCGGGTCCCGGGACCACACGCGCGGCTCGGCACTTCCCCGTCATCGGCCTCCAGGTCTCCCGCTGGGGGTCCCCCAGGATGTGACCTGGGCCCACGACTTCGCCCACGGGCCGCCTCTCGCGAATCCCCGGCCGGGAGAACAGAGACCAGGACGGCCTCAGCGCGGAAGCCCTGTCCAGGGCCCGAACGTGGGTGCGGGCTGGGGGCGCAGCGGCAGAAACGCGGCCTTAGACGCGCGCGGGGGGCCGGTGTCCCCCCCGCCCCCACGGCACCGGGAGCCGCTCGCTCATCCATCCCGCAGACCGGGCGGTGAGATGACTCCGAGCCCCGCGCACGGCGGCCGCGAGCAAACGCTCCGACGTCTGTGGTGACGTCTCGTATTGATTTAGGGACACGGGGCGGCTGTGGCTGTGGCCCACGGCTCGTGGGGAGCCCGAGTCTGTGCGCAGGGAACGCCGCTGCGTGGCCTCTCTCGGGCCTGTGCCGCGGAGGAAGGCGGCGCCCGGGGTTCGGGGCCGGGGTCTCACGTCCGCCCCCTCGCCCCCCTCCAGCGTCCGTTTTCGTTTTGTGCAGGTCGAGGCGGGGACTTGGCGCCGTCGGCCGCTCCTGGATGGCGGCTTGGAAAAGCCACCTGCGGCCAAACTCCGGGGCAGTGGTGCGGCCGCCGGGTGTGTGCGCGCTCGGGGCTGCCCCGGCGGCTTCCGGCTCCACTGAGGTGCAGCCCCGCGTTCACGGGGGGTTCGCTTCCCCCGTCGACTCCGCACTCGATTCGACTGGGATTGGGATTCGATTGGGCGCGGCCGCCCCACCGGTGATCGGCCCCCGCGGAGCCTGGCCCGGGAACCCCCAGCGCCCGTCCGGCCCCGAGACCCGCCCCGGCCTGTCCTGCGCCCCGCTCCCTCGGAGGAGACACGAGGAAGGGCCCTCCCGGGTCGGGTTCGGGCCCCTCCCAGCACCCCAAGGCGACGGCGCCCGCGCCCAAGGCTCGGGCTCTGAGCTGAGACGCGGGAACTGCGGGGCCGGGGGGGGCGGGCAGGGGGAGTTGGGGGCGGGGGCTGCTGTCGCCCTGGGATCCCCCACTCTGCGCGGCCGGGCAGACCCTGGGCGGGCCGGGAGGGGTGCGGGTCGCCCGAACTGAGGCCCAGGAGGCGCGCGCGGGCGGAACGGCGGGAGGAAGCCGCGCTCGGGACAGGCTCTGGCTCTTCTCACAGCCTGGAGGGGCGGGGCAGGGGGCGTCGCTAGCGCTGTTTTATGGCTGAGGAAACATGGACCTGGAGGCGCTGCGCTGCGGCCCGATAAACCCTGGGTCTGTCTGCGCCCCCCGGTCCTCCCTGGGCTGCCGAGGGAACGCGTGGGGTCGCGGGTGGGGCTGGCGTGTCACTGGCTGCGGAGCGCGCGGCTCTCCAGGGCTCAGGGGCGCGGGATGAGGGGCCAGGGTGAGTTGGGGGCGCAGAGGAGCCGGGTAAGGGGGGGTCCCTCTCCCACGTTCTTGTAAGCCGTGGAAGTCTTGGCGCGCTCCGCAGGTGCCGCGTCCTACCCGGCTCCCCGGCCTGCGCCCCACGCGCTTTCCCGCCCTCCTCCTCGCGGAGCTGCGCGTGGGTCCGGTGGCTTCACCTCCTACGCTTCCCGGCGCCCACTCCGGGCCCCGTCCCCTCTCCGGCCCCCGCCCGCACCTTTTCTCCTGCGTCCCCCGGTGCCGCCCTCTCGGAAACCACCGAGGCAACTCCCCCTCCTCCCGGGAAGGTCCGAGCGCCTCCGACCGCGATGTCTTTGCCTGGGCTCCGCCGCCCGGCGGCCCCGCTGCCTGGAGAGGTCCGCGATGCCACCTCCTGGCCCGCGAGCAGATGTCCCGCGAGGAAGGCTGCCGGCATCGGCGCCGACGCTCCGCGCTGGAAAACCGAGAGCGCGGGGTTTGGCAGAGGCCATTCAAGTTTGTTTTACTCGTTCAGCCTGTATTTGTGGGGCTCCTACCGCGCCCGGGCTGTCCGGGGGGTGCACCGTGAACGCAGCGGGCTCCGGCCCGGGCGCGGGCGGGTCAGAGCAGCAAACGCGCTCCCCCGGCACCCCCGCGGCGTCTGCAGGGGAGCGGGCGACGGGGAGGACGGCGGGGGTGTCGGCCCGGAAGGAGAGCCGGCCTAGGCCCCGGTGTCCCCGCGCTGGGGGCTGAGGGGCGACGGGGGAACTCCACAGAGGGAAGGAGCCTGCGTTCGCCTTCGGCCGCCCAGGCCATAGAGTTCACAAACTCTGATTTATCACTGAGGTGACTTGTCCCGCGCAGCCCTAGGCGAGTTGCCAAGCTGCCCGCCCTGACCGCGCCCCCAGGCCGGGGGTCTCCTAGCAGTTCCCGGCAAAGGCCCTGCATTGTCTTTTTTCCCGAAGTGAGCGCATTCCCGGCCTCTCCAGGCTTGACAAGGTAACCGCACCAGGCATTCCAGACACAGACGGGGCCTCCCTGGGGTCCTCATGACCAAAGAACCAAAAAAGGCCCAAGATGACTCAAGGGACCCCTCTGTGGGCCCCACCCACGGAAGCAGCGGCGTGGGGTTACCAGGACCCCCAGGAGCCCGGGCCCAGGCGGGGTGCCTTCTGTTGCTTGGAAACAGAGGAGCCCACCAGGACGCTCTGGAATTGCTGGAAGGGGAAGGGGGGCTAGAGAAAACCCCACCCCACAACACAACTCGAAGGGGCCCTGCCTCCCACGCAGGACAGACCCCAACCCCATCTCCCGTGCCCTCTGGGGGCAGCCCTGCCAGGGCAGCGGGAAAGGGCTGGGAGGCAGGCGCAGATCCCAGCCAGGCAGCCCCGGCGTCCCACTGGGCTCATGGACCCAGCCGGGTCTGAAAGGCCATGAGCGCTGAGGGCTGGGGTGGGGACCGCCCAGGGGTGGGAGTTGACGCCCCTAGGTGGGCAGAGGAGGCTCCACTCCTCATCCTGGCCTAGCCTGGCCCCTTCTCACACTTCCAGCACTGCCTGCTGAGCACCAGCCTGCTAGCAGCGGCTTTATTTCAGAGATCGCGAGTCTCCACCTCCACCTGTTTCCACCTAATGCCATCCCATGCCTGCCAGGCCCTCCACTGGTCCCCTCGTGGCCCCCAGGCTCACCCACCCCGGCCACTCTGCCCCCCCACTTCACAGGGCTCACCTCCTCCACGCGGTCTCAGCTTGAGGGACGCCTCCCTGGCCACCCGGTCTGGTGCAGCCCCCACACTCCCACTCAGCACGGCTGCCCCTCTTGGCACTGGCCCCCTGCCGAAGGCATTAGTGGATGTGTCTGATGTCCGCCTCCTCGCCACCTTGCTCAGGACATGGATGGATGCAGGGGCTCTGTCCTCTGGGCGCCTCCAGGACTGAATTCATGCTGCTGGGTGGGTGAATGAACGCAAGTGTGACAGCTGCAGGCCTCAGAGCAATTTTCAGAGCCCGGGTGCGGGTTGGAGAGGGAGGACCGCGCACCTGACTTCCCACCGGGAGGAGCAGGTACTGTGGAGGTGCCTCCAGGAACCCTGAGCCACAGGACATGCTGGATGTGGGGCCTGGCGCCGTGGCATTTCCCAGCTGAGCCTGAGGTCTTGCTGTTTAGACCAAACTCAACCCCACCCCATCTCCTGAGCTGGAGGGTGTCCAGGTAGAGCCCGGCAGCTTCTGGGGTACCCAGCTGTAGGTGGGGCGTCCAGGTGCCCCCTCTTCCCAGGCTATGGCGGCCTCTTGCCCACTTGCCAACACCTACAGGTCCACATGAAGTGGAGGATCAGGCTCTGGGGAGAGGGTGCCGCTTCTCCCCAGGCCGAGTGGCCCAGGACAGGGAGGGAGGCTTTGATGGAAGCTGGGGTGGGGCCACAGTGGGTGCCCGGGCACCCGAACACTCTCCCTGGAAGATATGGGCCAGGCTGTGGAATCTGGAACACCCGCGGGTTGAGGAGGCCCTGAAGGGGGGCTAAGAGGGCAGGGGCTGGGAGGACCTGGATGGCAGGGGAGGGAGAGCTTGCCTGAACTCTCTGAGCACCCCTTCAGGGTGGCCCCTGCCCAGCCTTTGTGGACCCTCTAGCTTCACTGGGCCTGAAGTTCCTTGCACAGCCTGGGCCCTGGCCGGGCCCCTCCCACCTTGCAGGGCCCCCTCCCTGAATCCTGAGCCCCAGGTTTCCTTCCAGCTTCTGTTCTTTAAAAGTCACTTGTAAATGCAGCAGCCACGGAGCAGCACCTACCGAAAGCACAGAGAGAGACACACAGAGAATGGTCCGAGTTCTTCCCCTGAACAACCAAGTTCTTCCCCCGAACCGAGTTCTTCTGTTGTCACGAGCATCCACTTCCTTCTCGTGACGGAGACGCTGCGGGCCGCCTGCCCGTTCACACGCGGCTCCGCACCTGGGCCCTGCAGCATCTCTCCCACCCACGCTGAGGCTCCATCCCACAGGTGCCTCACTCCCTACAGCGCCCTGAGGACCGAGGCTGTCCAGGTGGGGTGGGAGGGGAGAGGGCGAGCAGCCACCCTGAGGCAGGGCAGGGGCTGGACACTGGGCCTTCCAGTCTCCCTGCTGGCTTAGCCTGGGGGTCTGGTGGGCACAGTAGAAACCGCCCTGGCCTGGCCAAGGAGGTTTCAAGTCTTCCTGCTCCCCAGGGAAGGGGTGTTCAGAGATTCCCTGTGCCCCTGGGTGGGAGTGACCAGAGGCAGCCGATGGTGTTGGGAAGGGGCCCTGCCCTGCCCGGAACTAGATGGAGGGCTCTGAGGGCCCCACGGTGCTGCCAAGAGACAAGGTCCAGCCCTCCCAGGAGGACACCCGGGGGTGCTGGGTGCAGACAGGCCAAGCTTGAGCAGTGGAGCTGGGGGGAAGAGGGGCAGCAGGCGCGCCCTCACCACAGGACCCCTCGGCAGGGGCCCCAGTGGGTCCCTCGACACCCAGACGCCATCTGAGGAAGAGGAGGGGCCCTTTGCTCATTGGGAGGACACTTTTTCTACTGCAGGAGGCTGGAATGCCTCAGTGGAGGTGCCTTTTTCTGCTGAAGCACAGGCCAGCTCTGACCAGCTGCCAAGGCGGCATTGGGGGCTGCGGGTGGGCCTGCCAGGTGTTTGAGCCCTGATGCAGAGATTTCAGGGGACGCCGTTCCTCAGCCTCAGCCCTGCTGCGGGGCATTTTCATGCACACATTGGACTCCAGGAACCGTGTGGGTGCAGCGTCTACACTGGGTCCAGGAACCGTGTGGGTGCAGCGTCTACACTGGGTCCAGGAACCGTGTGGGTGCAGCGTCTACACTGGGTCCAGGAACCGTGTGGGTGCAGCGTCTACACTGGGTCCAGGAACCATGTGGGGGTGCAGTGTCTACACTGGGTCCCGGAACCGTGTGGGTGCAGCATCTACACTGGGTCCGGGAACCGTGTGGGGGTGCAGCGTCTACACTGGGTCCGGGAACCGTGTGGGGGTGCAGCGTCTACACTGGGTCCCGGAACCGTGTGGGTACAGCGTCTACACTGGGTCCGGGAACCGTGTGGGGGTGCAGCATCTACACTGGGCCCGGGAACCGTGTGGGGGTGCAGCGTCTACACTGGGCCCGGGAACCGTGGGGGTGCAGCGTCTACACTGGGTCCGGGAACCGTGTGGGTGCAGCGTCTACACTGGGTCCGGGAACCGTGTGGGGGTGCAGCGTCTACACTGGGTCCGGGAACCGTGTGGGTGCAGCGTCTACACTGGGTCCGGGAACCGTGTGCGTGCAGCGTCTACACTGGGTCCGGGAACCGTGTGGGGGTGCAGCGTCTACACTGGGTCCGGGAACCGTATGGGTGCAGCATCTACACTGGGTCCGGGAACCGTATGGGTACAGCATCTACACTGGGTCCGGGAACCGTGTGGGGGTGCAGCGTCTACACTGGGTCCGGGAACCGTGTGGGTGCAGCGTCTACACTGGGTCCGGGAACCGTGTGCGTGCAGCGTCTACACTGGGTCCGGGAACTGTGTGGGGGTGCAGCGTCTACACTGGGTCCGGGAACCGTATGGGTACAGCGTCTACACTGGGTCCGGGAACCGTGTGGGTGCAGCGTCTACACCGGGCAGGCTGCTTCTCTTCTCCCTGGTGGTCGTGCTTTGGGGACGCGTCCCTGGGACCCCTGGCTGCTGGGAGCTGCCCCGTGCGAGTGCCCCGCCTTCTGCAGATGGAATCTGTCATCTTCATTCACTTCTCAGGTGAAGTTCTTAAAAGGGTGGCACGGCCCAAGCTCCTTGGTCCCCAGCGGAGCTGCCCCATCTGTTGGCACCGCTCAGGTTTCTGGCCATGTGACTTCGGCCCTGACGCCCGCCTGCGTTGCCCCCCGCCTCCAGGCTACAGGTGCAGCTAGTTTTCCTCCCTGTCTGTTGCTCATTTTTCTTCCTCTACTTCCAGGCCCATCCTCGGGAACCCCCTGGGTCCGCGGCCCTGGTGGGTGACAGACACCTCTAGGGCCCTCTTGGCTCCCTGCCGGGCACTGAGGACCCCACATCTGTACCACCAACCGGGGTGCACTGCCCGGAACCTCCCTGTCTTCACATGGGTGTCCCACAGCCCCTGAGGGAACAGCGCCACCTCTCCTCCCGGGTCCTGCATGGCCCCTGGGACAAGGACACCAGATGCCCACACCTGGAGGAGCTCACTGGAGCCCACAGCTGGTGAGCGGCCCTCCAAGGGGGCCTCTGCCACTGGAGGGCGTCTCCATGGAGCAGCTGGGCGCAGCTCTCCTGCCTCTGGAGGCACCTGGCCCTCAGCTGGAGACCTTTGGCCGCCTTGGCCCCCACAATACCCAACAAGCTGGGCCAGAAAGGGCTCTTCGCCCCTGCAGTGGCCAGCACACAGTTGCTGTGGGCTCTGGCTGGGGAGGCCCTGGGGCAACAGCATCCCTTGAGGACATCAGAGCCCATGCAGGAAGCCACCCTCCCACCTGTGTGACCTGTGGACACAGAGGCCGGGCTGGGGGTGACTAAGTCCCCCTCGATCACTGGAGGAGACTCCCCAGGAGCAGGTGGGCCACTGAGGCTGCCGAAGCGGAGGGGCCACGCCGTCGGTGGGACAGCGGCGCATCTCCTCAGAAACCCTCTTCTCTGGGGTCCAAAGAATCTTGTCTCCTTCAGGAAAGGACAAGGAGACGTGGCTGTAAATCACGCCCAGAGCTAATTCCCCAGGGCTCTGGGGCACCAGATGTGCAGCCGGCGTAATGAGCTCTCTCCTGGGGCCTCTCGGGTGTCTGGCCACGTGGCGCACGCGCTAATTGAGTGCTGAGCCCTTGGAGATTTGTGTCAGGAGCCTGCTCCGGCGCCTTGGCTGTGATCCGAGGATGAGATGGGACCGGCACCGGCCAAGGGGGGGCTTCCGGAGAGGCTCGCTCCTGGCGCCACTCCAGGCTGGGCCACGGCGCTGTGTGGGGGCTTCCAGGGGGGTGAGGGCCCCCGGGCGGGCGACGGGTCGTGTGGTGCCACAGCCAGTGCCTCCCCACAATGGGCGCCCCCTGCTGATGGGCACCTCCCGACAATGGCGCCTCCCAGTGATGGACGCCTCCACAGGTCCTCGGGGCCCCTTCCCGTCCAGGTCTTCACAGAGGCCCCGGCACTGGGTGCCCAGTGGCCTCGGCAGCCGTGTCTGCGTGACAGAAGCCGAGCGTGGGACGGCTCCAGCTCAGGACTGTCTGAGCCCCACCCTGCGAGGGTGCTCTGAGCTCTCAGGGCGTTGCTTCTTTGCCCATTTATCCCGGGTCTTGGGTGAGTTCCAGTGGCGGACAGAGCTCAGACAAGAGCAGTGCTCGCAGCAGCGCCAGCAGGGACAGTGGCAATACGAGGGTCACAGGTGTGATCGGAGGCCGCCAGCCTGTGCTGGGTCACCGTGCGGTGCCAGTGAAGGTGCCCTCTGCCCAGGAGCTGTGGGGGAGCCGGGGGTGCCGCCAGGACGCAGTGTGGGTCGCTGGGAAGACCCGAAAGAGGGGAGGAAGCTGCCAGTCATGGGGGACGGCAGAGGTGGCTGTTTCTCCCGGCAGCAGAAGTCCACCCCAGGGCCTCACCGGGGGGGGGTGGGGGGGCACACGGGCAGGCACGAGTGTGTGAGGAGAAAATGGTCTCTCTGGTTGGGGAGCCCAGGGCAGGGCCCCCACAAGATGGTTTCAGATGAGAGTGAAGGAGTCACCCGCCGTTCCCCGGGTGTCCAGGCTCGGGAGGGCCTCGTCTCCAGAGCCTTCACGCCGGCATCACGTGTGAGAGCGTTTATCCAGGACGGGACACTTGTCCTGGGGCATCCCCTGCATGGGGAATGGCCTCTGACTTTTGGGGAACGCAGCCGCCGTGTGAGGCCCCCTGGCCGAGCTGCCCCTCCCCGGCCATTCCACCTGAGTCAGCTTAACAGAAACACCATCTGTGATTGGAGTGTTGCCCCCCAGCCTCCTCTTCCAGCCGAGGGGCGCTCCCCTCGGAAACGGGGTCTTGTCTGGCCTGGGAGTTGGAGGCAGGTCTGGGGCCTGAGGCCTTGAGGCTTCGGGTGAGTCAGTGTCTCCAGGGCAGGGCTGGGGAGGAGAGCCACTGCCCTGGGTCCTAGTCTGGGCACGTGCCCTGAGGCTGGGTGGCTCGCAGCTCTCCCACCACAGTTGGGTCTGGCACCCCCTGCCTGGAGTCGCAGGTCCCTGACCTACAGCCTGAGGCTGCCCACACAGCCGTCCTAGAGGGGTCACGGCCTTCCCAGTTATGGTTGTTTCTGGAAATGCTTCAGGCCCTGGAGTCAACGGGAGCCCAACAGGAAGACAGGACTAGTGGGGAGGGGTGGGGGCTGGCGGGATTGTGGGGGGCCAGCAGGGAGGGGTGGGAGCTGACGGAGTTGTGGGGGGCCAGTGGAGGCAGTCAGGGGGTCAGGGAGGGCAGGGGGGACTGATGGGGCGGGGACATGGGAGGTGGGGAAGATGCCCGGTCCCTCTCGGCCTCTGCCATCCCTGGCTGAGTTGAATTCAATTAATCTAAATTAATCCACTTTTCCCAGCGACGCTGCGCCTCCCTGCCCAGACAACAGTACTTGCTCGGCTTCTCCCAGGAGCACTGAACCTGCCCTCCCAGGTGCAAAGGGCTCCCGGCGCCCGGATTTCACGTTCCCCCGGGAGATGGGGGTGCCCACTCAGGGAGAGGACACAGGAGGAGGTGTGCATGGGCCACATCCCAGGGTCAGTCCCCCAGGGAGGTGGATCACTTGAGGTCAGGAGTTCAAGACCAGCCTGGCCAACATGGCGAAACCCCGTCTCTACTAAAAATACAAAAGTTAGCCAGGCATGGTGGCACATGCCTGTAATCCCAGCTACTAGGGAGGCTGAGGCAGGAGAACTGCTTGAACCAGGGAGTCGGAGGTTGCAGTGAGCTGGTATGGTGCCATTGCACTCCAGCCTGGATGACAGAGTGAGACTCCGTCTCAAAAAATAATAATAATAAATAAACAAACAGATCTGTGTCATTTCATCGTTAACTGTGTAAGCATGCACCAGAAAAGCCCAGAGGAGCCTCTGGGCACCAAACCTGTGGGCGCCCCGGAGGGAGGAGCAGGCTCACCCTGCATCTTCATTGTATTATCTGCTGTGCTTCGTGTTTTGTTTTGTTTTGTTTTTTTCCTGTGAACATGTCTTATTTTTATTCATAAAAAACAACAAACACACAATTTAGGAAATGTGTCACAGGCAGCTCGCCTCGTCAGACAGAGCAGGTGCTGCCTGAGGTCCTGGAAGTCCTGGGACCAACCCTCAGGCACAGTGGGTTCCGGAAGCTTCCCTTGATGCTGAAGACGTTGAGTTCAGGGGGCTTTGAGCTTGTTCCCAGCACTCTCAGGGGTCACATGGTTTGACCAGGTTCGGACCAGGTTCGAAGTCACAGCCAGACACTGCCCATGATGGCAGTGGAGGCCACACCGCACTAGGACGTCGGGTCACCCCAGCAGGCTTCTGGTCCCCAAATAAGAACACCTGGAATCCTTTCCATAAACCCAGGGCTCCTACGAGTGACCATTTCACTCCTGAGGTTTGCTCGGGGGATGCCTGGAGATTTGAGGTAACTTCTGAGCCACCTGGTGCGGCGGCAGCGTCTCTAGCTAAATGAAGAGACGCAGCCTTGGCAGCACGGCAGGTGGTTTTTCTCCCGTTGGCGTCCGCTGTGCTTTGTTGGGCGGGCCGGCCCTTCTCAAGGCTGCTCCCTCGCACTCTGCAGGTAAACCTTTCTGTTCTTTCCACCCGCCAGAGTCTGAGCCGTGGTGACAGTTAATTCCTGGGGCTCCGCAGGGAGCTTGCCTGGGTCCTTCCCTGGGAGCCGTCAAGCATGAACCTGGATGTGCCTGGCCTGGTCCCGGGCCCTCAGCCTCCCAACGCCCCTGCGCCCGTTCTCACTGGCACGGCTCAGTGTCCACACCGGGCCAGCAGCGCAGGAACTGGAGGCTCTGCTTCGTGATTTCCGCAGTGGCAGATGACAGGAATCAGGTTCCTGCGGGTGGCAGCGGATGGGGGTGCAGAACTGCCTTTTTGCTGTTTGCCTGTTTACCCTCTTTGTGCCCGCGCCAAGGTGGGAGCCGCTACACCCAGGGAGGCGCTGGAGCGTGTGCGGAGGTCAGAGCCTGATGCCGCCTCGGTCTCTGGGTGCCGGGGCAGCCATTCCTTCAAACAATGGGGTGCTTCCAAACCGGTGCCTCGTGAGGAATTGGGAAAGACAGGAGATTGTCATCATCACGAGAGACAAAACCCTATCCTGCTAAATTCGAGGGAAGCCTAAGATTGCGCAGGTTTTTCATAATGATCCTTCCACAGAGGACTCCCCGATGCTTCACCGCATGTCACTGCTACTGCCACGGTCAGCATTCCCGCAGGACTGCGCCGTCCGCCTCGAATTCGGGGGTCTCGCGAAGCTGCTAAAACGGTGTGTTTTATGAATAGGAAATATTTCTTTCATCAAGCTCGTTAATATAACTTTACCTTTGGGGAGAGTGAAACATGATAAATAAACTCTGTTAACATTTATTTGGTGTGAGGTTTTTTTTCCATTTGGCTTTTAGAAATGATATTAATGATTTTTTATATTCAGGTAAAGTAAGAAAAGTTTAAAAATTTAAAAAATACTCCTTGTACCGTAGGTTTGTTGCTGGCTCTGGGTTTTTTTTTTTTTTCTTACTTGGTCACTAGGTTATAAGATAAGAAGGAAAAACGGACTTTTAAACAAACTTGAGAGTTTCGATACCTGTATGTCATTGTTAAGAAAAAAGCTCATGTAGTATTTTTAATCAAGACGACTCTTTGGACACATTGCACTGGTTGAATAATTCTGGTTTAACATGGCTCCGCGTCTCCTCTCCCCGTGTCTCTCCGGCGTGCGGTTCGGGTCTGCCTGGCCTTGGATTATTTTTTCTTCCACGGCCCTTCCTGCCTCCCCCAGCGTTCTCCACCGCTGTGACGTGACACAACAGTCCCGTTAGGAGACGTGTTTCGCGGTGTGACCCGCAGGTGGGCCGAGGCGGCTGGGCTGGACGGTGTGATCCTGAGGTGGGCCGAGGCGGCTGGGCTGGACGGTGTGACCCGGAGGTGGGCCGAGGCTGGACGAGGTGCCCCAGAGGTGGGCCGAGGCGGCTGGGCTGGACGGTGTGATCCTGAGGTGGGCCGAGGCGGCTGGGCTGGACGGTGTGACCCGGAGGTGGGCCGAGGCGGCTGGGCTGGACGGTGTGATCCTGAGGTGGGCCGAGGCTGGACGAGGTGCCCCAGAGGTGGGCCGAGGCAGCTGGGCTGGACGGTGTGGCCCTGAGGTGGGCCGAGGCAGCTGGATGAGGTGGGGACTGAAATCAGGCCGCAGTCTCGTGGCCCGAGGCCTCACACGTGCTGCCCTGATGTATGGGATTCCAGGGTGGGTACATCTAGGAGGAAGCCTGGGGTCACAGTGGCTCACAAGCCGTATGGGGATGGGCGGAGTAGGGCGTGTGGGGCTGTGGAGTTCAAGCGTGTGGGGATGGGCTGAGTGGGGCGTGTGTGGCTGTGGAGTTCATTGCAGGACCCGGCTTGGAAGGACCAGGGCCGTTTCGTGTTGGGCCCTGGTTGCTCCGGGGTTTTGCTCAGTGAGGTAGGAGAAGGGGCCTGGGAAGAAGTTGCCGTCCTCTGTGGCGGGAGAAGGGGAGGCTTCTGGCTGTTCAGGGGAGCTGTAGACCCGTTACTGCCATGGCCCTCGAGCACACCCCGTGGTGAGGCTCTGGGACAGGGCCTGTGTGGGGTGTGGGGAGTGCCGGGCTGTGGGGCCTCCTTGGAAGAGGCAACCCCAACACAGACGCCAGTGGGGAAGCGGCTCCACAGCTTCCTTGCCAGACCCTCAGGCCACACGGCCACCTGGACGCACTGTCCCACAGCACAGGCGGGCAGGGGGTGCCCAGACCCAGTAAACCCCTTTGGCCAAGGCCGGCGCTGGGATTCCAGCCCAAGTGATGTGGCTTGGTGCTCATAGGAGAGGAGAGAAGGGAAGGTGGTGCCCAGTGTAGGCCCGCACCTGAGCCCAGGACACCGCACCTGTGCCCGGGACACCGCACCTGAGCCCGGGACACCGCGCCTGAGCCAGGGACACCGCGCCTGAGCCCGGGACACCTCGCCTGAGCCCGGGACACCGCGCCTGAGCCCGGGACACCGCGCCTGTGCCCGGGACACCTCGCCTGAGCCCGGGACACCGCGCCTGAGCCCGGGACACCGCGCCTGTGCCCGGGACACCTCGCCTGAGCCCGGGACACCGCGCCTGAGCCCGGGACACCGCGCCTGTGCCCGGGACACCTCGCCTGAGCCCGGGACACCGCGCCTGAGCCCGGGACACCGCGCCTGAGCCAGGGAAACCTCACCTGAGCCCGGGACACCGCGCCTGTGCCCGGGACACCGCGCCTGAGCCCGGGACACCGCGCCTGAGCCAGGGAAACCTCACCTGAGCCTGGGACACCTCGCCTGAGCCTGGTGTATTAGTGTGTTTTTATGCTGCTATAAAAAACTGCCCAAGACTGGGTAATGTATAAAGAAAAGAGGCTTAACTGACTCACGGTTCTGTGTGGCTGGGGAGGCCTCAGGAAACTCACAGTCACGGTGGCAGAGGGGACTCCTCTGGGTGGCTCAAGGGCCATCTGGGGGAGTTGGCTGGAAACTGGAGGGGCCCCTCTCCCTGGACTGCCCAGCCCTGGCCAGCCTGTGGGGTGTGCAGTGAGGTGCTGACTGATTGAGAGGCACACACTCCCCAGAGCCCTGTTTGGAGGTGCCCGTCTTCCACCTGGGTGGGCCACAGGCTCGGGACACAGAGCCTGGCCTTGCAATGTCACACACCCCCGCGGCACCTGGCCTTCCTGGGGCATTGAGGGGCAAGTGACTCGGGACCGGCTGCAGGGCCTGGGTGGGGCCCCAGCTTTCCCCCAGCCTCTGGCCTTGGGGCCCCCAGCACAGGGCCAGCCAGGCTGAGGTTGTACTTCGTGTCTGGAATTGGTGGGTTCTTGGTCTCACTGACTTCAAGAATGAAGCCGCGGACCCTCGCGGTGAGTGTTACAGCTCTTAAGGCGGCGTGTCCGGAGTTTGTCCCTTCTGATGTTCAGATGTGTTCGGAGTTTCTTCCTCCCGGTGGGTTCGTGGTCTCGCTGGCTCAGGAGTGAAGCTGCAGATCTTCGCGGTGAGTGTTACAGCTCATAAAGGCAGTGTGGATCCAGAGAGTGAGCAGTAGCAAGATTTATTGCAAAGAGCGAAAGAACAAAGCTTCCACAGTGTGGAAGGGGACCCGAGTGGGTTGCCACTGCTGGCTCGGGCAGCTTGCTTTTATTCTCTTATCTGGCCCCACCCACGTCCTGCTGATTGGTAGAGCCTAATGGTCTGTTTTGACAGGGCACTGATTGGTGTGTTTACAATCCCTGAGCTAGACACAAAGGTTCTGCACGTCCCCACCAGATTAGCTAGATACAGAGTGTGGACACAAATGTTCTCCAAGGCCCCACCAGAGTAGCTAGATACAGAGTGTCCATTGGTGCACTCACAACCCTGAGCTAGACACAGGGTGTTGATTGGTGTGTTTATAAACCTAGCTAGATACAGAGTGCCAATTGGTGTATTTACAATCCCTGAGCTAGACATAAAGGTTCTCCACGTCCCCACCAGACTCAGGAGCCCAGCTGGCTTCACACGGTGGATCCCGCACTGGGGCTGCAGGTGGAGCTGCCTGCCAGTCCCGCGCTGTGCGCCCGCACTCCTCAGCCCTTGGGTGGTCGATGGGACTGGGCGCCCTGGAGCAGGGGGCGGAGCTCGTCGGGGAGGCTCCGGCCGCACAGGAGCCCACGGAGCGGGTGGGAGGCTCAGGCATGGCGGGCTGCAGGTTCCGAGCCCTGCCCCTCGGGAAGGCAGCTAAGGCCCAGCGAGAAATCGAGTGCAGCGCCGGTGGGTGGGCACTGCTGGGGGACCCAGTACACCCTCCGCAGCTGCTGGCCCGGGTGCTAAGCCCCTCATTGCACAGGGCCGGCCGGCTGCTCGGAGTGCGGGGCCCGCCAAGCCCACGCCCACCCGGAAATCCAGCTGGCCCGCAAGCGCCACGCGCAGCCCCGGTTCCCGCTGGCGCCTCTCCCTCCACACCTCCCTACAAGCTGAGGGAGTCGGCTCTGGCCTTGGCCAGCCCAGAAAGGGGCTCCCACAGTGCAGCGGTGGGCTGAAGGGCTCCTCCAGTGCCGCCAAAGTGGGAGCCCAGGCAGAGCAGGCGCCGAGAGCGAGCGAGGGCTGTGAGGACTGCCAGCACGCTGTCACCTCTCATTCGGACATCAGAGACCCTGGACTTGGGGTAGCTGTGCAGGCCCCACGTGGCAGGTGGCTGGGGCTCTCCGAGGTGGGGGCGGGGACATCTGAGATGGGGGTGGGGACGTCTCTCCACCATGGGGATGCAGACACCCCTGCCGGGTTCTTCTTTCCACATTCATGGCTCTGCTATGGCTGGGCCCTTCAGCCTCCCCAGGGAAGCTGTGTAACCAGAACAGAACCCGTGTTTCCTCTTGCTGGGCCATCCCCTCTGCAGCCTTGCTCACGTGGGCTGGTCCTCTGTCCACAGTCCTCCTCGTTCCTCTCCCCACCGCCTGGCCTCTTGCCTGGGTTGGAATTCCTCGATGAGCAGGACAGAGCAGCCTTGGGAACCACACCTGTCAACCCTGGAAGTGATTATGGGACCATAGCAGCCTGGGGCAGCAGGCCCAGGCCCCACCCTCGAAGCCCATGCAGACCTGCTCTCAAGGACTCTGCCTTGGAGGGGGAAACACGACTCTGGGACCCCTGCCCCCATGCGTGGTCCATATGGTCCTATGGTCCCACCGCGTCCACGGGATCAGGTTCTCTGGTGAGAACTAAACCAGGGGCAATGCTGTTGCTCGCTCATGTTTATGGAGTCCAAGGCGAGCTAGTCAGGACAGGAAGCTTCTGACCCCAAGAGCACTGAGGACCCAGGCTCCTCGCAACTGTGGCTGTGCCATCCTCAACATGTAGATTTCACCTCATAGCACATTATGGCTGCCAAGCTCCAGCCATCAAATTCCATCCCATCCTGCAGACAGGAAGGAAAAAGAGCAAGCCTTTCCTTTTATGGAGGTGTCTTGAACCAGAACTTAGTCAAATGGCCACACGTGTTGCAAGGGAGGCTGGCTGTGCACCTGGCCAGGAATGGGGGGTCTATTTCTTTTCCTTTTTTTTTTTTTTTTTGAGACGGAGTCTCCCTCTGTTGCCAGGCTGGAATGCAGTGGCAAGATCTAGGCTCACTGCAACCTCCACCTCCCAGGTTCCAGCGAGTCTCCTGCCTCAGCTTCTGCAGTAGCTGGGACTACATGTGCATGCCACCATGCCCAGCTGATTTTTGTATTTTTAGTAGAGGCCAGGTTTCACCATGTTGGCCAGGATGGTCTCGATCTCTTGACCTCGTGATCTGCCCACCTCGGCCTCCCAAAGTGCTGGGATTACAGGTGTGAGATTTCTAAGGGACACTGGGAGGCTGGCCGCACACCCGGCCAGGAATTGGGGGTCTGTTACTAAGGGACCCTGGTTCTCTGACTCCCTCCCATTTCTTCAGTCAGCAAGAACGGGGCCCAGGGAGAGAGGCACAGGGTTCTGGGAAGTCTCAGGCCCTGTCCCTGCAGGGCTGGGGCTCAGCGATGCGGAGAAGGGAGGGGAGCGACCCCTACAGCCCAAAGAGCAAAGCTACTTGTGATGGGACCGCTGCCCTCCCTTCTGAGTGAGTCCTGTGGTCTCAAGCCCCGGGGCTCTTCCTCTCCTAGGGCCTGATATTGGTGGGGGGGGGGGCTGCCTCACCCCATTGTAGGTCAGCCGGTATTTAGGAGCTGCCTCACCCCATCGTGGGTATTTAGGAGCTGCCTCACCCCGTCGTGGGTCAGCCGGTATTTAGGGGCCGAGGTCTCCAAGCTCCTCAAAGGTGGCAAGACATTCTGGGGCTGGGATTCCCAGAAAAAACCCTTCTCAAGCCCCTTGAAAGGCCCCCAGGACAGCCCTGAGTCCAGCCTTCTGTCCTGAGGGTTGTGGGGTGCAGGCTCCGCGGGGGCTCCAGCTGCAGCTCCACAGGGGTTGGTTCTAGGCCTCAAGAGCCTCCTTCCAAAGACGAGGTCTCCTGGGGTCAGGGGTTATAGGGACCCCCCCTGGTCTCTGCCCAGGCTGTTGAGCACCCCAAGTCCCTCCAGCACCCCAACCCTAGCCAGGCTGGACTCAGGGCAGGGCCAGAAAGACAGGCAGGTCTGCAGCAGGCGGAGCTCAGCTGCGTCCCCATTATCTTAACGCATCTCTTGCCTCTTGTCACAAAGAATTAAAATCCGTAATAAGAACATTTAAGAGCTCTTCATAATTGTGTGGCCATTAGCCGACTGCACGGGGTGTCAATCTAGCCATCTCGCTCCGGTCCCAATGAATTGTGATAAAAATGTCAAACAATTAGATTATCTTGGCCACTAGCACGGTGATGAGTAGCCAGGCGTGTCCCTCGAGTCACCCTAACAGCGGGAGCTGCTCCGCGCCATGCTAAAGCCACTCCAGGACAGCAGGACGGGCCGATGGGGGTCAGCGTGTCGGCCCAGCATGCGGGGTCATCCCAGGAACCCACGTCCCAGCCCCTTGGAGCCCAGCTGGAGAGACTGTGGGGCCAGAGGGAGGTGTGGGAGAGGGGCAGGGGAGGGTAACCCCTGGGAACAGGACAGAGGTGGGGGATCCAGGCCCCTCGGAGGGTGCAGAGCCCTGAGCTCAGCAAGGAGGGGCAGGGAGCTCCCAGGGCCCAGCCCTGTGCTTGGGAAAGGAGCCGGGAGGGGGATGGGCAACTGAGCGGCCCCAGGGCCTCAGGTCCACCCCCTTGGCCGGGTCCCCTCGGCCCCGTCCCCATGGCCCCGTCCCCTCGGCCCCATCCCCTCGGCCCTGTCCCCACGTCCCTGTCCCCTCGGCCCTGTCCCCACGGCCCTGTCCCCTCGGCCCTGTCCCCACGTCCCTGTCCCCACGTCCCTGTCCCCTCGGCCCTGTCCCCACGGCCCTGTCCCCTCGGCCCTGTCCCCTCGGCCCTGTCCCCTCACAGGGCTCTCGCTCCACTTGCCCTTCCCAGGAACCACGGCTGCCTTTTTTTCTTACGGGTGAAGACGTATTGGAAATTGATTTCTGTGTTGGAAATGGGATAATTAAACTGGTTGTTTCCATCTTCATCATTGTCATCATAAAACGAGGACAGCCGGGTGAGGCTGGCGTGAGGTGACACCCACGTCTCGCGCAAGGGGGCATTAATTGAATACGAATGGCCTCTCCTGAAGTTGCTGAGTTATATTTCAGAGATATGGGATAATGATGCCATTTAATCATTTTTACAAGATATAAAATTACTGGCTCCTCTGGGAAGATCATTAAGGAAAACAATTGTTCACAGCAATTGGAGATAGAGTTTTAATTATTTAACACAGAAATTAAACTATTAGAGAGACCAGTGTTGGATGAGGCAACTTACTAGAAATTTATATACAAGCGTCTGTGAACATTTTAGTTTTATTAACCCGCCTAATTCCTTCATCCAAATCCGTCTGAAAGGCCTCTTGGCTGTGCCTGTGAGTGGCGGCCCAGAGCCCCTGTGTTTCCAGAGAGGACGGCCAGGGCGTGGCTCAAGGGACATCCCGAGGGTACCCAGGCCGGGCCCTCAGGCTGCAGGGGAGGGGCTGAGCTGCCAAAGAAGGGAGAGGCGGGGGCGGGGTAGGGGCCTACAGGGGCTGCGAGGTGCACCTGGGGATTACAAGAGGGACGACTGCAGGGTGCTGGCCACGCCCTTTGACCTTCCCACAGCCTTTTGGGTGGGAACTTTGGGGACCTACCTTCCAGGCCACATGTGTGTGACCCCAGTGAGTATGGGACGGGGGGCATTGGCTGTGCCCAGGCCCCCCCAGCCCACTCTGCTGTGGCCCAGACCTGATGGGGCCCTGTCGCCCCACCCTGTCCAGAGAGGCCACCTCCACCGGTGCAGTGAGGGGCTGAGGCTGCGTTCCAGAGCCCGGGCTGCCGGGAACTCACACTCTTTAGAGGGTCCTTGCCAGGTGCCTGTCGCAGGGTAAGGGGAGCTTTAAACGGGACTTGGACGTGACCACCTCCAAATGGGGAAGCTGGGAAAGTTACTGGAGACACAGCACGAGCTTCGCCATGCAGGAACGGAGGCTGATGGGAGCCAGAAAGGATCCCTAAACATTGCTGTCTGGTGTGGCTTTGGGTGAAAAACCCTCATTCTAAATGTGTAAAAATTTTCAATCTGTAAACTAATAAATGGACATTTTTAGATGGTGGAAGAACTGAGGGCACCAGATTGGACAGCTTGTTGGGGGTGCCCCTCCACCACCTGGGACCCGAGCAGGACGAGGCCTCGTGGGAGGGAAGCGCCGGGGCTGGAGGGAAGTCACCTCCCCCAGCACGCAGTCAGGAAGCTGGGGGGCAGCCCCCAGCCGGGGCACAGCAAGCCTCACCTCATGCTCCCCCGAAGGCCCAGGCCAGGTTTCCAGCTGCTTTCTGGGGAGAAGACGGGGCTGCTGAGTGTGTGGCCTGGGGCTTGGGCTGACCCTGTCACTACCCAAGCGGGGACAGCAGTGCAGGAGCGTCCCTGCCTCCCCTGGTCCCAGGGGCCCTCTGACATCCGAGAGGCCCGGGCTGGGGACCCGCTGGCCGGGGGAGCGTCTCCTGGAAGTCCCGTCCCCCACCGACCTGCATGGTTTCTGCGCTCGGGACTTGCAGGCTGAGGGCCAAGCACCGCGAGACCACCCTCTGTCCCCCATTATCTCCAATAAATTCCAAGGCATCTGCTCTTGCCTTATAGTTTTTAGGGTTACATAAATTTCACCTATGCAATTTTTTTATGCTTGAATATATTACAGAATGCCACTTCTGTTATGGAAGCTAATTGATAATGTGATTTGTTATGTTGCCGGGACATAATTCAGAAAGTTATTTTAAAGCCTGTGATGCATGGAACGGCACTCACCGTTTAATATTTCTCACATGTGTGGACACAGCGTAGGGTAAAAAATGTGGTGCTGTGTGGATGAAATATTTCCAGAAGCTTTTATTCTTGTTGTTTGGGTGAGCGCCAGCGGCTCCATAGAAGGAAGCCCATATTTCCAGCGCAGCTCTGATTTGAATTTATTTCCTGGTCATTAGTTAGCTTTTTTTTTTTCCTAAACTGAAATAAGCATGTGTATATATTTGAAAAAAGAAAAATCAAACAAAAGAGGGGAATCACACATAACCTTTCAATATTATCAAAGATGTGCATTTGAAATTTTTATGTCAAATTAATTATAGATTCACAGGAAGTTGCAAAAACAGTACACGGCGCAGCGGGTCCGCTCCCCGGCCTTCCCCAGCGGTGACCGCACAGCTGCAGCCAATGGCAAAGCTGGGAAATGAGACTGGTTCAAGCTCTCGGTGAACTGCGGGTGCCGTGGTTCCTTTCTCAGGTAGGGATTGGCGTTGCAGCCACCGTCGAGACACACAACTGGTGTGTCAGCAGCGGGCCCCCGTGCCAGGCACGCTAACTGTGCAGTGCTGGAGCTCTGCCGCCTTGAGATGCTCTGCAAGCCGCACCCTGCGGTGTGTGAAGCTTCTGATGCTGGCTTTGTCCTCAGCCCAACTCCTGGAGGTCTGTCCGGGCCGGAGCCACCGTTCTCTGCTTCTGTTGCTTGGCAGCATTAACCCCAAGTGGACAGAGCGGAGTTTGACCATTTGCTTGTGGACGGACACAGGGTTGCTGTAAACACTCGTGTGTGCGTTTGTGTGAAGGTGCATTTCCCGCCCTCTGGGCTAAACGCCTAAAAGTGCAATTGCTGGGTTGTGGCTTTGTAAGAATCAGGTCAACTGTTTTCCAAAGAGGCTGCACCACAACGTGTGAGAGGCCGTTTCCTGGTGTCCTCACCAGCATTTGATGTTATCTTTATTCTTTTTAAAATTCCAGCTATGGGACTAGGTACGTAGACCTTTTTTTATTTTTGAGACAGAGTCTCGCTCTGTCGCCCAGGCTGGAGTGCAGTGGTGCCATCTCAGCTCAGTGCAGCCGCCGCCTCCCGGGTTCAAGTGATTCTCCTGTCTCAGCCTCCCGAGTAGCTGGGACGACAGGTGCGTGCCACTGTGTGCGGCTAATTTTTGTATTTTTAGTAGAGACGGGGCATCACCATGTTGACCAGGATGGTCTTGATCTATTGACCTTGTGATCCGCCCGCCTCAGCCTCCCAAAGTGCTGGGATTACAGGCGTGAGCCACCGCGCCTGGCCCATAGACCTATTTTGGACAATTTTGGGGCCACCTGTCCTGACCCAGCTGTCTGGGCTCTCGTCGGCCTGGCGTCAGTGCCCGGCAGGAGTTGGGTGGGTGCCGAGCCGGGCGAGTGGGCTCCATGGGTGCAGCGTGGCGGGAACGCCTTCGGCAGACCCTTCCCTCCCTCACGGAGGGGATTCTGAGGTTGCACAGGCAGCCTTGACCTCACGTGGCTCCCGCACTGAGCTTCTGTAGGCCACGCGGGAGGGGCTGCCCTCCGGCCTTCCCATGGCGAGTCCCAGGCTGAAGAAACAGCCCCACGCGGCCCCACGCAGAGGGCGGGCAGGAGCGCTGGCGGGAACACGCGAGGCTCACGCTCTGGCCCTTTGGGGCCGTCCTGGGACTTCCCCTGTTCCTGGCCAGAGCCCGTGTGTATGGCTGGAGGGTGCGTCCCCAGAAGGCTCTGCAGGCCCCATGGTCCTCCCGTGGTCCTCCCATGGACCAATACGCCCTTTGACCCCCCCCCCAGCCCCCACTCATCCGGCCGAGTTGGGAGAGACATATCCAGAAGGTCAGAAAGGCCATCTGGAAGGCACGTCTCTTCCCCAAGGAGCCGCTGGATGCAGCAGCCCACCAGGAGTGTTCAAGGAAGAAAAGCATCACTTCACGAGAAGCTCCACGTGGTGCTTGCCGGCACAGACTCCACCACCCATGATTCTCCTTATTCTGGAAGGTTCCTTCTGAGGGGCCCTGCACGTGTGCAGGGTACGTGGCCTGTGCCAGTGTGAGCCCCACCCCCATCCCCACTCTGGAAAGCTGCTGGGTTCAGGGGGCGCATTTCTTGCGGGCCAGGAGCCCCCCACCCAGAGCCTCGAGTCACGGAAACCACTCACAGAGACTGGCTTTTGTTGTTTGTTTAGTGGAACACTCAAATCAAAAACAGGCTCACGGTCTGAATAGTCTTCTGGTCTAAGCAACTCAGCACCAGCGCCGCCAAGGGGAGGCCGCCCTTGTCCTGGCCCCGGGAAGAGACGCAGCTCCAGCCCCGACGCAGACCCCATGGCGCACACAGGCAGGCAGAGCTCGAGGTCCAGGCGGCTGCCTTGCGGGAAGTCGCTGGGGGAGGGTCCCTGGCTGAGGCTGCACCAAGGGCTGGGGAGAGGCCCAGGAAGGGGAGAGCGAGCTGGGAGCTGGGGATGGGAGCCGGGAGGTGGGGATGGGTTGGCAGAGGGGCAGAGCCAAGGGCAGAGGCAAGTGCTGGGGCCCCAGCAGCTGATGGGAGGCAGGTCCAGGCCTGCACTACCCGATGGCTTGGTGCGGCAGCCCATACAGGACCAAGTTGAGCGTGGTGGGAAGGAGCTCGGAGCTTTGGAGCAGCAGCAGCTTGTCCTTCAAGGTCTGAGAAGCCTCGTCTGTGGAGAAAGGGGCGGGAGCTATGAACCCCGAGGCCCCGCAGGACGTCCAGCCCGGTGAGGACCAGGGCACAGGGGCGGGAAGTGGCAGCTGCTCCAACTGAGGGCGCTCTGGGGAACACACTGCCATTCGCCAGGCCTCCAGGGCGCCCCCACCACCCGCACCCCTCCCGCACCGAGGTGTCCAGGCCCGCGCAGCCGGGTGACGGCACCAGGACTGGACCCCCGATCCGAAGCCCACCATCCCCCTCTACCCCTTGGCCAGGCGAGCTGCTCTGCTGGGGGGGCGCCCGTCTAGAGTGTGGCTGCGGCCTTGCAGGAAGCAGCAGCCTCTGCCCCTTTTGAACAGTGACAGTCACTGGGCTCATGCCTCCATTGCAGGGACCAGAACTTGCAGGTCATCGCTGAGCAGCAGCAGCGGGACAGCCAGCCTGGCTCTGCCCTTCCCCGATTCCCCAGCAGGGCATCGTGTGGGCCCCACACTGGCCACATCACGGCGGCATCCGTGTCTGTGCCCTGCTCTGCATTTGCAGGGATGAGTGTGGGTTCCGTCTGCCTTCCTCCTGCCCCTCGCTCCCTCTCTCCCCCAACAAGCAGGGATCCTTGGGACCGGTATCCCCGGACCGTGGACCACGTGCTCTTTACACGATAAGCTCCTGGTGAGCGGTGGATACTGAAGGCCTCTGGGGGAAGCCTTCTTAGTCAGGGCAGACCACCCCCTCCGTGCACCGCTGAGCGCCTCAACTCAGGGTCCCGGGAAGCTCCTCTGTGGCTCCTCCCCGGGGTCCCGGGAAGCTCCTTTCTGGCTCCTCCCGCCTCACCGTGGCAGGAGGGTTTTGCTGACTCTGAAGGACGGCTGGGTGGGGTTCCGTCTGTCCGTGTTTGAGAACAGACCATGTCCCGTGCCCCTTCCCGACTTTTCCCCTGTGAGGCCAAGAGAGGGACGGGCGCTGGATGCCATGTGACAGGCAGGCTGCTCTCCAGGACGCCAATGGGAGACACCCCTCAACCCATGCATTCCTCTTCCGGGAGGCCTCTTCCTGGGCTGGGACTCCTGGTCATATCAAGGGGCCGTCGGGCACTGTGGTGCAAGCTGTCGGCCCCCTAGGAGTCCTTGCTTGGGGAGGGGGCCAGGCACAGCTGCCACCTGGATTTCCCACTGGTTCCCAGACAGCCCCTGGGCTCGTGGGGATTGTGTGACTGGAGCTGTCAACGAGGAACCGTGATGCTTTCCCTCTGGGTTCTGGAGCCACGTGGCACTGTGGGCCGTCACTGCCGAGGGTCGCGCCACGGTGGGGGGCTGGGGTGGTACAGAGACGCAGGCAACTTCCAGGCAAGAACAAGCCCTCCCTCTTTCCGGCTCCTAGTTAACGTCTGGAGTCCCAGGTCCCCCACGGAGAAGCGGAGACACCTGTCCCTGCAGGGCTGTGCAGTGCACGTGCCCCATGGGCAGTGGCTGCAGAGGGTGCTGAAGGCCGCGGGGTGCAGGCCGCCCCTCCCTTACCTTGGTTCACCGCCTCGTCGCCACTCATCTTCTGAAGGAGACGCACTGTTTCTCCAATTGGCTTCCCAACGGCCAACAGATCTAGGGGAGAAACGTCCCCTCAGGAGGGCATGGACACCCTGGCAGCCTTGCTGAAGGGTTGCGGGACAGGCCCGGGATGCCAGGGGCCCACGCACTTTCCCATAAGACGCTGGCCCGCAGCGCGTTGTCCTGCAGCAGCGTCGGCCACTGGTTTGCCAGGATGCTCTTGACGCCCACCAGGCTCAGCAGGATGGCCGCCTCAACGGGCTCCTCCAGGGACAGCTGTGAGGCGCTGTGGGGACCCGGCTCCCGTGGGCTGGTGCCAGGGGCCCGGCTGAGCCGCCCCCCTCCCCATGCACAGCCACACCTCGCCAACTGCTGGAACGCATGTGCACCCTGACAGCTCTCACCGTTCTTGAAACCCGACCCCAGGTCCCTCCTCCCTTGTGGGTCCCACGCCCGTCTGTCTGACCTCTCCATCCTCAGCATCCCTGCCCACCCGTTCCAGGCAGCCAGGCACCTCCTGTGCTCCACGCTCTCCATGTGCCTCTTCAAGCTCTGGTAGGACCGCGCCAGGTCCAGCAGGACTGCCACCTGGCACTCTGCCGGGACGGGAAGGGCAGCTCAGCAGCCTTGGCCTGACATGGGGAGTGGGGATGGGGTGTGGGCAGGTGGGGCCTGTGCCCCAAGGGCGCAGCAGGGCATGGCACGCTGGCCACTCAGCTCCGGGCTCCGACCTCATGACCGTCAGGTTTTTTCCAGGGACCCCCTGGCCACAGTGGACCTCGCCAGCCTCAGGAGCCCAGACCCCTTCACAGCCTCCTCCCGGCGACTGTGCCGGGCAACAGGAAGTGGTGGGAAGCCCACCTGGGCTCCCCCAGCCTCCTCTGCCCTGGAGGGCATCTCGGCACCCCCACCATGCCTGGACACCCTGGCACCCCACATGAATGAGGTGTACGAGGTGGAGCCCTCCCCAAGGACGGAGGGACAGGCTGCTGGGGGGCAGCACTGACTGGGGGCTGATGTGAGGGGGCCACATGTCCCTGTGTAGTGGAGACATGGCAGGCTCCTGGGATGCAGGGGAGCCCCGGGCACTGGGCATGAGCTGGTCACCCTGGCCTGGGCCCTCCACGGAAGCAGGGATCGGGGGCCAGGGCAACCCTGGGCGCTGCCCACTTCCACTCGCAGCCTGGCCGTTCCCGCAGACAGGCTGTCCAGCTGCGTGAGGCCGAGGCTGCTGGGGAGTTGGGGGAGCCCTGGCGAGGCCTCTTCTACTTTACTCACTGCCTCAGTTGGAATTCAACTTTCAAAGAGGCCCATTTCTAACTCCACCTGGGATGGGCTTCCAGCACCTCTGATGGCCAAGGCCCAGGCTTGCAGAGCAGAGTGGGGGTCCTGCTTGGCCCCACCCAAGTGCAGGCCCTGGGTGCCAGGTGCCACAGGACAAGTGTCCACACACCTGCTCCGCTCCATCAACAGGGCCCACACCCCTCATGGGGGGCACAGCAACTCCCGAGTCCCTAAAAGACTCCTGTCAACCCCACACAGTGGGGCCATCAGCAGCCCCATCAGAGAAGGTCACGGCAAGTGGGCTGGCCCTGCACAGGGGGCGTCCTGGTGGGGCTGCAGCCACAGGACGTTGAGTCAGAGGGGTGGCCTCGGCACAAGGCTGAGCCACGCCTGCCTCCTGACCACTCGCCCTGCGGTGTCCGAGTGGCTGCGCCTGCTGTCTCCGTCAGCACTACCCTTGGGCCGTGGCGTGTGACAGGGTGACGTACCCCTACGTGTGTGCTGTGCTCACGCCACGCCCCCAGCCTGCCCTGCCATCCCCACCTCCTGCCAAAAGCCCCCCCTGTGCTGGAGCTGGCTGGGGTGTCACTGTGCCAAGCATGGCAGGACCACACCTGGCAGCCCCTCCACGGCTGGTGGATGGCGAAGGGGAAGGCGAGGTCCCGAGTGCCCACGATTAAACTAGAGGCCCTGAGGGAGGGGCCGTGACCAGCGCGGTCCTGAGCCCACCCCAGCCTTCCTGGGCTCCTGGGCCCAGCACTGACTCCTGCCAGGTCTGAAAAGCTGGGCTGGGTGGAGTGGGGGCACTCGGAAATGAAGGGCGGGAGGGCCAGAAGCCCCTGTGGCTGCCACGTCTGTGTGGGCCAGGCAGGGGGTGCAGGGGTGGGTAGAGGTCGTCCACCTGCAGACAGGAGGGGCCTGCAGTCACAGAGGGTGGGGGGCAGGAGGGGGCTGCGGCCACAGGGGGTGGGGGCAGCACCAGCAGGTGACAGTGGCCCTGCTCTGCCCTCAGGCGGGTTTGTCCTGTGCCCGCGGGGGAGGGGGTGCTGAGAGGACACCTCTCACCTTGCAAGTTCATGGCGACCAATCTCTCCACTAATATATGGGACAGGAAGCTCTCCATTCCATAGAAGAAGAAACCGCTGCAGCTGCCCAGGGCCTGCTCCCACTGGGCCTGGCTGCAGAGAGAGGAGAGCGCTGGTCAACAGTGCCCATGCACCTGTACCAGACCCCACCGTGCGTTCTTAAAGCAGGCCACATCCTGCGTGGTCCACGCCTGTCCCATTTGTGCATTAAACTGAACTTTCTTTCATGTTCCTAATGCCCACGCCTCCCTCCTCTGTGCTCTGATCACAGGGGTCACGGCGGAGCCTAGTCAAGGGGACCCACGGTGAGCATGGACTTCTACGCTGGAATGAACACCCCTACTCGGGCGGGGCTCGCTGCGGGAAACGCTAGGAGGGGCTTTCCCAATGGCCCAGCACCTGGAGGTCAAGGCACCCCCAGTACTCCAGGCATGGGAGACAGTGACCAGACCAGGGTTCCCTCCTTCCATACAGGATCCCAGCCCTGCCCCTGCAGCCCCACCCCTGCACACACCTGCCCCTGCAGTGCCACCCTCTGCACACACCTGCCCCTGCACACACCTGCCCCTGCAGCCCCACCTCTGCACACACCTGTCCCTGCACACACCTGCCCCTGCAGCCCCACCTCTGCACACACCTGTCCCTGCACACACCTGCCCCTGCAGTGCCACCCTCTGCACACACCTGCCCCTGCACACACCTGTCCCTGCACACACCTGCCCCTGCAGCCCCGCCCCTGCACACACCTGCCCCTGCAGCCCCGCCCCTGCACACACCTGCCCCTGCAGCCCCGCCCCTGCACACACCTGCCCCTGCAGCCCCGCCCCTGCACACACCTGCCCCTGCAGCCCCGCCCCTGCACACACCTGCCCCTGCAGCCCCGCCCCTGCACACACCTGCCCCTGCAGCCCCGCCCCTGGCGTGGAGCCTGTGACGTGGAACGATCCCTCCCACCCGTGGTGCTCTCTCCCTGATTGCTCTGTTCCCTGCTGGCTGCTTCTGGACACCTCTGGACCACGGAACCCCAAGGGCATCTGGGGGGCAGAGTCTGCGAGTGGTCTCTGGAGGGGCTGCAGTGCTGCTGGTGAAGAGGCAGCCCCTGCTGCTGGACCATGTGCTATCAGTGACCCTGGGGGCCCCAGGTCGCCATCTGTAAAGCAGGGTAACAGTGCCCCTCGCCCAGTCTCTGTGAGGATTCAAGGAGCTGGGTCTGTCTCAGCATTGCATGCTGTATGTGGCAGGACTGGCAGGGCAGACCCAGGGAGCCGGGGGTAGGGGGCAGTGGCTCCCCGCTGGACCCCCAGACCTGCCACACTGCAAACGGCTCCTGGGAGCCCAGATCCGAACCTGGGAAAGTGCTTGCTTCCCAGATGTCCCGCCCATCGCGACGTGAATGTGTCTTGGAATCTTTCCAAAATGTCTTGGGTGATGGAGACAGGAGTTAGCATTTCTGCAAGGAGAACAGGGTGGATACAGACCACGGTGTTTCATCAGACACGGGTGTGCAGGGCCGGGGTCCCTGGGGAGGGGTCACAGCGAATGCAGGCGCATATATCAGTGCCCTGCCATGCCCGGGTGGGGTGATGGTAGAACCAGGCTAGCCAGAGAGAAAACCTCAACAAATTAAAATATTTACAGCCAAAATGGGGCAAGCACATATGCAGATTTCGGAGCCTCGAGGAGTGGGGCACCAGTTGCTGCCCACAACTGCAGGACGGCAGGAGGCCCGAGGCTGGCGTGTGCCTGAACAGGGAGCCCTGTGCAGCACCCACCTGGGCCCTGGGCCTCCTCGTATGGGTCCACGACGACTGGGTCCCGGTCAAGGAGAAACGGGAGCACAGGGCGGGGTCTGGGGCCCCCCCGGGGCCCATCAAAGGATACACTTGAAGTTGTCTGAGTCGACTATGATGCAGTCAGGGGGGATGGTCCGGGGGATGCTGCCCTGCAACCACAGACCAGGGTCAGCAGGTGCAGGGGCCAGGAGCCTGACCTCCCGCTGTGCCCACCAGCCCGATCCCCTATCACAGGCCCCCACCCACCTTCCTGCCCTTCTTCGCTAGGCTTCTCTTTTTGGGGTCTCTGCTTCTTCCCTCCTTTTTCACGCCACCTTCTGTTGAAGACAAGAAAGAGGCAGGGATGTTTGGCAGCAGCTCGAGGCAGCCCTCCGGCCACACGGTCGGTTAATTTCATGTTATGCAAATTTCACTTAAATGAAAAAAAAAACAAGTTGTGAGAACAAGCGGTTTTAATTTGTGTAAAGTTGACGTGGCAATAACTTGTGAAATGCAAAGGTTCACAGGGTTGGGAAAGTCCTTAAGAAAGAACCAGTCTCCAAAGGCTCCAAGGCCCACCTGGCTGACCATTCACCCACCCCACTGGGTACTCACCAGTGTGCCTGCCATGCCCGGGCCCCTCACTGGTTCCAGGGCCTTCTGTACAGGGATTTACAACCTGCCCCTTTCGACACGAACACTTTCTTTTGCAGGCTCTGAGTAGATAGTCATGTGCCTGGGAAGGATGGCCACTTCCCTCCTGTTTCTGCCCCCGACTTTCCTTTCTGTGTGCCTATGCTGGGGCCTCCAGCAGACAGCGGAATGGACGCACGCATGGGGCCCACTGCCTGACCGCCTTCAAAGAGGCTGCTTCTGAGGGATCCTCATTAAGAAGGAGGCTGTCTCCAGCTTTTGATGGATTTCTTTATCAGGATGGGGCATTGCGTTTGGTTCCTGGCTCACGAAGTAAATATGTGCATTTTATCAAATGCTTTTCCCCTGCGCTGACTGAAATGCTTGCACTGTTCCTCTAGGACATCTGTACGTTTTAAGGTTAAACTGGGGCCCGGCACGTGGCTTATGCCTGTAATCCCAGTGTTTTGGGAGGCCGAGGAGGGAGGATCGCTTGAGCCCAGGAGGTGGAGGCTGCAGTGAGCTGTGATTGTGCCACTGGACTCCAGCCTGGGTGACAGAGCGAGACCGTCAGGAAGTGGGGAGGAAGGGAAGAGAAAAGCTGAACTGAGTGATGGCAGCTTATCTTTTTATGTATTTTTTGTGCTGTTCTGGGGCAGTCTGGGAGGAGGTAGGCTGGCCTAGGGAAGGATGGGAGGAGCTGTCTACTTTTCTATTACTGGGGAGATTTATCTAACACTGACATGATCTGTTTCTTGACAGTCTGGCAGAATTCAGTGAAAACATGGAAAAACATATTTTTTGTGGGAAGACTCAAATCCATCGATGTCCTTTTTTATTGGTTATGAGACTACTCAGGTTTGCTTTCTTCCTGGCATCGGAAGGTGTTTTCTCCTAGTATTTTGTCCTTGCTGCCCAGGGGTTTTGCTACGTTGATTCAAAGTTGCTCGGGGACTTCCGGGTTCTCCTGTCGCTGCTGGTGCGTCGTTAGCGCTGTGTCTTTCCGTTTCTGGCGTTCTCGGTTGCTCTTCTCTGTGGCATCTCTGTTTCCCTGGCGTCTTCTGCATGTTCTCCTCTGCTCACCTGGGGATCATTCTGCCTCCTTGCTCTGACTTCTTCTTTTTTTTTTTTTTTTTTTTTGAGACGGAGTCTCGCTCTGTCGCCCAGGCTGGAGTGCAGTGGCGCGATCTCGGCTCACTGCAAGCTCCACCTCCCGGGTTCACACCATTCTCCTGCCTCAGCCTCCCGAGTAGCTGGGATTACAAGTACCCGCCACCACGCCCGGCTAATTTTGTGTATTTTTAGTAGAGATGGGGTTTCACCGTGTTAGCCAGGATGGTCTCGATCTCCTGACCTTGGGTGATCCGCCCACCTTGGCCTCCCAAAGTTCTGGGATTACAGGCGTGAGCAATTGTGCCCGGCCAACTCTGACTTCTTAAATCAGATGCTGAGCTTCTGAATTCCTGGCGCTTTTCCTATTCTGACGTTGGCATTTACATCTGCAATACCTTCTAAGTTATGTTTAGCAACATCTCGCTAGTTTTTGACATTTCCATGATCATTTCATGTCTTCTGAGTCCCATGAGATATTTAGAAGTGAGCTGTTGAATTTTCAAGTGCGCGAGGATGGAAAAAAGTCTGCCTTCGGGAACTGCTTTCTACCCTCATCACGCTGTGGCCTCAGATGCGGGCCGTCTGCCTGTGTCTGAGGCACAGTGGGATTTGCTTCTCAATTTTGTGATTATTCCCAGGATACTTGAAAAGATTGCAAATCGCCACTTTTGAGGCACAGAGTTCCATGTCTCTATTAAGCCAAGATTGTTAATTATGTCGCCCTGAATCTCTCTCTTTTTGCTCTTTGTCTGGACCGTCAGTAATCCAGGCGTGGTAAAATCTCCCAGCGTTGGGGCTGGCCAACGGCTGCACCCCGCGGTTTTTGCTTTTTATTGCTTTTTGTATTTAGAGGCTATTTCATACCTCTGAGGAGGCGAACTTTCGATTCTCATGATGTCCATGTCCCTAATAATGCCTGGCTCTAAAGTCTGTTTCCTCTGAGAGTCAGACACCGGCCCTCCGGGTTACTCTTAAATATTTACTCATTTTCCCTTCTCTTGGTTTATCACGTGGGGGTCATTTGTGACGGGCGTGCTTCCTGCAAAGGGCATGCGGCTGGCACCTCTTATCTCCTGTGTCTTCTCACTGGCAGGGTTGGCCAATTTTCTTTTTTTGATATATGACATAAATGGGCCAACTTCTACCATCTTACTACTTTATTTTTATTTGTCCTGGTTTTCTACCTGTTTCTCCATGACCAGCTGTTGGATTTGATTGAGGTAACCGGCCCCTTCGTCTTCCTCATTCATTCTTCCTTCTCTATTTGTTGGGAGTTTGCACACCGACTCTCTGGTGGTGTCCTTAGCGCTTTACGGCAGTGCGGCCACACCTGGCGGCGCCCCAGACTCAGCGGTTGGCGGCTGAGGACACTCAAGGCTCTAGATCACCGGCAGCCCGGCTTTCAGTGACTCTGTGGTGAGGGTTCTGTTAGTTTGTGTGGCTGCTGTTAACCAATTACTACAAAACGCAGGCTTGATGTGGCACTGCTTCCTGTCTGACGGTTCTGGGAGTCGGAGGTCCGAATGGGGTCACTGGGTCACAGTGAACGGCGTCGGCCGCGCTCTGCCTGGAGGCTCCCGGGGAGAATCCTCTCCTGGCTCCTGGCCACGCCCTCCATCCTCACCGTCGGCAGCGCAGCCCCCAGGCTCCTTCTCCTGCTTCTCTTGTGTGAGGGCTTTCTCATCACCTGGGCCCACCCAGATCCCCAGGATCGTCTCAAGTCTGGAATCGCATCTGCAAAGCCCCAGGACCACGCGACGTCGCAGGCTCACAGGCACCCCTGGGCGGCCCGTGTCCTGCCAACCACACCGTTGCTGGAGCGTCTAGTTGGGCTGCTGCTTTCCTTTTCTGCCCCTGCCATGACAGTGGTGGCCGCGCCGGGCAGTGGGGAAGGGAAGGATGTTTCAATAAGCGATGTGCAGACAGCTGGATCCCCTCGTAGAAAAAACCTTAAACTCCACTTCACACTCCACAGAGTCCATCTCGGATGGCAGTTAGGTGGAAACGTGAAAGGTGGAACACAAAAAAAGATGCATTTAGAGGATGTCATCGGAGAATATTTTCATGATCATGAGGTGAAGAAAGATTTTAAAAACCCCGAACACACCTAATGACAAACCACAGCTAACAGTGAAAAGCACAAAGCTTTCACCTAAGATCAGAAACAAGGCAAGGAAGCCCACTCTTGACTATTTAAACAGCGCTGGAAGTCCCCACCAGAGCAGTCGGGAAAGAAAGAGAAATAACAGGCCAGGTGCGGTGGTTCATGCCTGTAATCCCAGCACTTTGGGAGGCCGAGGTGGGTGGATCACCTGAGGGCAGGAGTTTGAGACCAGCCTGACCAACATAGCCAAACCCCGTCTCTACTAAAATTACAAAAATTAGCTGGGTATGGTGGTGTGCACCTGTAATCCCAGCTACTCGAGAGGCTGAGGCAGGAGAATTGCTTGAACCTGGGAGGCTCAAGGTTGCAGTGAGCCGAGATTGCGCCACTGCACTCTAGCCTGGGCAACAGAGTGAGACTCCATCTCCAGAAAAAAAAAAAAAGAAAAAAAAGAAAGAACAGGCACACACATCAGAAAAAAAGATGTGAAATTATGTTTGCAGATAACAAGCTCTTATATATACAAGACCTCAAAGACTCTACCAAAAAACTGTTAGAACTAATAAATTAAGTAAAGTTGAAAGACACAAAATCAACATACAAAAATCAGTAGTATTTCTATACATTACAATGAACTATCATTAAAATCAGTACTATACATTACAATGAACTCATCATTACAATGAACTATCTAATTAAGAAATTAAGAAAACCACCCTATTTATAATATCATCAGAACGAATAAAATACTTAGGAATAAATTCAACTATCAAGTGAGAGATCTGTGCCTTGGAAACTGTAAGACACTGAGGAAACAAGTTGAAGGAGACATAAATAAATGGGAAGATATCCTGTGTTCATGGATTGGAAGAATTAATCTTTTTAATTGCCCATATTACCCAAAGCCTACAGATGCAATGCACTATCAAAATTCCAATGGCATTTTTGACAGAAATAGAAAAGCAATCCTAAAATTTATGAGGAGCCACAAAAGACCCTGAATAATCAAAGCAATCCTGAGCAAGAACAAAGCTGGTGGCATCACATTACCTGACTTGAAATTATGCAACAAAGCTATAGTAATCAAAACAATGTGGTACTGGTATAAAAGCAGACACTGGGCCCGATAGAAGAGAATGGAGAATCCAGAAATAAACCCACACGTTCAGGGTCAATTGATATTTGACAAAGGTGCCAAGAACACACAATGCGGAAATGACGGTCTCGTCAATAAACAGTGTTGGGGTAACCCAATATCCACACACAAAACAATGAGTTTGGAGCCTTATCTTACACCATCTACAAAAACCAACTCAAAATGGATTACAGGCTTAAATGTAAGACCTGAAACGATAAAACTACTAGAAGAAAACACAGGATAAAAGCTCCTTGACTGGGTCTTGGCAATGATTTTTTGGATATAACATTGAAATCATAAGCAACACAAGCAGAAATAAACACGTGAGATCACATCAAACTGAAAAGCTTCTGTATGGCTAAGGAAATAACGTAATGCAAAAGTGATCTATGGAGTGGGAGAAAATGAATGTAGAATGTATATTTGATAAGGGATCAATAGCCTAAGTATATAAGGAACTCCTATAATACAATAGTAAAAAACCAAACAACCCAATCGAAGAACGGGCCAAGGACCTGAAGGGACATTTCTCTAAAGAAGACATAAAAATGGCTAACAGGTTGATGAAAAGGTGACATCTAAAGGTGACGACGGAGCAGGTCTCAGCCTTAGCAAGATGACATCCTGTCGCCGTTGGCGACAACATGGATGAACCTTGAGGACATCACGCAAAGTGAAAAAAGCCAGGCACCGAAGGCCAGAGGCTGCATGATTCCATATACATGAGGAATCTAAGAGTGCAGCTCACAGAAGCAGAGTGAGTGGTGGCTGACGGGGGCTGGGGGAGGGAGTGAGAGGTGCTGGCCCAGGGTGCAAAGCCCTGGTGGTGCAGGATGAGGAAGCTCCGCTGACCCGCAGGGCAAAGGGTACACAGCGCTGATGTGTGCTGTGTGAGCACTGATGTGTGCTGTGAGTGCTGATGTGTGCTGAGTGCTGATGTGTGCTGTGAGTGCTGATGTGTGCTGTGTGTGCACTGATGTGTGCTGTGTGTGCTGATGTGTGCTGTGTGTGCGCTGATGTGTGCTGTGTGAGCACTGATGTGTGCTGTGTGTGCTGATGTGTGCTGAGTGCTGATGTGTGCTGTGAGTGCTGATGTGTGCTGTGTGTGCACTGATGTGTGCTGTGTGTGCTGATGTGTGCTGTGTGTGCGCTGATGTGTGCTGTGTGTGCACTGATGTGTGCTGTGTGTGCTGATGTGTGCTGTGTGTGCGCTGATGCGTGCTGTGTGAGCACTGATGTGTGCTGTGTGTGCTGATGTGTGCTGAGTGCTGATGTGTGCTGTGTGTGCGCTGATGTGTGCTGTGTGTGCTGATGTGTGCTGTGTGTGTGCTGATGTGTGCTGTGTGTGTGCTGATGTGTGCTGTGTGTGCGCTGATGTGTGCTGTGTGTGCTGATGTGTGCTGTGTGTGTGCTGATGTGTGCTGTGTGTGTGCTGATGTGTGCTGTGTGTGCTGTGTGCTGTGTGTGTGCTGATGTGTGCTGTGTGTGCTGTGTGCTGTGAGTGCTGATGTGTGCTGTGTGTGCTGATGTGTGCTTTGTGTGTGCTGATGTGTGCTGTGTGTGTGCTGATGTGTGCTGTGTGAGTGCTGATGTGTGCTGTCTGTGCGCTGATGTGTGCTGTGTGTGCTGTGTGAGTGCTGATGTGTGCTGTGTGCTGTGTGTGTGCTGATGTGTGCTGTGTGTGTGCTGTGTGAGCGCTGATGTGTGCTGTGTGAGTGCTGATGTGTGCTGTGTGTGCTGTGTGTTGTGTGTGCTGTGTGAGTGCTGATGTGTGCTGTGTGCTGATGTGTGCTGTGTGTGCTGTGTGCTGTGTGTGCACTGATGTGTGCTGTGTGTGTGCTGTGTGCTGTGTGAGCGCTGATGTGTGCTGTGTGAGTGCTGATGTGTGCTGTGTGTGCTGATGTGTGTTGTGTGTGCTGTGTGAGTGCTGATGTGTGCTGTGTGCGCTGTGTGCTGTGTGCTGATGTGTGCTGATGTGTGCTGTGTGCTGACGTGTGCTGTGTGTGCGCTGATGTGTGCTGTGTGTGTGCTGTGTGCTGTGTGTGCGCTGATGTGTGCTGTGTGTGTGCTGTGTGCTGTGTGAGTGCTGATGTGTGCTGTGTGTGCTGTGTGTGCTGATGTGTGCTGTGTGCTGATGTGTGCTGACGTGTGCTGTGTGCTGACGTGTGCTGTGTGTGCGCTGATGTGTGCTGTGTGTGTGCTGTGTGCTGTGTGAGTGCTGATGTGTGCTGTGTGTTGTGTGAGTGCTGATGTGTGCTGTCTGTGCGCTGTGTGCTGTGTGAGCGCTGATGTGTGCTGTGTGTGCTGTGTGCTGTGTGTGCAGTGATGTGTGTTGTGTGAGTGCTGATGTGTGCTGTGTGTGCGCTGATGTGTGCTGTGTGTGCGCTTGTGTGTGCTGTGTGTGCGCTGATGTGTGCTGTGTGTGCGCTTGTGTGTGCTGTGTGTGCTGATGTGTGCTGTGTGAGTGCTGATGTGTGCTGATGTGTGCTGTGTGTGCTGATGTGTGCTGTGTGTGCAGTGATGTGTGCTGTGTGAGTGCTGATGTGTGCTGTGTGTGCACTTGTGTGTGCTGTGTGTGTGCTGATGTGTGCTGTGTGCTGTGTGTGCTGATGTGTGCTGATGTGTGCACTGTGTGCTGTGTGTGTGCTGATGTGTGCTGTGTGCGGTGATGTGTGCTGTGTGTGCGCTGATGTGTGCTGTGTGTGTGCTGTGTGAGTGCTGGTGTGCTGATGTGTGCACTGTGTGCTGTGTGTGTGGTGATGTGTGCTGTGTGTGTGGTGATGTGTGCTGTGTGTGCAGTGATGTGTGCTGTGTGTGTGCTGATGTGTGCTGATGTGTGCACTGTATGCTGTGTGTGTGGTGATGTGTGCTGTGTGTGCAGTGATGTGTGCTGTGTGAGTGCTGATGTGTGCTGTGTGTGCTGTGTGTGCTGATGTGTGCTGTGTGCTGATGTGTGCTGACGTGTGCTGTGTGCTGACGTGTGCTGTGTGTGCGCTGATGTGTGCTGTGTGTGTGCTGTGTGCTGTGTGAGTGCTGATGTGTGCTGTGTGTTGTGTGAGTGCTGATGTGTGCTGTCTGTGCGCTGATGTGTGCTGTGTGTGCGCTTGTGTGTGCTGTGTGTGCTGATGTGTGCTGTGTGAGTGCTGATGTGTGCTGATGTGTGCTGTGTGTGCAGTGATGTGTGCTGTGTGAGTGCTGATGTGTGCTGTGTGTGCACTTGTGTGTGCTGTGTGTGTGCTGATGTGTGCTGTGTGCTGTGTGTGCTGATGTGTGCTGATGTGTGCACTGTGTGCTGTGTGCGGTGATGTGTGCTGTGTGTGCGCTGATGTGTGCTGATGTGTGCTGTGTGAGTGCTGATGTGTGCTGATGTGTGCACTGTGTGCTGTGTGTGTGGTGATGTGTGCTGTGTGTGCAGTGATGTGTGCTGTGTGTGTGCTGATGTGTGCTGTGTGTGCTGTGTGCTGTGTGTGCGCTGATGTGTGCTGTGTGCTGTGAGTGCTGATGTGTGCTGTGTGTGCTGATGTGTGCTTTGTATGTGCTGATGTGTGCTGTGTGTGTGCTGATGTGTGCTCTGTGTGCTGATGTGTGCTGTGTGAGTGATGTGTGCTGTCTGTGCGCTGTGTGCTGATGTGTGCTGTGTGTGTGCTGATGTGTGCTGTGTGTGTGCTGTGTGCTGTGTGAGCGCTGATGTGTGCTGTGTGAGTGCTGATGTGTGCTGTGTGTGCTGTGTGTTGTGTGTGCTGTGTGAGTGCTGATGTGTGCGGTGTGCTGATGTGTGCTGTGTGTGCTGAGTGCTGATGTGTGCTGTGTGCTGTGTGTGCACTGATGTGTGCTGTGTGTGTGCTGTGTGCTGTGTGAGTGCTGATGTGTGCTGTGTGTGCTGATGTGTGTTGTGTGTGCTGTGTGAGTGCTGATGTGTGCTGTGTGCTGATGTGTGCTGTGTGCTGATGTGTGCTGTGTGTGCTGTGTGCGCTGTGTGCTGTGTGCTGATGTGTGCTGATGTGTGCTGTGTGCTGACGTGTGCTGTGTGTGCGCTGATGTGTGCTGTGTGTGTGCTGTGTGCTGTGTGAGTGCTGATGTGTGCTGTGTGTGCTGTGTGCGCTGATGTGTGCTGTGTGCTGATGTGTGCTGATGTGTGCTGTGTGCTGACGTGTGCTGTGTGCTGATGTGTGCTGTGTGCGCTGATGTGTGCTGTGTGTGTGCTGTGTGCTGTGTGTGCACTGATGTGTGCTGTGTGTGTGCTGTGTGCTGTGTGAGTGCTGATGTGTGCTGTATGTTGTGTGAGTGCTGATGTGTGCTGTCTGTGCGCTGATGTGCGCTGTCTGTGCGCTGTGTGCTGTGTGAGCGCTGATGTGTGTGTGTGCTGATGTGTGCTGTGTGTGCAGTGATGTGTGCTGTGTGAGTGCTAATGTGTGCTGTGTGTGCTGCTTGTTTGTGCTGTGTGTGTGCTGTGTGCTGTGTGAGTGCTGATGTGTGCTGATGTGTGCTGTGTGTGCTGATGTGTGCTGATGTGTGCACTGTGTGCTGTGTGTGCGGTGATGTGTGCTGTGTGCGCTGATGTGTGCTGTGTGTGTGCTGATGTGTGCTGTGTGTGTGCTGTGTGCTGTGTGAGCGCTGATGTGTGCTGTGTGAGTGCTGATGTGTGCTGTGTGTGCTGTGTGTTGTGTGTGCTGTGTGAGTGCTGATGTGTGCTGTGTGCTGATGTGTGCTGTGTGTGCTGAGTGCTGATGTGTGCTGTGTGCTGTGTGTGCACTGATGTGTGCTGTGTGTGTGCTGTGTGCTGTGTGAGCGCTGATGTGTGCTGTGTGAGTGCTGATGTGTGCTGTGTGTGCTGATGTGTGTTTTGTGTGCTGTGTGAGTGCTGATGTGTGCTGTGTGCTGATGTGTGCTGTGTGCTGATGTGTGCTGTGTGTGCTGTGTGCGCTGTGTGCTGTGTGCTGATGTGTGCTGATGTGTGCTGTGTGCTGACGTGTGCTGTGTGTGCGCTGATGTGTGCTGTGTGTGTGCTGTGTGCTGTGTGAGTGCTGATGTGTGCTGTGTGTGCTGTGTGCGCTGATGTGTGCTGTGTGCTGATGTGTGCTGATGTGTGCTGTGTGCTGACGTGTGCTGTGTGCTGATGTGTGCTGTGTGTGCGCTGATGTGTGCTGTGTGTGTACTGATGTGTGCTGTGTGTGTGCTGTGTGCTGTGTGAGTGCTGATGTGTGCTGTATGTTGTGTGAGTGCTGATGTGTGCTGTCTGTGCGCTGATGTGTGCTGTCTGTGCGCTGTGTGCTGTGTGAGCGCTGATGTGTGTGTGTGCTGATGTGTGCTGTGTGTGCAGTGATGTGTGCTGTGTGAGTGCTAATGTGTGCTGTGTGTGCTGCTTGTGTGTGCTGTGTGTGTGCTGATGTGTGCTGTGTGAGTGCTGATGTGTGCTGATGTGTGCTGTGTGTGCTGATGTGTGCTGATGTGTGCACTGTGTGCTGTGTGTGTGGTGATGTGTGCTGTGTGTGCGCTGATGTGTGCTGTGTGTGCGCTGATGTGTGCTGTGTGAGTGCTGATGTGTGCTGATGTGTGCACTGTGTGCTGTGTGTGTGGTGATGTGTGCTGTGTGTGCAGTGATGTGTGCTGTGTGTGTGCTGTGTGCTGTGTGCGCTGTGTGCTGTGTGTGTGCCCTGATGTGTGCTGTGTGTGTGCCCTGATGTGTGCTGTGTGAGTGCTGATGTGTGCTGTGTGTGTGCTGATGTGTGCTGTGTGTACTGATGTGTGCCGTGTGCACTGATGTGTGCTGTGTGTGTCCACCGCGCTGTGGGCTCAGAACCCACTGGGAGGGTGGAGCTCATGTTAGCATTTCTTACCATCTACAGACACGCAATATAAAGGGGCAGGAGGAGCCTTTGGGAGGCGATGAACACGTGCATGGCCTGATCACGATAATGTCTTCGTGGACACACTCATCCACAAACTCACTGAGTGGTCTATGTTAGGCATGTACAGCTTCTTACATGCCGGTCACACCTCAACAAAGTGGCTTAGAAAACATGCTAAAAGCACCAGCTATTAAGAAAAAGATTGATAAATTAGACTATAATAACATTAAAATATTTTGTTCATCAAAAGACCCATTTAAGAGAGTGAAAAGAACTGGTACAGAGAAGACATTTGTCATTCATATAAACAATAAAAATTATATCCAAAGTATACCAGGAAAATCCAACAAACCTCAAAGAACAAAACCCAGATAACCCCACAGAAGAACCGGTGAGAGACAAAACAGGCTCTTCACAAACAGCTGGTTGGTGAAAAGCCGAAAGGGCTGGGACTCCCGGGCACACCAGGACATGCAGACAGACAGGGTGTCTGGTAACGGGGGGTGGGGCAGATAAATTGTGGTGGGTGGAACACGGCCGGCCACAGAGACCAGCCACGGAGCCAGGCAGGAACCAGAGCCACAGAGACCAGCCACGGAGCCAGGCAGGAGCCGGAGCCATGGAGCCAGGCAGGAGCCGTAGCCACAGAGACCAGCCACGGAGCCAGGCAGGAGCCGGAGCCACAGAGACCAGCCACGGAGCCAGGCAGGAGCCGGAGCCACAGAGACCAGCCACGGAGCCAGGCAGGAGCCGGAGCCACGGAGACCAGCCACGGAGCCAGGCAGGAGCCGGAGCCACGGAGACCAGCCACGGAGCCAGGCAGGAGCCGGAGCCACGGAGACCAGCCACGGAGCCAGGCAGGAGCCGGAGCCGCAGAGACCCACCACAGAGCCAGGCAGGAGTCGGAGCCACGGAGCCAGGCAGGAACTGGAGCCACAGAGACCAGCCACGGAGCCAGGCAGGAGCCAGAGCCACAGAGACCAGCCATGGAGCCAGGCAGGAGCCAGAGCCACAGAGACCAGCCACGGAGCCAGGCAGGAGCCGGAGCCACAGAGACCTGCCACAGAGCCAGGCAGGAGCCGGAGCCACGGAGCCAGGCAGGAACCGGAGCCACGGAGACCAGCCACGGAGCCAGGCAGGAGCCGGAGCCACAGAGACCAGCCACGGAGCCAGGGAGGAGCCGGAGCCACGGAGACCAGCCACGGAGCCAGGCAGGAGCCGGAGCCACAGAGACCAGCCACGGAGCCAGGGAGGAGCCGGAGCCACGGAGACCAGCCACGGAGCCAGGCAGGAGCCGGAGCCACAGAGACCAGCCACGGAGCCAGGCAGAAGCTGGAGCCACAGAGCCAGGCAGGAGCTGGATGCAGCATGTGCCCTCAGATGCCATTTGCACGAGTTTAATAACAGGCACCCCAGGCTGCAGGATTTTGGGGTGCTGATCTTGGAGGTGAGGTGATAAAAGGCCCTGGCTTTGCAGTACAGTCAGGAGGGTGGGCGCTGTGGGCGGCGAGCTGGGCTGGGGAAGCAGGAGTGGCTCTCGGGTGGGTGCAGGTGCTGCCTCCTGCCTGATTCTCCATTTGGGCATTTTTCTAGAGCCATGGTGCACTTCACTATCAAAAACGGTTTCCGACACCTCCATGAGCCTCGTGTCTGTGCCAACCGACTCCAGCTCCGGGCTCCCTGCCTCTCCACCCGGCACTCCCACCCTCTCCACAGCCTGAGCCCCACCCAGTCCTGGGCCACTGAGCCACCCTCCTGCCATGCAGGGCAGACACAACCCCACACGGTGCTCGTCAGGGGAAGGCAGGAGGGCGGCCGGAGGGACCAGCCACAGTTCCGAGAAGGGGCTGACCGTGGCCTGTGATGGACGGGGCACCCAGTGGGCCAGAATCAGACGGAGAACAGCTATAAGCTGCCACGCCGACTGCTGTGGGAGCTCCTGGGCCTGGAGGAGCCTCCCTGGGACACGGTGCCTGCAGGGCCCTCTGTCCTTGGACCTCCTCCTTCAAGGATCCACTTCGCACATGTGCCCTTCTGCAAACTTCCGTGACACCGATGCAAATTTGCTCTTTCTGTATTTCATGTAAAAAATTTCCACTCACAAGCAGGAGACTCCACGAGGCCTTGGGGTCACAGGAAGGCTCGGAGTGCCAGAGTACAGAGTCCAATTTGAGCATTGTTCAGGTTCAACTGACCACAGGGAGCTGCCTGCATTTAAAGTGAGCAACGTGACGGGACTGGACGCTGCACGCCAGCAAGTCATCGCCACAGCGAAGGTCACGGCACACCCAGCCCCAGGAGCTTCCCCAAAATGCCTGCAACCCTCCCTCCTGCACCCACGACCCTCCCCCAACTTCTCCTGCAGCCCCAGCCCCCACCCCCAGGAAGCAACTTACCTGCCTTCTGACTTGTACATTGGTTTGTATTTCCCAGGCTTTTGTAAAAATGAAACCATCCCTGTGCACTCCCTTGATCCAGCCTCTTTCCCTCAGCGTAATCCTTCTGAGTGAGCCCCGTCACCCCTCGGCGTAATCCTTCTGAGTGAGCCCCGTCACCCCTCAGCGTAATCCTTCTGAGCCCCGTCTACGCTGTCCCACGCACCAACAGCTCGCCCCTCATTGCCGGGCAGGACCCCACCACGTGGCCGCACCCCAATGTGCTCATCGCCCACTGGGTGTCCAGGTGTCCGTCCTGTGGGTGATGGATCTTTCTGTGGTTTCCCGGTTTAGGTCATTGCAGATAACGCTGCTGTAAACATGTGTATGAGTTTCTGCGGGACGCGTGTCTCCTTATCTCTTTGGTAGATGGAGTGGAATGACTGCGGCATACAACAGGCCTGCTTTAACTTCTTAAGAAACTGCCAAACTGTCTTCCAAAGTGGCTCCAGCATTCACCATTCCCACCAGCCGAGTATGAGGGTTCCGGTTCCACACCCTCCCAACACGCGCTCTGGTCGACTGTGTGAGTTTCACCCATTCTAACAGGTGTGCAGGGGTATTCCATTGTGGTTTCCATTTGCATTTCCTTGATAATTAATGATGTCGGGCATCCTTCCATCGTACTTTGTTTGCTATCTAAATCTTTTCTCGTGAAGTATCTGTTCAAATCTTTTTTAGGGTTGTTTCTTTCTTATTATTCAGTTTTGAGAGTTCTTTATATAGTCTAAATTTGTTACTGTTATCAGATTCTTCCAGTCTTGGCGTAACTTTTCATTTTCTTAACAATATCTTTCAAAGAGTGGAAATTCTTAAATTTGCTGACGGTCATAAAGATTTTCTTCAGTGCTTTCTGCTAGAAATGTGAGGGTCTTTGGTCTCGGATCCATTTCGAGCTGATTTTCCTGCGTGGCGTGCGGCCTCGTTTTTGTTGTGTTTCGTTCTGCACTTGGACGTCCAGGGACTGCAGCCACTCATGGAGATGCCCTTCCTCCGCTCAGCGTCCTCGTCCCTTTGCCAGCCACCACCCGGCTGTGCACCTGTGGCGTGCTTCTGGTTCCCCGCCCCATCCCCTGGGTCTACACGGCTACCGTCACGCCTGCGCTCCACTGTATCAATACTGCACCCATGTGACGGGGTCCTGACATCAGGTGGCGTGTGCCCTCCTGTTTTGGCTATTATAGGGGTCCCTTACATTTTTATATAACTTTTAGAATAAGCTTGTTAACTTCTACAAAAAAAAAAAAAAAAACATCCTGTGGAGATTTTGACTAGAATTGTGTGGAATCTATAGATCACCTTGGGGCAAGGTGACACCTTGGCAATATTGGGCCTTCTCATCTAAGAGCATGATGTTTCTCTCCATTTGTTGAGTTCTTTAATCTCTCTCGGCAATGTTTTATAGTATGAGCGTATAAAGTCTTGCACCTTTTGTCAAACTTATCCCTAATTATTTCCTGGCTTGGAAGCTATTGTCAATGGTAGTGTTTTAAGTTTTAATTTCTGATAGTTAGTTATATAGAAATGCAATTGGTTTTTGTACCTTGACTTTTATATCCTTCAACCTTGCCAAAATCACTCACTAGTCAGAGTAGCTTTTTCTGTAGATTAGACTACATTTTCTACACAGATGATGAGACCACCTGCAGAGAAAGACCACCTAGATGCTTTTCCTTTTTTCTTCCTGCCTCTCTACTCCGGCCGGGATCTCCAGCGTGGTGCTGACACTGCAGTGAGCGGCCCTGCCTGGCTGCTGGCCTTAGGGGATGGCCTCAGCCTCCTGCCAACCTGCGACGCTCAGGGGCAGGTGTTCTGCAGATGTCCTTTGCCAGCTGGAAGAAGCCGCCTTCCCCTCCTCATTTTCTGAGAGTTTGTATTCCGAATGGATGTTGGGTTTTGTCAAATGCTTTTCTGCATCTATTGCAATCATCAGATAGTCTTTATTTTTTAGCTTATGAATGCGGTGAATTACATTGGCTGATTTTTCAAATATTAAATTAATTACCCTTGTATTTCTGGGTTAAAACCCACGTGGACATAATATAAATCCTTGTAACATATTGTTTTGCTCCATTTCCTAACATTTTGTTAAGAATGTTATTAGCATCTATAGCCATGAGGCATATTGGTCCATTTTTTTTTTTTAATCTCCTAATGTCTTTTTCTGGGTTTGGTATCCGGATAATGCCAGCCTCAGAAAATCAGTTGGGAAGCAGAGTCTCCTCTTTTAATTGCTGTGGGAGGATGTGTGTAGAAATCCTCTGGGTATAGATGTTTTTTCTTTTCTTTTTCTTTTCTTTTTTCTTTTTTTTTGAGATGGAGTCTCGCTCTGTCACCCAGGCTGGAGTACAGTGGCATGATCTCAGCTCACTGCAACCTCCACCTCCCGGGTTCAAGCAATTCTCCTGTCTTAGCCTCCTGAGTAGCTGGGATTACAGGCACATGCCACCACACCCAGCTAATTTTTGTGTTTTTAGTAGAGATGGGGTTTCACCATCTTGGCCAGGCTGGTCTTAAACTCCTGACCTCGTGATCTACCTGACTTGGCCTCCCAAAGCGCTGGGATTACAGGTGTGAGCCACCGCGCCCAGCCAAGGCTTTTTCTTTGTGGGAAGATTTTAAACTAAAGATTCTATTACTTTAATAGATACAGGCATATCCAGGTCATCCCTTTCTTCTTGAGCGAGTTTGGAAGTTTGGGTCTTTCGAGGAACTTGTCCATTTCATCTAAGTTGTTAAATTTATTGGTGCAGCATTATTCATTATTTACTTTTTATCCTCTCTTGACTCTGTAGTGATGCTGCCTCTATCATTTTTGATATTGATAATTTTGTGTCTCTCTTTTTTCCTGATCAGCCTGACCTGACTAGAGGTGTATTAATTTTATTGATTTTTCTCAAAGCACTTGCTTCTGGTTTGTGTTTCTGTTTCCTGTGTCATAGATTTCTGTTCTTATTTTCATCATCCTTGATGATGCTTGTGTTGAATTTGCTCTTTTTCTAATTTCTGAAGATAGAAATAGCAGCCATTGCTTTGCAGCCTTTTCTTCTTTCCTAACATACATGCTTAGTTCCATAAAGTCCTTCTTGCGCTTCAGCAGCATCCACACATAATGATAAATTGTGCTTTTGTCTTCATTCACATCACAATATTTTCTAAATTTCCCTCCTTTTAATTTCTTCTTTTATCCGTGGGTATTTAAGAAGCATATTTAGTTTCCAAGTGTCTGGGTTTTTCCAGGCATGGTTTCTGTTATTAAGTTCTTATTTAACTCCACTGTGGTCAGAGAACCTACTGTGGGTAATTTGGACCCTTTCATATTTTTGAGGCTTGTTTTATGGCTCAACTTAGGGTATATCTTGTCAAATGTTCTGTGTGTGTGTGTGTGTGTGTGTGTGTAAAGTGTACATTCTTCTGCCGTGGGGGGAATGTTACATCAATGTCCGTTACTGATTTGATGCATATTTGTTCCATCACTGTTGAGAAAGGGATGTTGACCTCCCCAGCCATCCTCGGGTACGTCTTGATTGTTCTGTGGCTCCATGGGTTTTGTCTCGTGTGTTTTACGGGGATGTTAATCGATGTACAGACACTGAGGTTTCACATCCTCTTCATGAATTAGCCTCCTCCTCTTTACGGAATGGCCCACTGTAGCCCTGGTCACATTCCCAGGATGAACTCCACCTTTTTCTAATTTAATCTCACCATGCCAACCTTCTTTGGATACTAAGAGATAAGGTTTTTCCATCCTTTCTTTTTAACTTACCATTTTCTTTGTATTTAAAGTGGGTTTCTTGGAGGAAGCATATTTTGAACGCTGAATTTTCATTTAATCAGATGATATTTTTCTTTTAGTTGGGGGTGTTTAGACACTTAATGTGATGATAGATATGGTTGGGTTGAAATATACTATCTTGCTATTTGTTTTTCTTATTTTTCCTATCTGTTCTCTGTTCCCTTTTTTTCTGTGTTTTTTTGGATTAAGGGTATGTTTATGATTCCATTTCATCTTCTTCGTTATGTATTTGCTATAAACTCTGTGGGGTTTTTTGTTTGTTTTTCTTGTTTTGTTTTTATTGATTACTTGAGGATGTATAGTTTATAACTTTATCACAGTCTATCTCCAAGTAATATTATACCACTTTCTCCAGAGGATGGAGACTTTAAATACTTTGCTTCCATTCCCTCCCTCTCATCTTTTGTGCTGTCGTCATTCATTTCACATTTATGTTATAAAACCCCATACCATTATTATTGTCTTTTGCTCTAAGCTTTTTGCTCAAAAATATTTTAAAGAGATTTTGAAAATAAAGGCGTTTTAAGTATTTATCCGTGTTTTCACTATTTTCAGAGCTGTCTGTTTCCCTGGACTCGCACACAGGTGGTGGCTGTCTTCCTGCTGAGGGCTCTGCAGATCTCGGAGTGGCCGTTCCTTGCAGCTCTCTCCTTCCAGGTGTCCCGCCCTGCACGTTGTAGTTGTCAGTTTCCCAGACTCCAAACTGTCTGTCCTCAACTTGCGGAGACCCCTGGGCTCTTCCTGCCCCCCCCCCCCAATGCTGTGGCCTGGAAATTCCCCAGAGAGTAAGACCTGGGTGGGCCATGGCGCTCGCCAGCCAAACCCCCTTCGAGGCCCCCCGTCCTGCGCGGACTGCTCGTCAATGTTTGAAAACCCTCATTTCATGTGCTTTTCTCTGGTTTTTATTTGTCTCAGCTGGAAGAACGAATCTGGTCCCTGTTACTTCATCTGAGATGGAAGCAAAAGTCCAATCGATTTATTTTTAATTTTATTTGATACCGAAGTGCAGAAAACTGCACGTACCGCAAGGGTAGCGCTCGGGGAAGCTTCACAACCGGGGCACGTCTGCACAGCCAGCACTCAGTCACAGAATGTCATCACCCCCGAATCCCAGCCGAGGTCAGGGCCTTCCGCGCGCTCCCTCGTGCTTTTCACTGTCTGAGTGATTAACGGAGAGGCTGGCTGTTTACTACACATCTGGTCCCCTCCTTTGAAACAGGTATTTGTGGGGGCAAGAACAGCGTTAAGTTTGTCTTCCCTGTGTGTTTAGCACCAGGATACTGGCACATAGCAGGTATTTTATAAATAGTTTTGAGTGTTTATATATATACATATATATTTTATTTTTGACAGGGTCTCACTCTGTTGCCCAGGCTGGAGTGCAGTGGCGCCATCTCAGCTCCCCAAAGCCTCAGTCTCCCAGGCTCAAACCATCCTCCCACCTCCCAGCCTCCTGAGTAGCCAGGACCACAGGTGCACACCACCATGCCCAGCTAATTTTAAACTTTCTTGTAGAGATGCACTCTCACCATGTTGCCCAGGCTGGTGAGTATTTATATCCTACAAATATCTTTGAATGAATAAATGCCTAGAAAAATGTTGCAACATTTGATGATTATTTCTTGATAGGAGCTAACATTGTTTCATCTGAAAAATAATTTAAATATTTCCATTTTAAAATTACACATTAAGGTGGCTGAGGGCAGTTCCTACCTGTCTCTTCTTTATGGAGGCGATTCCACAGCATTTGAAGAGAAAATTCTCGTGACACAGAGGAAATTGTCCCTTCATCGAACACAGAGAGACCTTCCAGTGGCAGCTCCAGGAGATGTCTGTCTGCGACCAGGACTATCTTATCGGCAACCTCAGGCTGGACTGTGCCTGGGAAACAGCAGTGCAGGGAGATCAGCTCCTGAAGACGGGACCCCTCCCACGGGGTCGCAGGGCTCCGTCTTCTGACTTGGCTGCTGGGCGCTGGGAAAGGCTGGCAGCCCGCCTTGACTCCATGCCACCTCCTCCTCCAGATGCCCCAGAACGGGGCGAGGAACAGCCTCCCATCACGCCTGTCCCTCCACACGATTCTTTTTGTTAGCAAGCACGTGTGGTGTGGCGGGGCTGACAATCCACCCACGCGAAGGTGGCTGTGCTGGGTTCCGTGGTGCTCTCAGGAGGCTTGGCACAGAGCCTCCTACCCAGAGGGCTGGTCCAGGGCTGTGCAGAGAACCTTCCGGGGACCTCAGGCGCAGGGAGGCCTCAGGGGAAGGAGCAGCAGGGCTTGTGGGACTCCTGGGTTCCTGACCCCCCCTGGCGTTCCCGGATGGGTGGGTGGATCCCAACCCCACCTCTTCTGGCGGGATGAGCTCCCCAGGCTGAGTGGCCACGCCCGCCCCACTCACTGTGTTGTCCTGTGGACGTTTTCCTCTCCTTGTCTTTGCCCTTCGACTTCCCTGAATCGGCAACAACCGCAGGTGTCTGCACTCTGAAAGTCAGGTTATATATTCGGGTTTAAGAAACAGAGATAACAAACGCTTGGAATATAGGCGACACCTGCTCAGCCTGTTTCACTCTAAGGCAGCAGCACCACGAATCCCCACGCTCACTTCTGGGGATGGTCCCACTGAGGTGGGGCCGGGATGAGCCACAGGATTTTGGGATCATCTCTGATCCACCAGCCAAGCTAAACGGTGCCAGGTGTCCGTCCCCTCTGCCTTCCTTCCCACCCCAAATCAAAGCAGCCCGGGCGGTCCCTTGGAGGTGCTTGCCCTCCCACCCCACACTTGGGCCAGGGGCTGGAGGGACCGTGGGCAGTGGGCAGTGGGCAGTACTCCTCCAGGCAGGAATGGAGGCAGAACCAGAAGAATTGCTTCCTGGGAGCAGGCAGGCGGCGCCGAGTCCTGAACAAAGGCGGCCGAGAAGGCACAGCAAGCACACGTGGTTGGCCACAGCACTGGACACACGTGTCCATGCGTGAGCGTGGTGGGGTGCCAGCCTCAACGTCATCCCCAGTACCTGGCCTTGGAGAGGCTGAGCAGGGGGAATAGCGGCTGCAGAAGCTCCTCCAGGGGCCCCAGGACGCTACTGAGCCTCTGCACAGGGCGCTCCTTCTCTTCCACCTGCAGGCCTTCTGGTTCCTACCGCAATCCAAAAAAGAGGCCCCCGTAGCAAACAGGGCGCATGGCCCAGACCCCGCGAGGGCCAGGCCCCTGCAGAAAGGCCGAGCTCCTGCCCCTTCTGCAAACAGCATGGTGGACAAGGGCACCTGGCTCGGCAACGAGGGCCCCATAGCACCTGGCCCATCCTCTGGAGGGTCACCCTGAGACCCCAGCCCCCACCCATCTCCTCTGCCCGCACCACGGAGGGTCCTGCCTGTGGGGACAGCCGGGCCCAGGTGACCCTGAGCTCTGCGGAGCAGAGTGGACCAGGCCCCTCCTGTTTGTGCTTCAGGGATCAGACATGGCCAAGGAGCCCAAGGAGCAAGTTCTCCCCCCACATGGAGCTTGGCCTGGGAGTTGGGCAGTGCCCGGGTGTTGGGATGGCCCAAGCCCTTCAGCAGCCTGGCCTAGCGCCCCGCCCCTCCCCCCACCTCGCCAGGGTCCTGGCTCCCAGGGGTGGGGAGCAGAGGGTCCCGGCTGGGTGGCTTGGAGCCTGGAGGGCCTCACCGAGCCTATGTTCAGGGCCATGTCCTCACTGTACACCTGGGCCTGGGTCTGCTTCCGGAACTGCTGGGCACAGGCCAGCAGGTGGGAGAAGGCAGTGGGACTTATGGCCAGACGCATCACCTTGCAGGAGCCTGTGGGGACATGGACACACCCTCTGTCGCTGCCCAGGGCTGAGGATGGCAGCTGGACCGTGCATGGTGAGCACTGGGAAAAGGGCTGCTGTCCCACAGGAAAGGCTGCATGGATGGAAGTCCCTTCCTTCATGTGGGGTCCCCCTGGTCCCATGCTGTGGAGACGCTGCCACATCATTGCGCAGGCAGCGGATGGGCCTCCTGGGCCCCAGGGAAGCACACGCCCCGTCTACACCTGTTTCCAGAATGTCACAGGCTCTACAGACCCCTCCATCCCTGTGGGTGGAGGGCTGGGAGAGGCCACACCCCTGGGACCCCAGCGGCTCCCTGGTGGGCCTTCAGCTTCTGGAAGGAAAGGGCCCGTGTGCAGGGAACCTGAGGCACAGTGGGTATCAGCTCTGCTCCCGCCCCCGCTCCCCTCCCGAAACCACTCCCCTCCCGCCCCTGCTCCCCCTTCCCCATGCTCCCGTCCCCTCCGCTCCCCTCCCCCTGCTCCTGCCCCTGCTCCCCCCTCCCCCCACTCCCCTCCCCACTTCCCGTCCCCGCTCCCCTCCCCTTCTCGCCCTGCTCCCCTCCCCCTCTCGCCCCGCTCCCCCTCCCCTCCACCTCTCACCTCCCCCTCCCGACACAGCCCTGCTCACCTCCCCACTCTCGCCCATGCTCCGCCTGCCCTGCTCCCCCTCCCCCTCCCCTGCAGCCCTGCTCACCTCCCACCGCCTGCACCTTTCCTTTGGCTGCAGTAATGAACTTGGGTTTCTCGTAGGCAGCGCCGTACAGACGGGACCTGCTGGCAGGACGTGGGCCAGGGTCGCAGGCAAGCCATGAAGGAAACACACCTCACAGCCCAGCTCCAGCGACCTCAGAGGAGCCCAGTGAGGCCAACTCTGCAGACCATGGACGCCCAGCAGGGCCCTCCCCGTGTGCGCCTCCAGGGGCACCGCTGGGTGTGCATGGCCGGTCAGGACGTGGATTGAGAACACGCTGGGTCATGCACCGGGCACTTGGCCACGGCCAGTGAGTTCTGTGGTCACTGCCAGAGGCACCGCCGGCTGGCTCCAGGCCAGTGGGAGCTGGAGAGGACAGCTGTCCTGCTCTCGGCTCCACCATAACAGTGACCTTCGGGTCCGGACGCCCAGACCAGACACAAAGACCCTGTACTGGAGACAGGTCACAGGAAGGGGTGTGTGGCGTCTCTGGACGGCCCCCCCCCCTTGGGGTACCCGGTGTCTGTCCGGCACCTTCTTGGGACTGTCCGGGCGTTTCCCGAGTCCCAGGCCTCCCTGGGGTGGGGCTGAGGTGTGGGCAGCCCACGGCTGGGTCTCTGCCTCCCTGAGGCCTCTCAGCGGGCTGGGGGCGGCCTCAACAAGAAGGAGCGGCTTTACCTGTCCCCTGAGAGGTGCAGAAAGAGGATCCAAAAGGTCGGAGGCATCTCATTCAAGAGGTTAAAATGCTGCTCAGTGACGCAGAGATTTTGCCAAGCCTGTGTGGCGAAAAACGGCCATCAGGGGATGCATTTAGGACGCAAGGACGTCGCTGTGCTGTTCCCCTCATTTCCAGGAGACCTCGTGGCAGAGCCACGGCGGGGGCTTTGTACCCTTCCTGCCCGAGGCTGGGCCCTTGGGGTGGGGGGCCCTGCTGGAAGTGACTCGGGGCTGCCACCAGGGGGCAGCAGAGGCACGCAAGAGTCACCGGCGGCCCCAAAATGTCATTTCTCTCCGGTTGTTAATGTTTAGAAACCTGATTTGCATGACGCAAAGTGCATGTTCACCAAACCCAAAATAACAAATGGAAAATTCTCCAGCGCCGCCTCTGTGAGTGGTGCCTTTCCCTCCATCCTTCTGTGTCCTCCACACCACACATGGAGACATACATGTACAGACACATGGATGCATGCAGACACACACGCGTGCACAGACACGCACTCACGCAGACAGGCACGGACACACACAGATGCACGTGTACATGGACCCAGACACAGACATGCACGGACACAGACACCCACCCGTGCATAGACGTGCTCACGCGGACATGCACAGACACACACATGCACACGTACACAGATGCACACAGACGCACACAGACATGCACAGACACACGCACACGTACACAGATGCGCACACACAGACATGCACGGACACACACATGCACACGTACACAGATGCGCACGGACACACGCACACGTACACAGACATGCACGGACACACACGCACACGTACACAGATGCACACAGACATGCACGGACACACATGCACACGTACACAGATGCACACACACAGACATGCACGGACACACACATGCACACGTACACAGATGCGCACGGACACACACGCACACGTACACAGATGCACACAGACATGCATGGACACACATGCACACGTACACAGATGCACACACACAGACATGCACGGACACACACGCACATGTACACAGATGCACACACACAGACATGCACGGACACACACAGATGAACACATACACGGACCCAGACACGCAGACATGCACGGACACAGACACGCACGTGTACACAGACGCACACACTCACGCAGACATGCACGGACACACGTGTACACAGTGCAGACTCAGAGCCGTGCCCCCATGCTCCCCTGGGGAAGGCCCTCTCTTCCTGGCCTTAGGCCCCTGGGATGCCAGTCGGCTGTGGTCAGGTGGTGCAGGCAGCAGCTCCGGCCCGTCCGCTCCCGTGGACTATGAGTCTGTCTAATACCAGACCCGGCACGCAGTTCAGGCTCCTCACCACCAGCGGCAGGCGGCCACCACAGCCCCTGAGGGCCAGCCAGAGGGCTCCTGGAGGCTTGGGCCTCTCCGCATGGGCAGCCCTCCATCGAGCTGTGAGGCTTCTGGTTCTGAGTCATAGCTTCAAGTTTGCACAAACAAAGCAGTTTTTATAAAACTTACTATCAAAGTAGAATATACAGAAAGTGGCGTAAAAGCCCATGCGTGAAAAGCTCGATGGATTTTTGCAGTGGGCACACCTGTGTGGCCAGGCAAAGAGATGGGACATTGCCGGCCACTGGCCCTCGTCCCCACAAGGGGACCACAACAGATTCTAGCAGCTCAGGTGGGCTTTTCTGCCGGGCCTCTGGCTTGCGCCGTGGGCTTCACCCAGGTGGAGCGTGGGGCTGGCCTTCCTCCCTGCAGATGCCACAGCTGGTAATGCCACAGCTGGGAATGCCACAGCGTCTTCATCCGTTCTGTGGCCAAGGGCATCTGGGTGGCTTCCCGTCAATGGGGGTCATGAGCGATGCTGCTCTCTGGGGACCCCAGCGAAGGATTTCTACCGGGCGCAGAGTCAGGTGCAGACTTGCTGTGTCAGCTACAGCGATTCTGCCAGAACCCTGCCCAGGGGCTGCTGCACCCACGGGCTACTGTGCCAAGGGGCAGGCATGAGGCCCAGGGAGCCTCAGCTGCCCCCATCCCCGTCTCATCCCCACTGGCCGTGTCCTCCTTTTCCATGGGAGCCATTCTGGTTGGTGTCTGGTTATCTGCGTCAGGCTTCAATTTTGCATTTCCCTGACTAATGAACTTGAGCACCATTAAAATTATTGGCCACACGAATCTCTGCTTTTGTGAGATTCCAACCTCGTGCCATCTTCAATCAGTGTCTCCTTTTCTTACTGAAAAGGGACCTACACCCTTCATCCATGTGGGACACACATGTGTCGGCAACCTAGTGTCAATATCTTCTCATTCTCTGTGGCTGCCCCTTGACTCTCGGCAGGGCGTTTTTGGTGAACAGAACTTCTGAATTTCAGCGCAGTCTGATTTGTCGTTTTTCCCTTGTACGGCTCCTACCCTGTGTCTCCCGTGGCCACAGGGGGGTGGCGCAGCCCCAGGTCCCCACAAGGGACACAGCCCTGGGCCACCTGCCAGGCCATCTCTGTGGAAAACAACATTGCTAATAGCTCAGGGGAACCAGGCTAAGACCTCACCGGAAGGAGGAAGAGCCTTCGTGAACCCTCGGCCACAGAGAGAACTGGTGGCTTCATGGCACGGAGCCTCTCGGCCCACACACACGGAACAGCACCCGAGTTCTTCAGTCTCTTGGTTCTGTATTTTCTTTTCAGTCTTTCTACATGTTATTTCTTTTTCTAGTCATATTGTTCTGTATTCAATACAAGTGCTGATAGGGTGTGCATTTCCGCTCTTGGGGAAAACTTTTCAATACTGTACCATTAAATATGATGCATGCTAGGGCTGTATAGATATTCTTTATTGGATTAAGGACATTTGCTTCTATCTTAATTTTAAAAATCATGAGTTGATGTTGGATTTTGAAAGACACCTTTTTTGCACCTGTCAAGGTGATTTTGCGATTTGTCTCCTTTTCCTTCTGTTAACATGGTCAATGATATCGAATGATTTTTGAATATTGAACCACATGGAACACAACTACTTCACCCTGACGTGGCGCCCCTTATAACTGCTGGACTTTATTTGCAGTATTTTGTTAGGATTTTTGTGTATTAGTGATGAGAGAGCCTTTCCTTTCTTGTAATGTCCCTGCTAAGTTTCTAGTGTCAACGTTCATCTGGCCTCTTAGTAAAAGAGGAAGTTGTTTGCTTTATTTCTACTTTCTATGAGTTTTCAGAGGTTATTTATTCTTCCAGTTTTTGGAAGAATTTACTGGTGAAGCCAGTGGGGTCTGGGTTTTCTTTGTAGCAACATTTTAAATAAGAGATTCAATTTCTTTAACAGACACCGAATCATTTGGATTTTCTACGCTTCTGTTGGCTTTGGTGAGCTGTGTTATGTTGAGGAGTTGGTCCATTTGAGTCCGGTGTTGCCTGTATTGGAGTAAGGCTGTCAAGAACATTCTGTGTGAACTTTCAATGCCTGCATCATCTCAGGGATGGGTCTTTTTCTTACTGATACTGGAAACTTGCCTTTTCCCTTTCTTTCTTGAGCAGGTGTTTCTCCATTTCATTGTCTTCTCTTTGGAACCAACTTGTGCCTTGGATTTCCTCTGCTGGTTTTGGCTTCGCTGTTTCTGATGTTGTATTGATTTGTCCTCTTTCATTTTTCTTAGCTGTAATTTATTGTTGTTGTCCAGCTTCTTGAAATCAAAGCTTAAATCAAGGTGTTTTCTGGCTTTCTTCTTGTATGCAAGGCTGTTATTTTTCCTGTAACCCGTTTGAGCTAAGTCACGTAAGTTTTTATTTGTAGTATTTTCATTCTCTAAGTCAGTTTAAGTCTAAGTCAGTTTAAAGTGTTTTCTGAATTCTGCTGTGACTTCTTCTTTGACTAATTTGATCATCGTAAGTAACTGTTTAATTTCAAGGTGCCCGTGTTTCTCACAGGTCCATTTTTGTTACTGATTTCCTGCTTTATGTCACCGTGGTTGGAAAACACGCTCTGAGTGACCTTGGTACTGGGGATCTCTGCTGTGGCTGTGTGTGGCCCAGCGCTGTTCGGTTTTAGCCATGTCTGGTGAGGGCCTTCTCGCAGGTGGGGACACCATAGAGTCCGGGGTGGCACAGGGCATTCCGTGGCGAGGGGGCTGAGTGTGCCAGCTCAAGTCTCTCCTCCTCTTCCTATAAAGCCACAGTCCCGCTCCCAGGATAACCCCTGAATCTAAAACCATTAATTAGATCAATCCATTCATGAGTTTTGGAGGGAACATTCAAACCATAGCATTCTGCCCCCAAAACTCATGTCCTTCTCATATACAAATAGATTCCTACAAACCCCGTAGCCCCAAAGTCTTAACTTGTTCCAGCAGCAACTCAAAAGTCCGAAGTTCAGTCTTATCTATGAGCCTGTGAAATCAAAACAAGTTCTCTACTTCCGACATACAGCGGTGGGACCGGCTGAGACATTCCCACTTGAAAACGGGAATAGGCAAAATGAGGAGTGGAGGCTCGAAGCAAGCCCCAACCCCACAGGGCTGATGTGATCCTGAATTCAGGGAATGGTCTCTTCCGACAGCACCTGCTGCCTCTGGACGCAGGGGCTGGGGGTTGGGCCTCCCCGATGGCTTTGCTGGGTGCAGCCCACATGGCTGCTCTTATGGGTGGGAGTCCAGTGCCTGAAGCTTCCCGAGCTGCCAGTGACTCCACAGCTCTGGGGTCCTGGTGGGGGTCCTGTTCCCGTGGCTTTGCTCTGCTGGGGCTGTCTGTGGTGGCTCCATCCCTGGGACGAGTCTCTGCCCAGGCCTCCAGGCTTTCAATGGCATCCTTTGAAATCTGGATGGAGGCTGCCAAGCCTCCATCTTGCTCTCTGCAAGCCTGCAGAATCAGTGCCACGTGGCCGTGGCCAATGCTGTGGCCACACCTTCTTGAGCTGTGGGTCTATCTGCACCAGAGCTGCCTGAGCCACCCCTGGGGCCGCCATGGAGAGCTGCACTGGAATTTAGGGAGCATGGTCCCCAGCAGGCCCTGGGCAGAGAGCCTGTGGAGGGCACCTCTGGCACATCCACCAGTGCAATTCTGCCCTCCATGGCCTCCAGGCTTGCAATGGGAGGGCAGCCTTGAGGATCTCTGAAATGACTTCTGGGTCTTTCTTCCACTGCCTTGAAGAACAGCACCCGGCCCTTCCTCTCTGTGCTGACTTTTGGTGAACGGTCTAGAGCCTTGGCTCCTCTCCTGGGCACACCTTTCACTCTTTACGTGGCCAGGCTAAGAGCTTCCAGATCCTTCCGCTCACTTTTCTTTTGATGATAATTCCATCTCCGAGTTATTTTTTCCCTTTTGCAGCTCCGTGTAGTGGTTAGAAGTAGCCACGCAGCAGCCTAATTCTTTGCTGCTTGGATATTTATTCTACCAGATACCCTTGTTCACCACTCTGAAGTTCAGCCTTTGACAAAGCTGTTCCACGTGGACAGTTCAGCCAAAGTCTTTGCTAATTTATGACGAGGCTGGCCTTTATTCTAGGTTTTAATACCTTGCTCCACAGTTCCATCTGAAATCTCATCAGAATGGCCTTTCCTGTCCAAATCAGCATTCTGGTCACGACCACTTAACGGATCTCTAAAGAGTTCCAAACTTTCCCTTGTCATCTTGTCTTCCAGGCAGGCCCTCACCAGAATCACCCTCAATGATCCATTTACAGACATACTGGGTTTTTAAAAGCCTTCTCCTCTAAATGCTTTCAGCCTCTGCTCATTACTCAGTTCCATAGCTGCTTCCATATTTTCAAGTATTCATTATTGTTAACCACCCCACTCCTGGTACCAATTTTCTTAGTCCATTTCCAGTTGTTTATAGCAGAATATCTGAAACTGAGTAATTTACAAAGAAAAGGAAATTATTTCTTACAGTTCTGGAGGCTGAGAAGTCCAAGGTCAAAGGGCCGCATCTGATGAGGGCCTTCTTGCAGGTGGGGCCTCTGCAGAGTCCTGAGGTGGCCCAGAATGACACACGGTGAGGGGGCTGTGTTAGCCCAGGTCTTTTCCTCTTCTCATACAGCCATCAGCCCCACTCCCATGATAACCATAATCCATTAACTTATTAGTCAACAAATGGGCTGATCCATTCATGAGCCCTCATGACCCAGTTACCTCTTAAAGGCCCCACCTCTCAATACTGCCACATTGGGCATTGTTTCAACATGAGTTTCAAGGGAGACAAACGTTCAAATCATAGCACCCTTGCTCTGTCTTTTCCAATGTCCCCCTCAGACAGGGTCTTTTCTTCAGTCTGTTTCTCAGTCACAGATTCAACCTTGGGCTGCATTCACTTTTCCCAGAAACCCCCACATTGAGCCCTTCATTTAGGAGAGCACATATGGGATGCTGCAGAGGACACTATGTCCTGGAGGCTGCGTCCTCTCCAGGCACCACAAGACCACAGCAGATTTCACTGCCTTCCAGAAGCTTCCAGGGGAATGTCCCTAAGGCCCAGGACCTGGTGGGTGTTCCCAGGGTGCTGTGGGGCTGCTCCTGGTGGGCATTCCCAGGGTGCTGTGGGACTCTGCTCTCAGTGGGCGTTCCCAAGGTGCTGTAAGGCTCTGGTCTCGGTGGGTGTTCCCAGGGTGCTGTAAGGCTCTGGTCACAGTGGGCGTTCCCAGGGTGCTGTAGGGCTGCTGCTGGTGGGCGTTCCCAGGGTGCTGTAGGGCTGCTGCTGGTGGGCGTTCCCAGGGTGCTGTAAGGCTCTGGTCTCGGTGGGTGTTCCCAGGGTGCCATGGGGCTCTGGTCTCGGTGGGTGTTCCCAGGGTGCCATGGGGCTCTGGTCTCGGTGAGTGTTCCCAGGGTGCTGTGGGGCTCTGGTCTCGGTGGGCGTTCCCAGGGTGCTGTGGGGCTGCTGCTGGTGGGTGTTCCCAGGGTGCTGTGGAGCTGCTCCTGGTGGGTGTTCCCAGGGTGCTGTGGGGCTCTGGTCTCAGTGGGTGTTCCCAGGGTGCTGTGGGGCTCTGGTCTCGGTGGGTGTTCCCAGGGTGCTGTGGGGCTGTGGTCTCGGTGGGTGTTCCCAGGGTGCTGTGGGGCTCTGGTCTCGGTGGGTGTTCTCAGGGTGCTGTGGGGCTGCTCCTGGTGGGTGTTCCCAGGATGCTGTAAGGCTCTGGTCTCAGTGGGTGTTCCCAGGGTGCTGTGGGGCTCTGGTCTCAGTGGGTGTTCCCAGGGTGCTGTGGGGCTCTGGTCTCGGTGGGTGTTCCCAGGGTGCTGTGGGGCTGTGGTCTCGGTGGGTGTTCCCAGGGTGCTGTGGGGCTCTGGTCTCGGTGGGTGTTCCCAGGGTGCTGTGGAGCTGCTCCTGGTGGGTGTTCCCAGGGTGCTGTGGGGCTCTGCTCTCAATGGGCGTTCCCAGGGTGCTGCGGGGCTGCTCCTGGTGGGTGTTCCCAGGGTGCTGTGGGGCTCTCCTAGCTGCAGCGCAGTGACCTCTCCTGTCCTGGCTGCAGGCTCGCTCCTCCTCCTCGCAGAGCTTCTGTTGACACCAGTCCCAGCTGATTTCCGAATTGCCCAGTGGCCCCAGGATGGACGGTGAGGGTTGACTCAATGCTCTCAGTGCAAACATTTTAGCTTAGCTAGTTCTCATTGCTTCCACGGCTGATAACTTCAAAAATATGAGGCTCTGCCATTCGCCAGCCTTTCCCGAGGCTGCTGCGGTGGGCCTGCTGTGGTCTACGACATCCCCCAGCCCGACTGCACTGAGTCTGTGCCTGGCTGAGATTCGGTGCAGCTTTTCCATGAGAATTCCTGAAACAGGAGGGCCTGAGGAGTGGTGGCCCCCATCGTGGTGACTGATGGCTCCCACATGTCAAGCCCCAGGCCGCCTCCTGGCCCTGCACTCAGTCCTGCACACACACTGGTGTCCTTGGTCCCCAAAGCTCCTATGGGGTGAGCTCTGCCTGGTCTGCAGCCGTGCGGGAGGGAGAGCCATGACTCCCGTGCCCAGCTCACCCACAGCAGGTGCTCTGGTACCAGCCTGGCTGCTTGCTCCTCACCTGTCCAGTAAGTGCTGCCCGGGGCAGCCCAATTTTTTTGAGATGGGGTCTCACTATGTTGGTCAGGCTGGGCGTCAGTGGCTATTCACAGGCACTATCATGGCTCACTGCAGCCTCGAACTCCTGGGCTCAAGTGATCCTCCTGCCTCAGGCTCCTGAGTAACTAGGACTACAGGTGTGTGCCCCCATGTCCAGCTTAGGCCACAGGCACCCCCCTGCATGCCCAGCTTAGACCACAGGCGCCCCCAACGCCCAGCTTAGCCCATTTTAATTCCCGCTTGCCATGCACACCCTCCTGGACCCAGCTCCGGCAGGGCCATGTGCATCAGCATCTTCCTCCAGGCGCAGGGCCAGGCTGTGCCACCTTCTCCTGTCCTCGGGCCTGGGCTGGGCCTGCAGGCCCCTTGCCTCCACCCTCTGTCCTCTCAGCTTCAGAAGGACGGCAGCTTTCCAGGTTTCCACCTCTGGGTTGAGTCACCAGTTCTCAGCCGGGGCCATGTTGCGCCCACTGGCCATGTCTGCAGACATCTCTGGATGTCACAATGGCAGGGGTGCTCCTGTCAGCCAGTGGCGGATGCTGCCCCCGCCCCACCCTCACCAGCAAAGCATTGTCCACCAAACAGCCCTGGACGAGGGGATATTTGGTCAGGTCCACCCCAACGAGAGGACCAGGGAGGCAGCCACGCAGCCGAAGGAGGGAGGGGCCCCATTAGGCCATGCTTGTCTGTTTCCCACAATTCAAGAAATGTCGTCGTCTTTTTTCTTTAAATACTGCCATTCGCATCTGCTAATCTGAACAAAAAGCGCCGTTAGCTGTCCTGCTCCACAGACATGTTTCTCAAGGTTGAACCCTTAGACCTGACCAAGGTGTAAAATATTTCCTTAAACGGAGGCAGGGAACATGCAGCTCCGATCCACATGAGGCCCTCAGGGCACTGCTGGCCCATCTGCTGGTCAGCTCTTGGCTGCAGGCCTGGCTGTGCGTTTGTAGTTGTGACCTCGCCAACCTCACCGCACCCACCACGTGGGCCGTTACTACCCCCACAAGGACCAGGGGACACTGAGGCTTGGAGAGGCGACCCAGGTGCACATGGCTGGGGGCACGGGGAGGGATGGCTCATGAGCTGGGGGGTGAGCAAGGCTGCCTCGCTCAGGCGTGGGACTGTGCGGCTGCAGTGTCTGTCCACAGAGCTCCAGAGCTGGGGGCAGGTTCAGCGGCATCCGTGCCCGCTTACCTTGGACACGGCGGCCAGCCTCTGCTCCACACGGGCGCCCAGGCTGGTGGTGGTCCTGTCTTGGCACCGGAGCTGGTGCTGTAGCTGCAGCAGGGCCGCCAGCTGTGAGCTGCTGGTGTTGGCTGTGGCTGCAAGCAGGACATCCCTCATCGTCTCTGAGGCCGAGCAGCTCTGAAAGGGAGCAGGGGAGGTGTACCAGGGGCCCGAGGCCTGGGCGGGGAGGCCTTGCACCCTGCGGAGGGTGCGCAGCAGCTGCAGCCTGGGAGCAGGAGTGGGCTGGCTCTCCTGGCAAGGCTCCCCTGGGATGCTGGCTCCTCCTGGCACCTGCAGAGTCGCGTGGGGCCACGCTTGTTCCCTCTGTGGGACCTCTGTGAGGTCTGCACGGACAGGGCACTGCTGGCCTGTGACTGCCGGGTCTCTGTGTCTGCCCAATCCTCTGTGGGACCTCTGTGAGGTCCACACGGACAGGGACCTGCTGGCCTGCAACTGCTGGGTCTCCGTGTCTGCCCGATCCTCTGTGGGACCTCTGTGAGGTCCACACGGACAGGGACCTGCTGGCCTGCGACTGCCGGGTCTCTGTGTCTGCCCGATCCTCTGTGGGACCTCTGTGAGGTCCGCATGGACGGGGCCCTGCTGGCCTGTGACTGCCAGGTCTCCATGTCTGCCCGATGCAGGGGATCGGGGATAAGCACACGAATGCATGTTCTCTCTGAGCCACAAGTTTACGTGGCCGGCAGGCTCCCACTGCTTAAGGACCCTGGCCTGCGGCCTGCTTCTCTAATGGAGTCCCCCCAAGGCGAGGGCCCCAGCTGAAGCCCAGGGTCCTCCCTCCTCCATGAAGGGCCTGGCTGGAGGTGGGCAGGGCAGAGACACACCTGAGACAGAGCCAGGAACTGGCAGGTAGTTGCAGGGTCCAGGGTGCCGACACACTCCACCATCTCCAGGCTGGCGGCTGCTGCGACATCCAGGAGGCCACTGCCAAGGGCCACCTGTAGGCACTGCAGCAGCACCTCTGACGCCTGAGCCAGGTACTGCTGGGCCAGAACCATCCTCCTCTGTGGGGCACAAGGCTCAGGCTCAGGCCAGGCTCCGGGCAGAGGCCACACGAGGGGCAGGAGGGGCAGCCGCACCTTCAGGTCCTCGCCTCTCCTGCAGTGCTCCTCCGGGGCTGCCCTGGAGGCCGGCGGGTCCCTGCTGGACTTTGTGGCACCCTCTTCCTCTACCTCCAGCTCCAGAGACTTGAGGCCGCTCAGCTTGGCGCCCACCTGTGACACACATTGCAGGTTGGCAGACACTTCTGGGTTCCTGCTTGGTCGGCGTGGGGAGGGCCCACCCAGGGAGGCCGGGGTGGTCGGGCTCCTCAGCAGGGTCCCCGGGTAGGGGGTACCGCAGGCCACAGCATGGCCTCTCACTATCCCAAACCCTCCATCCCTGAGTTGATGCAGGGTGGCCCTGACCCGTGAGCCTGGGCAAGGGGACGCTGGAGCCTGGGCGAGGGGATGCTGCAGCCAGGGTGAGGACGCAGACCCCTGAGGAAGCCGGCCTGAGTCACGTGGGCCTGGAATCCAACACATTCCCAGGGGGCTCTCGTTCCTGTCCTTTGGAAACACCTCTCCCGGAACCAGCCAGCACTGAGGCTGAGGCATCCACCAGCCCTCAGGGGCCCCTGATCTGGCTGAGACACAAGCCCCACCTGGGTATAGGAAGCCCTGGCAGCCCCTGAAGAACCTGGGTTGAGAGGGAGCCCCCTGGGTTTTCGGGACACAAGGTATCGCAGCACCAAATCTATATATGCACCCAATGATCAGGCGTCAAAATAAAAACACTGATAGAAATGGAGAAGGAGTGATGGACATGTCCCCGTTCTAGTAGGCTGCCTGAATGCAGGCAAAAACCAGCAAGCACGCTGGAGGCAGGGCAGCCGTGGCCACCTGACACGCACGGCTGCCTGACATGCACGGAGCCTGGCCCCTTTCTCGACGGAGCACACGCCGTTCAGACGTGTGCAGAACATTTACCAAAACCAACCAGGGCTGCACCACGTGCAGCCACTGCAGAGTCCCCAGGACCGAGACCACTCGGTGTGTTTTCAACCACCAGGACATTAAACAGGAAGTCAGTCATGAAAATAGACCCGTGAGAAACAGTCGCCTTGAAATTAAACAAGATACAATCATCAAGTCAGTCAAACAAGAAATTGCAATGGAATTTATAAAACGGACTTAGAGAATGAAAATACTGAGGGAAGAGAAAAGGAAAAGTCAGTGAGGCCGACAGCCAAGGCTGGTCTTTGGAGAAACAGCCTGAAATGTCACAGCCACAGGCAGAGAGAGAGCTGCCAGGCAAAACCAAGCTGCGGCAGCACTGGTGAGTCGGGGGGAGGGAGGGCAGCAGAGAAGCCTTCGTTCTCCAGGTCATCAGCCGGCTGCCAGGGAAAGTTTCCTCCCCTTTTCAGGCATGAACACGGTGGGCTCCGAGGGAACCTGCATGGGTTGTGGGAGGGGGTGGGGGCTTATCCAAAACACACCCACAGCTGCACAAACAAGAGAGGCTGCGCTTTGTGCTCCCTAAAGACACACCCGCAGCGGCACAGATAAGGAAGTCACAAGAACAGCGAAAGAGACCAGCGGACTTTCTTATCAAAGCGTTTGGATTCAACTGTGAAAATGGCAGCCCACTCGGGCCCCCTCTCCGCCACAGAGAGCTTTTTTCTTTCACTTATTAAACTTTCGCTGCAACTTCTCCCTGTGTCCACGCGCCTTAATTTTCTGGGTTGTGAGACGATGGACAACGAGCTCGGATAACACCTTAGACAACGTGACCAGCAACCCTAGACCGTGTCGATCCTACGTATCAAAACTTGGGAGACTAAAACGGGGGTTAGAGGAAAAATACAGCCTTGAATACAAGAAAAAACCCAGAAAAACCTTGATTTAAGCTTTGATTTCAAGAAGCTGGACAACAACATAAATCATATCTAAGGACAGCAAAAGGCAGGTACGTCCCGGCCTGGCCTGCATGGGGCGGGGGCCGCGGAAGAACCCTGCGCCCTCCACACGGGACTTGACGTCTGCTCTGCCCTGGCCCCTCCTCGCTGGAGCACCATCAGCAGCATTCATGGATGAGGACGCAGCTCACAGGAGGCCCTGCCGACCCTCGCTTCTGGTCCACACCCACCCGCTACCTGAGCAGGCCAATGGAGGCTGGTTGCATGCAGAGCCTCGATTCCATCAATTCACTCGAGGTACATCAAGTCCTGTGCTAGGTCCTGAAGACGCAGGACAGACATTTCAGGGCCGACCCAGGGCTGCACGGCACCTGGTGGGGGGATTGCCCTGGGCATGGAGCCAGGCACATATGGCGTGGTTGCTCCAGTCCCTGAGGGCATCTTCCTTAGGAGCTGGTGTGTGGGGACGAGCCCAGCTTCTCTGCTGGGGCAGGTGCCTTCCGGGGGAGGAGCTGGCATCTGCACAAGTGTTTAGGAAGGTGACCTGGGGCCTTGCGTGGCTTGTAGGGGCCATCACCAGGGTCCTGAGGGAGCAGGTCACTCCTGCAGCTGACTCAGCCCAGCTGGGCAGCCTTGCAGCCTTCTGGAGAAGGGTGGGCCCTGGGCTGAGAGTGAAGAAGGTCCCGACCGCCCTTCTCAGAGCCACCTGGGCATGGAGGCAGCAGCCTCCCTGGGCTGTAGGGGGTGGGGGATGGAGGGGAGCCAAGGCTGCCTAGGGCTGGCCCTGCTGTGCACTGGCATGGGGGCCACGGCGCCCGGTGCTCAGGCCCACCCTAGGCCGCTCCTGCAGCTTCTGAGCTCCCCAGGTCCCTGTGCGGGGCCTGGCCAGAGCCGCTGCTGCGGGACACACCAGTTGCGTTGCTCCACGCTCGCCAGCACAGGGCTTGATTGGGGCGGGCCGCGTGCTGGGGCGGGCTGGCTCTGTGCTGCTGTGGGCCGACCCAAGTGCCCGCCTGCCCTCCTTGCCTACTCCACAGACACTGTGTTTCCCTCCCAGGTCTGTTCCGGAAGGCCTGAGTTTTGCCAGCCCCATTTCTTCCCTCACGCCTACTTCCTACATTTTTCTCTCTTCCTGGGGCCACTGCTGCAATCACAGGAGTCCTAAACACTTCGCTTGTGTTTTTCAGGCACGGGTGACTGGTGTTGGAGCCAGACTTGGGATAGAAGCAGGAGCACCTACCGAGGGGCCCGCCTCCCAGTAGCAGGTAGGGTGCACAGGGTCAGCTTGCATGGCCAGCAGGTGCAGGGCCCTCCCGGCCAGGCCCAGGAGCCGGGCGCGGATCTCCACACAGCCCACGCTCAGCGGCTGCAGGCTCCCCAGCTGTGCCAGTGCCCCGTGTGCTAGAGTCCGCTTCAGCGTGAACCATTGCTTCGAAAAGACAGACATGTTACAGCTGCCACCCCAAGGGCAACCGCCCACCCTGCCCAGGGGACCCAGTGAGCCCGCCCTCTGCTGTGCCCTGTGGGTGGGAACACTGGGGAGCTCTGAGAAAGCCTTGCCCCGCAGGGAGGGTCTCCAGGGCTCTGGTGTGGGGGTCACAGACGTCTGCTCATAGAACCTTAATTCAGAGCTCACTGACAAATCAGTTTTAGGCCCGTCTTTGGTCCATTTATACTTATGTAAATTAATTTGAGTCATGTTTCATGAAGTCTCAGAAAACTCAAAATGGAAGAATGTATATTTCCCTCAAAACATTCTACATATTCAACTTTTTTTTTTACCAAAATGGAGTCCACCTCTATTGAGCTCTTTAATCCACATATGCATTAATTATTAATACGAATTAATTAGAGCAAATTCATGAGTCGGGAAGGGCAGCTGTGGGTCATATAGGAAACACCCCTGCAATGGGACCTCGATTTCATGAGCCAATTCAGTCTCCTCAAATGGTGAGACAATGCCCGGGAGCTCCCCCTGCTGCAAGAGGTCCCCAGCTGACCCGCACCGCCAGGTGCACAGTGGTGGAGACGGCTCCTGCTGGAACGGGGGTCCCATCAGCTGCACTGTGGCCTGGCGCTCCCTCCACCGGGAATCTGTGACCCCAGCAATTACCAGGCCGACGGAAGTGTAGTCACTGGTGTTCTGCAGATAGTCCGCCAGCAGCTTCTCCAGGGACCCCTGCTCACTCTGCTGCCCGTGGGCCTCCTCCCAGATGAACTGGAGCATGTCCAGAGCCATTTCCACGAGGCCGAGCTTGAGGCGCGCCAGCTTCCTCATCAGGGGCGTGTTGACGTTCTGCAACTGAGGGGGTCAGGCATGCCTCTGAAGCATGGAAGCTTCTGGTAAGCCTGAATCTACATCCCCACAACTTGGATGAGGCATAACCGACGTAAGAAACTCATAACAAACTGCGCAGATCTACAGTGGAAAACTGACACACTTTGATCACGAATACACCCGTGAAACCATCACCACCTTCGAGATAATGCAGTAGCCCTTATCCCCAAATCTCTTCGCGTCCCCTCATGTTCCCTCCCGGTCACCTAGCTGCCTGCCGGCACCCTGCATTCCTTGGCATTTTCCAGAACCGTACCTAAGTGGAGGCGCACAGAGTGCTGTCTTTCCGTCTGGTTCATTTTCCTCGGTAAAGTCACCGTGAGACTCCCCCACGCGGCTGCACGCATGCTCCTTCCCTCTCACAGCCGGCGTCGGTGCACCGTGTGCACGCGCCACACCCTGCTTATCTATTCAAATATTTTATTTCCAGTTCTGGGGCTACTACCAATAAAGCTGCTGCCAACATTCATGTGCAAGGTATCCACAGATCCTGATCCACAGACGTGGTATGTTCCTCCATTTACTTAGGAATTCTCAGATCCTGATCCACAGACGTGGTATGTTCCTCCATTTACTTAGGAATTCTCAGATCCTGATCCACAGACGTGGTATGTTCCTCCATTTACTTAGGAATTCTCAGATCCTGATCCACAGACCTGGTATGTTCCTCCATTTACTTAGACATTCTCAGATCCTGATCCACAGACGTGGTATGTTCCTCCATTTACTTAAGAATTCTCAGATCCTGATCCACAGACGTGGTATGTTCCTCCATTTACTTAGGAATTCTCAGATCCTGATCCACAGACGTGGTATGTTCCTCCATTTACTTAAGAATTCTCAGATCCTGATCCACAGACGTGGTATGTTCCTCCATTTACTTAGGAATTCTCAGATCCCAATCCACAGACGTGGTATGTTCCTCCATTTACTTAGACATTCTCAGATCCTGATCCACAGACGTGGTATGTTCCTCCATTTACTTAGGAATTCTCAGATCCTGATCCACAGACGTGGTATGTTCCTCCATTTACTTAAGAATTCTCAGATCCTGATCCACAGACGTGGTATGTTCCTCCATTTACTTAGGAATTCTCAGATCCTGATCCACAGACGTGGTATGTTCCTCCATTTACTTAGGAATTCTCAGATCCTGATCCACAGACGTGGTATGTTTCTGCATTTAGACATTCTCAGATCCTGACCCACAGACGTGGTATGTTTCTCTATTTACTTAGCTATTCTCAGATCCTGATCCACAGACGCGGTCTGTTTCTCCATTTACTTAGACATTCTCAGATCCTGATCCACACACATGGTATGTTTCTCCAGTTACTTAGGCATTCTCAAATTCTGATCCACAGACATGATGCATTTCTCCATTTACCTAGGTATTCTCAAATTTTTCTCAGTTATCTTTTGTAGTTCTCAGAGTACAAGTTCTCACATTTTTGGGACAGATTTCATTTTTAAATGCTGTCATAAAATTGTTTCAAAATTTTTAATGTCTGATTATTTCTAGCATGTAGAAATATACAACTGATATCTGCATATTGTTCTTATATCCTGCAACCTTACAAAACTCAGCATTAGTAGCTTTATTTTTTGGTGGATTGCATAGGACTGTGTATGCAGACAACTATGTTATCTGTGAATAAAAACAGTTTCATTCCTTCCTTTCCAATCTGGATGCTTTTAATTTCCTTTTTTCCTGCCGGATTCCATAGGCCGGAACTCCCATGTCAACACGGAACACAGGTGAGAAGAGGGCACATCCTCGTCTTCGTCCTTATCGAAAGGGGGCATCAGTCTTTCTCCCACAATTGTGACGTTAGCTCTAGCTTTTTCATAGATGTCCTTTATCAGGTTGAGGAAGTTTTCCTGTATTAATTGTTTGCTAGGAGTGTTTACCAGGAATGGGTGTTGAATTTTGTCAAATGCTTTTCCTGCATCCACAAAGATGATCATATGGTTTTTGTTAGTTTTGAAAAAATATGGTGAAATTAATTAATTTTTGAATGTTAAACTATTCCTGGGGTAACCTTGGCTTGGTTATGATGTATTATCCTTTTTATATATTGTGGGATTTAATTTGCTAAAATTTTGCTCACAAGGAATGCTGGTCAGTAGCTTTTTGTTGTTGTTAATGTTTTTATCTTGTTTTGGTATCAAGGTAATATTTGTATCATAGAAAAAGTGGGATGTATTCTCTCCTTTTCAAGTTTCTAGAATAATTTGTGTAGAACTCGTATTATTTTTTCTTAAATATTTGGCAGAATTCACTAGTAAAGCCATCTGGGCTTGACGTTTCCTTTGTGAGAATGTTTTTAATTACAAATTAAAAATTTAAAATATATAGGGCTACTCAGGCTATCTCTTTCTTTTTGAGTGGGCTTTGGTAGTTCATGCTTTCAAGGAATTTTTCCATTTCGTCTAAGTTGGCAGACATATTAGCATAAAGTTGTTTGTAATATGATTCCCTTATCCTTTCAATATCTGTAGAATCCATGGAGAAATTGTGTCTCTCATTTCTGATAGTGGTAATTTATGTCATCTTTTTTTTCTGATCCGTCTGACTAGAAGTTTTTCAATTTACTGATCTTTTCAAAGAACTAGCTTTGGTTTCATTACTTTTCTCTTTTATTTTTCTGTTTTCTATTTCACTGATCGATTGCCCCTCAGATCTTTAATTTTTATTCCTCTGCTTATTTGGGAACTGAGTTTGCTCTTTTTATAGTTTTGTAAGGTGCAGGCTGAAGTAATTGATTTGAATCTTTTCCCATTTCTCCTACAGGTGTTTAGTGCTGTAAATTTCCATCTCGGTATTGAATTGGCAACATCTTAAACACTTTGATAGGTGTTTTTTTATTCCCTTCAGTTCAAAATACTTTCCCCCTTGATTTCTTCTGTGGCCCACAGTTATTATGACATTTGCTATTTATTTTTCAAATCTTTGGCATTTCGTGCATACATAGCTTTCTGTGTTTTGTTTTGTTTTGTTTTGTTTTGTTTTGAGATGGAGTTTCGCTCTGTCGCCCAGGCTGGAGTGCAGTGGCGTGATCGCCACTCACTGCAAGCTCTTCCCCCCCAGGTTCACGCCATTCTCCTGCCTCAGCCTCCCGAGTAGCTGGGATTACAGGCGCCCGCCACCATGCCTGGTTAATTTTTTGTATTTTTAGTGGAGATGGGGTTTCACCATGTTAGCCAGGATGGTCTCGATCTCCTGACCTCGTGATCTGCCCTCCTCAGCCTCCCAAAGTGACGGGATTACACGCATGAGCCACTGTGCCCGGCCAGCTTTCTGGTTTTTTTTAATTGAGGTAAAAGTCACATAACACAAAATTAACCGTTTAAAAATATACAATTCAGTGGCACTTACACGTTCACAACATTGTGCCACCATCATCTCTAATTCCACGACATTTTCATCACTCCAAAAGGAAACCCCTCGCCCATTAAAAAATCATCCCTTATCCTCCTTGCCCTGTTTCTATGGATTTATCTATCTCTCTGTTTCTGATTTCTAATTTAGATTGTGGCACCAGTACATATTTTATATAACTTAAATCTTTTAAAATTATTGAGACTTGTTTTATGGTCCAAAATACAGTCCATCTTGAAACATATTCATGTGCACACAAAGAGCATCTTATTCTGCTGTTGTTGGGTGAACGTTCTAGAAATATCTTCAGGTCATATTGGTTGGTAGTGTTGTTCAAATCTTCTAGTGATTTGCTGATTTTCTGGCTACTTACTCTATTAACACTGAGAGAGAGGAACTGAAATCTGACTGTAATTGTAGAGTTGTCTATTTCTCCGTTGCAATTTTATTTTATCAGTTTTTGCTTCATTGATTGTGAAACTCTGTTATTAGCTACAGAAATGTTTGCATTTATAGCCTCTTGACTGGTTGAGCCGTTTGCACTATAAAATGAGTTTGTTTATCCTTGGTAATATTCTTTTTTCCAAAATCGGCTGTGTGTGTTGTTAATATAGCCACTCCAGCTTTCTTTTCATTAGTGTTAGCATGGTACATTTTTTCCATTCTTCTCCTTTTAACCTATTTATGTCTTAATATTTAAAGTGGCTTTCTTGTAGGTAGCCCATAGTTGGGTTTTGCTTTTTTATATAATCTGATAGATTCTTTTAACTGAGGGTGTTCTGATTATTTAAATTTCATGTGATTATTCCATGATTAGGTCTAAGGTTATCATCTTGCTGTTTATTTTCTGTTGGTCTCACCTGTCCTTTATTCTTTTTCTTTTTTCTGCTTTCAGGGGGACAAATGAATACTTGTTATGATTTCCATTTATCTCCTTTCTTGGCTCATGCAGCATACATCTGTATTCTGGTATTTCTGTGGCTGTTTTGGTATGTAGTGTATGATATCACTTCACGCAGAGCATAGAAACCTTGCATTTGTTACTGACCTCCCAATCTTTATGCTATTGTTGTCGTACATTTTTACATGTTAGAGACCCCATGCTACATTGTTATTATTGTTTAAGCAGCCAATTATCTTTTAGAGTGATTTTTAGAAGAAGAATTGGACACAATTTCCCCTGGAGTTTACGTGTTCGAGGCTCTCCATGCACCTGTGTGGATCCACACTTCCAGTGGGTGTGGCTTCCTTCTGCCTGCAGGACTGACTCCAAGAGCTCCTGCAGGGCTCAGCCACTGAGGACGCCTTCCTTCAGCTCTCGAGTGTTTGGAGAAACATCTTTATCTCACTTTCATTAAGAATCATATTTTCTGGGTACAGAATTCCAGGTTGGCAGTGTTTCCTCTCGGCCTTCACAGAGGTCCCTGCGCTGGGCTCTCAGCTACACTGCTTCTGCAGGAAGCTGCGCCATTCACCTCTGCCACTCTGCACACAACACACAGTGCTCTCTGGCTGATGCTAAGATGCTCTTCTTGCACTGGTGTTAAAGTGTTTGGTTATGGTGTGCCCTGATATAGTTTCATTCCTCTTTCTAGTTCTTGTGCTTGGGACTCATTCAGCTTCTTGGATCTGTGGGTTTGTATTTATTTTTATCAAATTTGGAAAATTTTCAGTCATTAGTTATTCAAATTATTCTGTTTATTCTACTTTCTCCTCTTCTCCCAGGATTCCAATTACACCTATATTCGTGCACTTAAAACTGTGTGACTTTAATTTTTGTTCTTTTTAATTTCATTTTCTCTTTTTAAAAGTTTCTGTTGCTATGTCTCTAAGTTCTCCAATGTTTTCTCCTGCCATCATTGTCATTCACCCCACCTGGTGCCTTCTTCATCTCCTGTGTTGTGGTTTTCACCCTGAAAGTTTGGGTTTTCTTCCTTTTACATCTTCACCATTTCTACTTAACTTTCTGAACATACAGAATACAGTGATAACTTGTCTTCCAATTATAATATCTGTGCCCATTGATCAATTTGCTTTTGATTGATCAATTATTCTTCCTAATTTCCTGCTTTTCTATACGGCAATATTTTATCGGTTGCCAGACATTTGGGCTTTGTCTTCCTTTGGGGTCTGGTGGGCATTTCTGCATTCCTGTATGTGTTCTTCAGGCTTGGGCTCTGTTCCGGGACAGTTATCTTCTCAAAGGAAATAGCTGGGTCCTTTCAGGTCTGCTTTCTAGGGTCTCTCAGGCAGGTCTGGAGCGGGGCTCACCCAGGCCTAATGACCCCCGACTGAGGCAAGGCCCTGTGTCTGCTTTGCCCGATGCCCCAGGGATCATGAGGTTTTCCAATCCGGCTGGTGAAGTAGGTGCTGTTCCCACCCTAGAACCCTTTTGGGTGGGTTCTTCCCCAGCATGGGGTAGCTTCCTCTCAAGAATGTGCTGATTAGTCCTTGGTAGGACACTCCGGGGCCTCCCTCGAAGGTCTTGGGGTTTTCTCTCTGTGCAGCCCTCTCCTGCCCTCCCCTCCCTGGGGCTCTGTCCCATGAGTGGCAGTGCCTGGCTCTCCCCAGGCTCTCGGCTCCATCCTGTGACTCAGGTCACCAGCGGACTCCACCTGAGCCGCCGTGGTGAGCTCGGACCTTAGCTCAGGGACCACTGCCTGTCATTGCTGACGTCTAGTGTTTTCAAAGTCTTTGTTTCATACACTGTTTGTTTTTTTGTTGTTTCAGATGGGGGAGTATCTGATCCCTGTTATTCCATTTCAGCTAGAAGCAGAAGTCAGCTGGCTTGTAAGGTAAGTTACAGTGGGGTTTATATCCCGGTGGGAGTGACCCAGTGTGCACAGGAACCAGGACACCTGCTTACGTCTTGAAGTGACAATAGGCCCTGGACGCTGTGAAGCCTCCCTTCTTCCTCAGCCATGGCGCCCTGGGCCAGGCCATATAAGCCCTGGATGCTGTGAAGCCTCCCTTCTTCCTCAGCTACGGCACCCTGGGCCAGGCCATACGCTTCCAAGTAATACGCAGTTTTTTGTTCTTCATCTTTCTCGTTCTGGGCACGTAACCTTTATAAGACATAAGAATGGAATTTTAAAACATTATGTTATTATTACTAAATGTTTAATATGTCATTTTCTATCATACTGTATATTTTATTAGTGCTTAAAATGATGTTTTAAAATAGCTAACATGTAAAGACATCCTCGATACGTCTTAGAGGTTTAAGAAGCTGGAATAATGCAGTATGTACAGTGTATTATGGTTATAAAAATTAAGTGTGCGCTTGAAGGAGATTTGCTGAAGCAATTCCACAGCATCAGCTTTACCCAGCGGGCTGGGTCTGATCAGCTAACTGAACTTCTGCAAGGACAATGTACGACATCCACAGTAACAGACACGGCTCAGGTCAGACCTTGTGGTGGGTTATGCTTCCCTCGCGCAGGCTTCTACACGCCCGCACTGGGCCCGCCGTGTCGAGACGCTTGCGTGTGGACAAGTCCGGGGGCCATAGGTTGGGGGCAGGGCAGTGGGCAGGGCCAGGGAGGCTTTGCTGGGGGCGGCCCCAGGTTGGGGGCAGGGAGGTGGGCGGGGCCATGGAGGCTTTGCTGGGGGTGGCCCCAGGTTGGAGGCAGGGCGGTGGGCGGGGCCAGGGAGGCTTTGCTGGGGGTGGCCCCAGGTTGGAGGCAGGGCGGTGGGCGGGGCCAGGGAGGCTTTGCTGGGGGCGACCCCAGGTTTGGGGCAGGGCTGTGGGCGGGGCCAGGGAGGCTTTGCCAGGGTGGGAGTGGCTGGCAGCTGCTGTGGTGGGGACGGCTGGCATCAGGGCTGTGCTGGCCCTGCCCTCGGTGGGAGCAGCCCCTGAGATGCCGTCTGCGGCCGCGCTACAGAGCCATGCAGGGCAGGGCCACCTCCTGAGGTCAGGGCCCTGCAAGCAGCTCAGGGCTGTGCTCGGGATGTGCACGTGTGACCTGGGCCTGGGCATGTGTGTGCAATGCGCGTGTGCCTGTGGCTGGTGGGGGTGGGTGGTGCTGTATGTCTGTGCGTGTCTGCCAAGGGCTGGAGGTGCAAGGCCCAATGTGGATGCCCTCGAGGAAGGTGTGGGCAGCCGCAGGGCTGGGGCCAGAAGGAGGCCCTGTCAGGGGCAACGGGGGCTCCCCCGACGGGGAGGGCTGGGCATGTGATCAGAACGTGTGGGTGAGGCGGCAGCCGAGAGCTTCCCAGGGGAGGGTCCTGTGGACCCCGCGGGGGTGCAGCCGGGGTGAGCCAGGCCCAGAAGGCAGGATGGCGCTGGGCGTGTTGTGTGTAAGAGAAGCAGTGACTCCCGTGCAGGGGTCGTGGAGGCAGCCTTACCTCTTGATCTTCGCACGCTCTAGTTTTACGTCAACACAATTCTCTTTGCAGCCACAGTCGATAAACTTTCTCTCAATTTCCAACAGGCCATCATCCATCTCTTTCAGTAGCAACGAGCACTCTGTGGGTTCAGTGACCGCTGAGTGCTGCGCAACTCTGACCCGCAGGCTCAGGCACCTGACGGAGGGACGGTTTGGGGCCTGGAGTCAGAAGCCCCAGGGCCGCGTCAGGGCTTGCGGCTGGGCTGCCGCTGTTCTCCCCGGTGTTCATCCAGGGATGCTCGGAGAAACGCTTTCGGAGCATTTCTCGAAAATCAACATCATATGGGCCTCATTCTGTGATCGCATGTGATAAAATCAGAAACTCACAAGCCCCACCCCAGGCACTGTATCCAGGTGGAAATTCAAAAACCCTCTCCTACTTGACTCACTAGTGGAACAGTATCCAGGCGGAAATTCAAAAACCCTCTCCTACTTGACTCACTAGTGGAACAGAAACCCATGTTGAAGCGTTGGGCTGTTCACACGCTGCAGCTGGGGGGCCCAGGGCAAGGTCGGGAGGGAGGCAGAGAGCACAGGCATGAGGCCGCCGCCCCGGAGCAGCCACAGCAGGGCCCTGGGCTGCCCTCGCGCCAATGCAGGGAGCTCCACAAAGATGAAGCAGAACACAAGGAAAGCCTGAGTCAGGCAGAAATCCGTGTTGCTGGGGTCTGTAAACCAAAGCCAGCTCCTTGAAAAGGTCTGCTGCGTTGGAGCCTGTGATTCTGATTTAGAAGAGACGGCGTTGCCATCCTGGCCAACATGGTGAAACCCCATCTCCACTAAAAATACAAAAATTAGCCGGGCATGGTGGCACATGCCTGTAATCCCAGCAACTCGGGAGGCTGAGGCAGGAGAATCACTTGAACCAGGGAGTCGGAGGTTGCGGTGAGCTGAGATTGCACCACTGCACTCCAGCCTGGGCGTCGATAAATGGCAATAAGGGAGGCGTGCCTGCCGCAAGGGTTTTGTGAAAGCTATAAGAACACACTCCCTACAAATTTATACCGACACACCACAGACTTAGAGGAAAAGGTTTCCCAGGCCCTTCCCAAGGCCCTGAAGTTGACTTTCTAAGCCAAACAGACGGGACATGTGGATGGAAGGTCCACTTCTCAAAGAAAGTCTGAAGCAAGCTCAGGAAACTTCTGGAGCTTTCTGGAGCTGCACGGAAAGCTGTGGATATGTGGCCCCATGACGTGGGTCTCTGAACTTGCATAGACTTGACGTATGGCACAAAAATTGCAGATGGAAAAGAGGAAACCACAGCTTTCACGCTAATGAACAGTGTTTCTTACAAAGAGTTACCTGGCTTCTAGATCTGTGATCATGAATTCCAGTAAAGGCAATCGGTTTGGTCTTTCTTTCTTGAGGATCTTGAAGGCATTGATGAGCTTCTGAAATATGTGACACACCTGAGGACAGGCAGGGGTGGATACGGGTGTGTCTGAGGACAGGCAGGCATGGATACAGGCCTGAGGACGGGCGGGCAGGGACAGATACGGGCCTGAGGACAGGCGGGGGTAGATACGGGTGTGTCTGAGGGTGGGGCAGGGATGGATCCAGGCGTGTCATCAGCGGTCTGCCAGGCAGAGCCCCATGGACGCCCTTCCTCTCCACCAAGCACCTGGCCCGGCACCCGACATGCAGCCCCAGGTCCCCGTGCCTCTTACCGTAGCTTCCCTTCCTGAGTGTTCCATGGACAAGAGCGCCTCTGCCAGGGTCAGAGTGGAATTGTACCAGAACTCCTCACTTCCGCCCAGGTGCTGGGCCTGTGCGATCATTTTCTTGGCTTGTCCATAGTTTTTCTCCTTGTTGGCCAACTGTGCGAGGAGGAGCAGGCACTGGGCCTCTGCACAAGGCTCATCCAGCTCCTGAAGGAGAGAAACTCAGACATGCTTGGGTTCCTCTACAGATGTGTGCAGGCAGGGAGACAGGAGCAGGCAGAGAGAAGGAAGAGGGAGACAGAGAGGCAGAGACAGACAGACGCACCAGGTGAGGGGAAGACAGGGCTGCTCACTCTGGCAGTGGAAGGGTGGGGCCCATGGCCGCCCTCGCACTCCCTGGCAGGACTTGCAGTGCTGCCCGGCTCCTGCCCCACTGTGGTTCCTTGAGTGGGACGCCCGCCTCCCTGCCCTCCAGAGGTTTCTCTGGAGTCAGCACCAGCTGCAGCGCGCATGACTGTATCTCATTCCATTTAATTATATTTCAGTGAGGAGCTGACAAGTGGAATCGGCGTTCAGGGAGGCACAGCCCCACTCTGGCTGGTCTTCGGGGGGATTTGTCTCCCTCTGCCTGAGCTGAGCGGCAGGAAACTTCGTCCCCGGAGCCTCCTGGGGCTCCTGCTGGCCCCGTCCTGGCCCTGTCTTTTAGGGGCTCCCGCTTGGGGCGAAAGGCTTCGGGACAGCCACACCTGGACACGGATGCTGAGCGGCTCAGAGCCTCCCAGAGCCAGGCCTCCCCATCCGGGGGCCTGCAGCCAGGGAGCTGGGCAGCCACATGATCTGGGACAGAAATACAGGGCAGACTGTGCTAAGAACAGAGAGGTGCTGGTCAGAGGGTGAGGAGAGGACGGGAGCGGTGGCGGGAAAGCCGGTCCCAGCTGCAGGGCTGCCCAGGTGTCTTCTGCAGTGGAAAGGCAGCGTCCTGTTCCCATGTATCACTTTCTGGCCAAACAAGAGGCTCTGTGTGCTCGTTTGGACCTGGGCAGGCCCCTCCCAGGTGTAGCTGCAGGTGTGGGGACAGAGGGGAGGGTGGGCTGATGAGCTGGGGCTACCCGCCGCCAGAGAGCAGGTGTCCCAGCTGCTGAGGGCTCCATCTCTGGCCGTTCCATGCATTTAGATGCCCAGGACGAGGGAGGGGCCCCAGCCACTAGGGAGGCATGCCCCAGTTGTGCCCCTGCCCGACACAGGATCCACCTGGACGCCACAGCCTGCATGCACCTGGGCATGGCTGTGACCGCCAGACGGCGTAGGCAGGGCCTGGGCCCATAGCAGCCTCGTGGGCAGTCAGGTGGCCTGAGGGTAGGCAGGTGGGCGACTGGGCTCTGTGGAAGGGCATTCCTGGCCTCTGGACCAAGCCTGGCAGGGGGCTGCAGGCCTCTGAGGAGGGAAGAGGGGGAGGCCCTTCGTGGCTGGGCCCAGAGAGAAGGGCTGGCAAGGGTCCAACGGGGCCGGGCCCCTGCGGGGCTTGTTGAGGGCAGCTACAGTGGGCCGGAGGCCGGCGACAGGGCGGGCAGGGGCTTCCACATGGAGAGGAGGAGGGTGCGGAGGTGGGACAGAGCTTGGCCGGGGGTGAGGAGCGCCCAGAAGGCAGGGAGAGGACAGGGTGGGTGGGGCGGGGTGGGGGGTGCGTGAGGCTGATGCCAGGGTTTCCAGTGCCGACACTGAGTGGGAGGGGCAGAGCCCTGTCCTGAGGAGTGGGCAGTACAACAATAGTCACAACCCCCAAGGCAGATGTTTCCAGCCTGGAGGCCTCTGAGGTCGGCGGGGGTCTGAGTGCTGAGTGCTGAGGCTACAGTGGGAGAGCCCAGGGGAGGTCAGACCCCCGAGAGACAAGGCCACTGTGTGGGTGGGCCTGAGAGGGGAGGGGTGCCACCAGCAGGACGGAGAGAGCCCCGCGGAGGAGAGACCAGGGTGGAAGGGCAGAGCGCACTCCCATCGCCGGCCTCGGGGAGCAGGTTCAGGAGAGGCTGGAGGGGGACGGGGCGGCCGGGCTGCACTGGCTGAGGGTGAGGAGGGGCGGGAGGGGAGGGCAGCACATGGAGGCAGGCTTTCTGTGGTGTGGATGTGGCTGAGAAGCCAGGGTGAGCTGAGGGCAAAGTTGAGGACGGGAGGTAGGAGGCCTTCAGGCAAGAGGGCGGGAAAGATCAAGGAAACAAACAACTTCCTGTCAGAAGCGCCTGCTGTGAAACAAAGTCCCTGCAAAACAGCGGCTGCAGGAAGGAGGGTGGCGAACCCACGTTCGCGGGAGTCCAGCACCCATCACGTCTGTCCTGGGTCTGGGCTCCAAGGTCCACGGTGGCCCCGGGTATGAGGCAGGTTCACTCCCCAAGTCCCAGAGCTCAGGACCACGGAGGCCCCGGCATGCAGCAGACTCACTCCCTAAGTCCCAGGGCTCTCACCACCTCCCACTGCCTCCCGACCCCGGGGTGAGGGAGACTGGGCCTCTGCCCACCTCGGAGGCTTGACTCTTGCCCCGGGAGCTCCCAGGAGCTCTTCCACACCTCCAGCCCTGCGGCCCCAGCAGAGGCTGGCCCTCTTCTGTGTCTGCGGCTAAAAGAATGCTGCACCCATGTATGTCCCCTCCATAGCTGTCCACAGCATCCTCAGTCCCTTCCTTGGACAAGCTCCCTTTTGACCCTGGTGTGCACACACCCGTCTCTGCTATCAGAGACCTGCACACACCTGTCCCCAATGCCTGAGACCTGCACACACCTGTCCCTGCTATCAAAGACCTGCATACACCTCTCCTCACTGCCTGAGACATGCACAAACCTGTCCCTGCTATCAGAGACGTGCATACACTTGTCCCTCTTCCTGAGACGTGCACACACCTGTTCTCAGTGCCTGAGACCTGCATGCACACATCTGTCCCCCTGCCTGAGACCTGCACTCACCTGTCCCCCTTCCTGAGCCCTGCACACACCTGTTCTCAGTGCCTGAGACCTGCACACACCTGTCCCCCTGCCTGAGACCTGCACGCACCTGTCCCCCTGCCTGAGACCAGCACACACCTGTCCCTGCTATCAGAGACCTGCACACACCTGTCCCCCTGAGACCTGCACACACCTGTCCCCAGTGCCTGAGACATGCACACACCTCTCCCTGCGATCAGAGACCTGCACACACCTGTCCCTCTGCCTGAGACCTTCATACACCTGTCCCCAGTGCCTGAGACCTGAACACACCTGTTCCTGCTATTAGAGACCTGCACACACCTGTCCCCCTGCCTGAGACCTGCACACACCTGTCCCCGGTGTCTGAGACCTGCAAACACCTCTCCCTTTGTATGAGACCTCCACACACCTGTCCCCCTGCCTGAGACCTGCACACACCTGTCCCCAGTGCCTGAGACCTGCACACACATGTCCCCCGCCTGAGACCTGCACACACCTGTCCCCCTGACACCTGCACACACCCGTCCCCAGTGTCTGAGACCTGCACACACCTGTCCCCCTGCCTGAGACCTGTACACACCTGTTCCCCTGCCTGAGACCTGCACACACCTGTCCCCAGTGCCTGAGACCTGCACACACCTGTCCCCAGTGCCTGAGACCTGCACACACCTGTCCCCAGTGCCTGAGACATGCACACACCTGTCCCCAGTGCCTGAGACCTGCACACACCTGTCCCCCTGCCTGAGACCTGCACACATCTGTCCCCATGCCTGAGACCTACACACACCTGCCCCCCTGCCTGAGACCTGCACACACCTGCCCTCAGTGCCTGAGACCTGCAAACATCTGTCCCCCTGCCTGAGACCTGCACACACCTGCCCTCAGTGCCCGAGACTTGCACACACCTGTCCCCCTGCCTGAGACCTGCACACACCTGTCCCCAGTGCCCGAGACCTGCACACACCTGTCCCCCTGCCTGAGACCTGCACACACCTGCCCTCAGTGCCTGAGACCTGCACACTCCTCTCCCCCTGCCTGAGACCTGAACACACCTGTCCCCCTGCTTGAGACCTGCACACACCTGTCCCCAGTGCCTGAGACCTGCACACACCTGTTCCCAGTGCCTGAGACCTGCACACACCTGTCCCCCTGCCTGAGACCTGCACACACCTGCCCTCAGTGCCTGAGACCTGCACACACCTGCCCTCAGTGCCTGAGACCTGCACATACCTGTCCTCAGTGCCAGAGTCCTGCACACACCTGCCCTCAGTGCCAGAGATAAAGTCTGAACCTCTCAAGGCTTTGATGGGCATCACTGAACTTTTATACCATTCTAGGACCCTCTCTTTTTCTGGAGTTTTTCTTCAAAACATCGACAGGCTGTCTGGTTCTGCAGCTCTGCCTCACCCTCCCAGTGAAAGCAACTCTAAAATCTGGAGAGAAGATGTCACCACGTGTCTGAGGTGAGTTTGGAGGGCAGTCAGTGCTGGCAAAAACTGGCAACTACACTCTGCACAGAGAAAAGCACCCGTGGGCCTCCATCCATCTGGCTTTTTCCTGGGGCTGCCATCCCTGCTGGGGGAGTGCAGGCGCCCAGGGTGAGGAGAGGAGGCTGCAGCTGGGGCTTCCGGTGCTGAGGCTTGCAGGGCCAGTCCCAGGAGGAGGGGCCGAGGTGAAGGGTCCAAGGGCTGTCAGCTGGGCTTGGCTGCTCAGGGCAGAGCAGGATGTCACAAAGCCTGGCAGGAACCAGCTAAGACCAAACAGGTGCAGCGCCCGCCGGGGAGACGGGGCCTCAGCAAACGTCCCGGGGCTTTCGCTGGGGACCGTAAGGGTCCCATCCAGGGAGTGAGAGCAAAACAAACAAAGACCAGACCAGGCCCAGATTCCTGGACCCAGGCAGCCCCGCACACAATCCGCCTTCTAGAACAAAGTGGCGCTCCTGGCAGAGACACCCTCTGGGGTTCTCCAAGTTCTCGTCCAGCCTCAGAAGGTAAGAAACTGACTATGGCAGGAGGCAGAGCGGAGCCACTGACACCCAAGAGAAACGAGAGGTTGCAGAGACCAACAGCAGGTACTGGAAATAGAAACTTCAGCAAACTGTGAGTGGCAGAGCAAAAGACGGACAGACAGAGGACGCACAGGACTGACTTCCCGCAGAGAGCTGGACCCAGACAAGAGAGGCACGTGGCCCTGCTAGAGCTGAACGCTACAGCCCAAGCTTCTGCCCGCAGTCCCTCCACTGTGCACAGTGCGCTGGGAGCGGCTGTGGATGGTGATGGGCTGGGAGGGGCTCCTCACCTGGAAAGCCAGGTAAGCCTCCGACAGGAGCAGCCGTGCAGGCTGGTACAGGTTCATCTCCAGCAGAACTTCTGCCTTCAGCATCCACAGGTGGGGAAAGGACGTCCCATCCAGGTCCCTCCCGGTCTCCCCATTCATCTTCAAAATCTGTAAGATACCGCAGCCCCAGGCGGCACGATCCTGACACTTGTGACCTCTGAGTCTCACGGGACAGGCTCTGGCTCAGGAGCCATCTGTACCACACAGGGAGCCACACCACACCAAGGGCTCCCTGCTGGCCTAGGCACCATGGGCGCCTCGCAAGCTCCCCGTGTGCCCCAAGGCCAGAGCTCAGGCCTTTGCCTTTCCCCCGACAGACCTCCTGCACCCTGGGCACCTCTCTTTTCTCACGAATCCCCTTGAAGCCAACTAAGCCCACCACTAGCCACGTAGAGCCTTTGCTACTCCACACACACACATTGGGGTGTAGGACCCCTTGCCCCACCTCGTGGTGCCGAACAACCCTGGGATCTGGGCCTGCCTGCGGCTGTGCACCCGGCCTTGCTAGGGCGCCCCGGGTGTGGGCCGGTGGCTGAGCCCCTGCACTAGGATCTGGGCCTACCCCGCATCCCCCCAGCCTCTCCTCGCTAAGCAGAGCCCCCGGCCTGGGGCGGTGGCTGAGCCCCGCACTGCTGTGTTCTGGATCCAGGTCCTGTGCTGAGCCCCTGTCCTGTCCTGACTGCCAGGTCACAGGAAGCATGGCCTTTGCCCCTCCATGGTGCTCCCACGGTAACTGCGTTTTGGGTTAGGAGCCAGGCTGGTCACCTTCCTTTATGGGCAAATGCAGAGGGGTGCTGTGCTCTCCTGCTGAGGGAAACCCAGGTGGTGGGAGAACCAGTTCTGTCAGATGACCGGGACCTCCAGGCGGAGCTCCCTCTTCGCTGCCCCCACCTTCTCTCAGCCTCTGCCCAGGCGCCCAGCAGGCCTGTTCCAGGGAGGCCCGTGGTGCACATAAAGCTCATCTTTCCCGGGGAATTCCAGGGCCCACGGGAGGAGAAATCAGTCACAGGAAGCCCCTCGCACACTGACACACAGGCCAGCCCCACACAAACAGACACACAGGCCGGCCCCTCGCACACTGACACACACACAGGCCGGCCCCTCACACACTGACACACACACAGGCCGGCCCCTCACACACTGACACACACACAGGCCGGCCCCTCACACACTGACACACACCCAGGCCGGCCCCTCACACACTGACACACACACAGGCCGGCCGCCTGGCTCAGCTGCAGCCCTGCATGGCCACGAGGCACCGGCGCCCGCTGGGCTGCGGGTCAGAGGGATTCTGGACGGTGAGGTTACCTTGTCCTTGGCGTCCAGTGGTTTGATCTCCCCAGGCTGGACAGGAAGTGTCTGCTCATTCAGTGCTGGCAGGCTTTCTTCTAATAAAGGCTCCTTATTTTTCTCTTTTTTCAACGCGATCTCTTTTCTGCAGCTAATGCGAGGAAAACAGACAATACGCAAGAGCCACATGGCCACGAAAATGTCCCTTCACGAGTAACCAAAGAAACGCAAACGAAAACAGCCACAATTACATTCTTCACGCGCGTGTTTACAAAGATTTTTAAAAATCCTCAGGATCTAACGGCACATCCGACTCCCAAATTTGTGTCCATCACTGGTTCTCTCTTCCAAACTCCAAGGTCATGTCCAGCTGCTGTTTGACAGCCAGGGGTGTTTAATGAGCATCTCCGACTCCATCTCTCCGGCGTGCCCAGCCCCGGCCCCGCTGTGCCTCCCGCGGGCACCCCCACCGGAAAGTTCGGAACCAACTACAGGTCCCTGGGTGGGCTCCTGCTCCCCGCTCGGCCTTCCCACGGGGTCTTCAAGGTGTCTGCTACCTTCCCCTTCGCTGCTCCACCTGGCCCCGGCCACGGCCCCCGGCTGTCCCGCCTTCTCCTGTGCCATGAACACCAGGTCCTGGCCATTTGCCACAGCACGTCCAGAGAGGTCCTTTAGAAGGCAGGCCAGCAGGGGGTCACAGCAGAGGTCAAGACCCAGCAGGCCCAGCCCCAGGGCGTTTTCGTCCTCTGACCTCTGACCCTCTCCCGAGGCCTGCACGCCCCTCTGCCCAGGCCTCCCCGGCCACGCGCGTTCCAAGTCGAGGTGCCCCTTGCCGCCGAGACGTCGCTGCTCCCAGCACACCACATCGCGCTGGCCACCCCACATCGCGTTGGCCTCTGCCATCTGCCACCCTCCACAGCTCGTAAACAAATGAACAGCAGGGAACCAGGACCCTATGGCCTCCACAACTCCTTTGCTCCAAAGTTATTTTAGGGCTGTGAGGACAACCGGGCCAAAGACCAGGTTCCTGGGACACTGCTCCACGTCCCTTATACCAGGAGAGTGTGGACACGGTTCCAATGTTCAGCCGGGCTGCACAGATAACTCACGGTGCACAGATAACTCACGGTACTGAAAAATGCAAAGTTCACATTGCAGGTGAAGGCTGGTTACCACAGGCCGCTAAGTGAAAGGGTATAGAGAGCTTAATTCCACTTTCACCATAACAGTGTCTGTTTCAATGTAACGGCGAAATGGCCGGAAGAGCATGAGTGAAAATATGAACAGGGTTATGCTGAATGATGGGGCCAATCGTGAGCTTTATTTTCCTCTTTCTTTTATCTACATGTTCTAAGATTTTCACTATAAAATGTATCACTTACGTAATTTTAAAAAGTATCTTGTAAAAACTAATAAAAACAGAACCGTATACAATCATAGCACAGAAGTATTTCTGAGATGGTCTCTAAATCTAAAAGTGATTTGCTACACTAACGAGAGTTAGTTGTTACACAGCCTGATGTTAGTAAACTTCAACAGCTCTGAAGTGAACTCCTGCCTGAAGGCTGCCGGAGACGGGAGTGGCCTGACCGAGCACTGCCTCAGGACCCGGCGCCCAGCACCCAGCGCCCAAGGGTCCAGGGCCCGGCAGCCAGCCTTTCTGTCCTCCGGGGAGGGGCTCGGGCCACCCTGGAGAGCCCCCCTCACCGCCCCTCCCTCCCTCTGTGAGGAGCACCTCCCCACAACCCACCTCCAGCACGACCCAGGAGAACCGGCCACAGCCGTGTCCCCCAAGTGCTCACTCTCCCCAGAGGGGCAGGAGTCCAGGGAAGAGGGTGGCCGCGCAGCTGGCTTTCACCTGGCCGCACCAAGGGCGAGACTCAAACCCCAGGCGGCGCAGGGTGGGACGGCACACACCTGGCCTGCTCCAGCTCGCTGACGCACACCTGCCCGACCGCCTCTTCATGGCGCGCGGCTGCTTCTCTCAGCTTCAGCTCGGAGCACGCGTGGGCGAGGCTGTGGGGAGTGTGGCCGAAAGAGTCAGTGTTGCACGGGCGCAGAGGGAGCCAGAAACGAAGCTACTAGTGTGCTTCACAGAAAACGGTCAACTAACACATCGAGGCACACTTGGATGGTATTTTCAATCATTTTTAAAGGTAAGCGAAATTACTAGGGAAAAGTGCCCGGTAGCTCCATCAAATTTCAAGTGGGATTCTTCTCCCGCTCCTTCACAGATCTCGTGCGAGGCATTATCTGTTGCCTCCTGGACGCCGTCCGAGGAGAAGAGGAGGCCCTCAGGTGGGCTCAGCACCCACCACAATAAGCAGAGAAGCCTCGACTCCTGTTGAAAACCCTATTCTTGTAAAATGCTTTCAGGCAAGCAGGAAAGTTGCACAGACACCAGGAAGCATCCCTGTGCGGGCCCCGGTGGTCCCTCTTAGCCCCGTGACCACGCCTGCTCCAGCCTCCTCTCCCGTGCCCGCCCCTGGGATATCTGAGCAAGCTGAGGATGCAACTTGCAGCCTTTCTCCCGGATCCTTCAGGGCACAGGCGCCTCCATTTATCAAACTGTGCTGTATTGCGCTGCTCAGATGTTGCATATTTTACAAATTGAAAGTCTGGGGCAGCCCTGAGCGACCAAGTCCATCGGCGCCATTTTCCCACAGCACCTGCTCACTCGGTGTCTCTGTGTCACATTTTGGTAATTCTCAAAATATTTCAAACTTTGTCATTATTATGATTGTGTTATGGTGATCTGTGTTCAGTGATCTTTGCGGTTACCATTGTAATTGTTTTGGGGCACCATCAGCCACGCCCATATGAGACGGTGAACTGAGTCGATAAATGTCCCGTGGGCTCTGATTGCTCTGCAGCTTGGCCGCTCCCGCATTTCTCTCCCTCCCCTTGGGCCTCCCTATTCCCCAAGACACAGAAATTTTGAAATTAGGCCAGTTAATAACCCTACGATGGGCTCTTAAGTGTTCCAGAGAAAGGAACAGGCGCACGTCTCTCACGTTAAAGAAAAGCCAAAAATGATTCAGTTCAGTGAGGAAAGCGCGTCAGAAGTGGAGACAGACTGCAAGCTCGGCCCCTGCACCAGTTAACCAAGCTGTAAGTGTGAAGGGAAAGTTCTGAAAGGAAATGAGAAGCTCCTACAGGGAACATATGAATACAAATGACGAGAAGGTGGAGCCGCCTCAGTGCCGGTATGAAAAAGTTTCCGTGGTCTGCGCCGAAGATCAAACCAGTCACAATATTCCTTCAGGCCGAAGTCTCATCCAGAGCCAGGCCCTCACTCTCTTCAATCCCATGAACGCTGGGAGACGTGAGGAAGCTGCAGAAGAAGTTTGAAGCGGCAGAGGTGGGCTCGTGAGGTTTCTGGACAGAAGCTGTCTCTGTCACATAAAAATGCCAGGTGAAGCAGCAAGTGCTGATGGAGAAGCTGAAGCCAGTTAGCCGGAAGATCCAGCTAATAAGAGCATGGATGGTGGCTACGCTAAACAACAGATTTCCACTGTAGACCGCACAGCCTTCTATTGGAAGAAGATGCCTTCTAGGACTTTCAGAGCTAGAGAAGAAAAGTCAATGCCTGGCTTCCAAGCTTCCAAGCACAGGCTGACTCTCTTGCTAGGGGCTAACGCAGCCGGGGACTTTGAGTTGAAGCCAATCCTCATTCACCATTCTGAAAATCCCAGGGCCTTTAAGAATGATGCTCAATCTACTCTGCCTGTGCTCCGTAAGTGTACAACAAAGCCTGGTGACAGCACATCTGTTGACAGCATGGTTTGCTGAATATTTAAAGCCCACTGTTGAGACCTACTGCTCAGAAAAACAGATTCCTTTCCAAATAGTACTGCTCATTGGCAATGCTTTGGCCACCCAAGAGTGCTCACGGAGACATACAAGGAGACGAATGCCTTCTCCGTGCCTGCTAACACCACTGCTAACACTGCACCCATGCAGTCCATGGATCAAGGAGGCATTTCGACTTTCAAGTCTTACTATTTATGAAGCACATTTAATAAAGTTATAGCTGCCGCAGAGAGTGATTCTTCTGATGGATCTGGGCAAAGTGAATTGAAAACCTTCTGGAAAGGATTCACCATTCTAGATCCCATTAAGAACATTCCTGATTCATGGGAGGAGGCCAAAATAGCAACATTAACAGGAATTTGGAAGAAGTTGATTCCAAACCTCATGGATGACTTTGAAGGATCCAAGATTTCAGTAGAAGGAGCTACAGATGTGGAGGAAATAGCAAGAGAAGTAGAATCAGAAGTGGAGCCTGAAGATGGCACTGAATTGCTGCAATCTCAAGAGAAAACTTGAATGGATGCGGAATTGCCTCTTATGGATGAGCAGAGAAAGTGGTTTCTTGAGATGGGATCTGCTCCTGGTAAAGATGCTGTGAACACTGTGGAAATGACAAAAGGGACCTAGAATATTCCATACATTGAGTTGATAAAGTGGCAGCAGCATTTAAGAGACTGACTCCAATTTTGAAAGAACTTCTGCCATGGGTAAAATTCCATCAAACATCATTGCATGCTACAGAGAAATCTTTTGTGAAAGAGTTGATCCATGTGGCAAATTTTATTGTTGTCTTATTTTAAGAAATTGCCAGCCTTTTTAGCATTTTTAGTACATACATTTTAAATGGATGTATGTACATTTTTTAGACATAAGGCTATCACACACTTAATAGACTACAGAATAGTGTAAACCTAACTTTTATATACTCTGGAAAACCAAAAAATTCATGTGACTTGTTTTAATGTGATATTTGTTTTGTTTTGGAACACAACCTGCAATATCTCCAAGATATGCCTGTATTTCCTTAAAACAAGAATATTCTCCTAAGGATCAGGTAGAAATTTTAAAATAAAAATATCATATTTTATCTTTTAAATTTTTAGTAACAGCATCATGCTCTGTTGCCCAGGCTAGAGTGCAGGGGCATGATCATAGCTCACTGCAGCCTCCATTTCTTAGGCTCAGGTGATCCTCTTGCCTCAGCCTCCTGAGTAGTTGCGACAACAGGTGTGTGTCACCATACCTGGCTAATATATTTTTTAAATTTTTTGTAGAGATGGGGTCTTGCTATGTTGCCCAGGCTGGTCTCAAACTCCTGGGATCAAATAGTCCTCCCGTCCCAACCAAAAATACCATTTTCATATTCAAATATTTTTATTTACTTGGTGTTCAAGTCCCAGGGACTTTATTATTTACACAGTCAACTACAGAATTAATACCTTAACATGTTGTTTATTTTTGTTTTGCTTTGGGGAAATCACACTCCGAAAAAGGAGCTGTACCCACCGAAGGTGGTAGAGATCCGACAGGCCCTTGCTTCCCACCACGGAGTCCGAAATCAGCACCCCCAACTGCAGGACGGGAACCGTGAGTTCGTGCAGGCACATCTTCTGCAGGGCCTTGACCAGGTGGTCCAGGAAATACAAACTGTATGTCTACATGGACACATAACACACACAGGAGGTCACAGGAGCGGGTGTAGACCACAAGCATAAGGGTCTTTCCTCAGAGAACTCCCTCCCTCCCCATGCCAGCACATGTCTGCACACAGCAGGTGCTCAGCGCGTGTCCGCACACAGCAGGTGCTCAGTGCGTTTCTGTGGGATGGATGGAGGCTGTGCTATCTTCCTTCCCTCTTCCACTCATGGGTTTCATTTTGTCACGTGATAATCTTTGTGAACATCAGCACCCAAGTATGAAGATCCTCACAAGAAACACACCCTTATGTGTTTGTTTCATTTTTCCACTAAAAACTACTGACTCATTAGAGACAGAATTTCTTTGTGTGCACACACAACCACTTACAAATTTAATATATAGAGAAGAGCTAATGCTTCTTATTATGTTGGACTTGGTTTGTTAAAACCATTACTCTTGAGTGGGAAATTAGGAAAGTTGGATGACTTGTCGCAAAAATGTACTTCTAAGAACTGGAGGATAATCAATATCCAAAGAATGACTGGGCCAAGATCTGGAAGTCAGTATGCATCCAGGGACACAAGCCTGGCTATCAGGCACTGAGGCATCCAGCGACACGAGCCTGGCTGTCAGGCACTGAGGCATCCAGGGATACGAGCCTGGCTGTCAGGCACTGAGGCATCCAGGGATACGAGCCTGGCTATCAGGCACTGAGGCAGCTGAGGGCCCCATGGTGCTCCGCATCGTGCTGCAGGCTGGGCTTAGAAAACGGGGTTCAGGGCCCACCAAGAGCTCCACTCTCTCACTCTCTCTCTCAGGCTGGGTTCTTGAAGGGCTGCACCTCAGAATTCCAGGCAATCTAGGAGGAGGCCGTCCCCTCAGGGATGACAACCAGGCAGAGGGGCCGTGCGGGTGGCCTGGAAAGCACAGGGTCCTTTGAGAGGTCAATGGAATTGATCACTCCCAGTGAGGCTGATCGGGAGAGCGAGCGAGGGGTGACAGGGCTCTACAGGTCCCACAGGCATTAAAAGGTAATACAAGGACATTGAGAACAACTTCATGGCAATACATCCAAAATGTATTTTCAATAAAAACATCCCAGAAAAACACAACCTATGAAAACTGTTACAAGAAGAAACAGAAACTCTGAAGAATTCTATAACTATGAAATAAATTGGATCCATAATTTAAAATTTTCCCAAACAGAAGCTCTGGGCTCAGATGGCTTTACCAGGGAATTCTTCCACGCATTTAAGGATGAAATAACCACCAATCTTATACAAATTTCTCCTAAGAATGGTCAGAAAGGAACACTTGTAACTGACTAAAAGGCCAGCGTAACTTTTACCACATCCTGAGGAGGACACACATGAAAGGAAAATCAAACATCGTCCTCCTCACAAGCACAGATGCACACACCCCGGAAACAAGTGCCGCCAACCAAAGCTGGTGACATAAAGTGAGTGACAGCACAGCCAAGCTGCCCTATTGTGATAATCATTAGAAAGAATCAAGGTAATTAATTCAAGGAATGAAGGAGGAAAACATCATCTGCATAGATGGAGAAAAATATAAAAGCATTCATGACTAAAATTATTAGCGAATAGAAATAAACTTCCTTCATCAATAAAGATCGATAAAAACCTACAACTGCCCTATTGTGATAATCATTAGAAAGAATCAAGGTAATTAATTCAAGGAATGAAGGAGGAAAACATCATCTGCATAGATGGAGAAAAATATAAAAGCATTCATGACTAAAATTATTAGCGAATAGAAATAAACTTCCTTCATCAATAAAGATCGATAAAAACCTACAACTGCCCTATTGTGATAATCATTAGAAAGAATCAAGGTAATTAATTCAAGGAATGAAGGAGGAAAACATCATCTGCATAGATGGAGAAAGATATAAAAGCATTCATGACTAAAATTATTAACGAATAGAAATAAACTTCCTTCATCAATAAAGATCGATAAAAACCTACAACAAACATCAATTATACTTCAGAGTAAAATGCTGGAAACTTTCCTTTGAGATAGGATGTGCAACATAAAAATAGATGTTATCACCATTTTCATTCAACCTCATACCGGAGGTCCTTGCCAGAATATAAGGCAAGGTAAAGAAAAAACAGTGTAAAGAGTGGAAACTAAAAAAGAAAAATGTGTTTGCAGATAAAACGATGATGTACACACAAAATCCAAAATAATCTACAGACAAATTACTAAAGTTATAAAGAGCTTAACAAAATGGATGCTTACAAGGCCAAAATGAAAACAATTACATTTCTATAGTTTATCTGGAGTTTAAACATGAAACAAAAAAGCTATATTTACAACAGCATCAAAAATATCAAATACACAGAAATAAATCTGACATGCATAACTGCCAAGCAGAAAACTCTGGTCTATTGTTAAGAGATGCTGAAGAAGACCTACGTCAATGGAGAGACAGACCATGTCCATGGATCAAAAGGCTGAACACCATAACAATGTCAGTTCTCCATAAAGTAATTTACAGATTCAATGCAATGTCAGTAAAAACTCTACCAGGGTTTGTGATGGGTCTGACACACTGATTCTAAAATACACATGGACATGCAATGGAGAATAAAAGGAATAGCCCAACCGTCCTGAAGAATGAGGTAAGGAGATTTTCTCTACCAAATACTCACGGTTGTGAAGCTCAGTAATTGACAATGAGATGATGATGCCAAGGACAAAAAACTAACAGAAAGCAAGAGAGACCCCAAAGCAGCCCCATGCACAGGTGGGCAACTGCTCATGCCCAGTGCAGCCAGCAGGGAAGGCAGCCAGTGACATTTCAGGAAGTGGTGTCAGAACAATGGGACACCCTGACTGCCATGCTTGAGGCTTGACCCCTACCTCACACCACACACACATCAAGTTCAGATGACAGGCAAAACTACAAAGGTGCAAAATATTTCCACTTTTTGGAAAAATACTATAACAGAATATCTGTACAACCTCCAGAAATGAAAACATCAAAAAAAAGGACACACAAAAAACTGACTAATTACAAAGGAAAAGACTAATGACTCTTATTACATTAAAACTACTAATCCCTGTTCCCAAAAAGACCTCCTTAACAGAGTGGAAAGGCAAGGCACAAAGTGGAGGCAGATCTGCTGGTCACATGGCTGCTCATGTGATTTTCCAGAATAAAGGATTCCTTCAAACCAATCAGGAAAAGTCAGAAAGCTTAATTAAATATGGGCGACAGCCTGGAGGGCACATCACAAAAGAGGACCTCCAAGGATAGGAAGCACTGAAGGCCAACCTCACTGTGGCCAGGGGTGTCCCATTAAACCAAGGGGAATGCCCCTGCCCACCCACCGGCTGCTGATATTGAGGGGAGTGGCATCAGCAGGGATCTGCGCAGGGCCACTCTACCCACAGCGGGCACGGCAGTGAACTGAATGACCACTATGGAGGGCAGCATGGCAGCGTGGCACCAAACACCGCAGGTGGAGATGGTCCAGGTGTGCCCTAAATGCAATTCTGTGGGAGGGAGCGGGAGATTTGATCCACACAAAAGAGGAGGCCACGTGACCACAGAGGCTGACCGGGATGAGGAAAGAGGGATCTTCCCCGGCCCCTTTGGAGGGTGTGCCACCCTCCCGACACCTGGATTTGAGCCCAGGGACACTGATTTTCGGCTTCCGGCCTCCAGAACCATGAGGGGATCAATTTCTGTTGTTTTAACCATGCGGTTGTGGGAGCTTGTCATGAACACCTGTCCTGTCTCACTAGGTACGTGTTGGACTTGAGTGGGGAAAGAAGGAAGGCTTTCCTAAGTGTCGGCAGTTGAGGGCAGACAGTGGTGCTGGGAGGGCCTGTGGGAGGCTGGGGGCTGATGGGACTCTGTCCTGTCCTCCTTTTTCTGGCTACAGTTCACAGTGAAAACTGGACTTGGGGACAGGTCAAGGGGACACCATGCTGTGACCAAGGTCTTGAGCCTTTTCTTTATGTCAACGTACCGGCTTCTGGATACTTGAGGGGTTCACAGTAGAGTCACTTCTGTCCTGTTTCAGTACAGACAGCACTTCCTCGGGGCAGGAGTAGGAAGCCCACTCTTCTATGCTCATGGGTAAGTCTTCCAGTTGTTTGATAGGAGCTGGGCTTTGAGACTAGAAAGGCAAGAATACAGGATTTACCTGAAACGGTGGAGGTGAAACAGCAGACACCCCCGGCCCACCGGCATGGCTGTGCAGCATTCAGGCCACAGCCCTGGGCAGCCGGCATCCTCCCCACCACCAGGTCCCAGCGAGTGCCCAGATCCAGCCTCTGATACTGTTTCCAGGCAGTGCACGCAAAGCTTTCTGCCCCGTGCACAGCCAGAGTTGGCCTGGGGGTGCCCAGGCTCAGGACTCCCGAGAGCTAAGGCTCTGCAGCCTCTGCCTCCTGCGTCTCCCCTCAGTGACAGCTGGCTGGTGAGCTCAGCAGTGCTCGTGCTGGGGTCCGGGTGTGAGCGTCCCATGAACTCAGCAGTGCTCGTGCCGGGGTCCAGGTGTGAGCGTCCTGCTCTGGGGAGCTGGGCAGCCAAGTGGTTTCTCAGACCTGCCCAGCACTTTGAGAAGTGGATACTTGCAGAGAGAAAGGTTTCATGAGATGAAAAAAACACTTTTCTCACTGCTCTGGGACCCAGGCCCTGGGCTGTGTCTGCTGCCATGGCCTCTGAGCCTGGCAGACCTGGGACAACGTGCTCTGTGCAAACTGCGTGCATTACGTGGCTAGCTCCAGGCCCGGGATTCCTGCCAGGGACAAGCCAGGGTGCTTTACAGACATTCCCCTGTATTGTCCTCCAAGAACCCTGACAGGGAGAGAAACTGAGGCACAGAGGCCAGCCGGGGCCCAGCCTCTGCACTGAGGCCACCTGGGGCTCCTCCGAGAACCCTGACAGGCAGGGAAACTGAGGCACAGGCCATCCCGGGCCCGGCCTCTGCACTGAGGCCGCCTGGGGCTCCTCCGAGAACCCTGACAGGCAGGGAAACTGAGGCACAGGCCATCCTGGGCCCGGCCTCTGCACCGTGGCCACTTGGGCATCACCTGCTTGGGCTCCTTGACTTTCTCCTCCTTTCCCTTCTCCTTGTCCTTCTCTTTACTCCTCTCATTCTCCTTCTCTTTACTCCTCTCCTTCTCCTTCTCTTTACTCCTCTCATTCTCCTTCTCTTTTTTAGGCAATAACAGATGTGAGCTGGTTGCTGCCAGGGGTCTGTTTTCCAGAACTGATTTTCCTGCTGTCATCAAAGAAACCTGGTGGGGATGAAATCCACATTTGCAGCACTGAAAACCCACCCACCGCCCACTCTGCCCACCCTCCACTCCTGGATGAGGGACGCTCAGACCCGCGGGGCTCCCCAGACTCTAGTGCTCTGGTGGTCTTGCGTCCCCGTCAGCTGCCATCAGGGGAGCCCCTAGAGCACGGAGCTGGGCTGGCCCGGGGTGTGGGCACCGGGGGCTGCAGGGACATGCCCGTGAGCCTGCTGGCTCCGCGGGTGTCCCTCAGTCTCACTCCACTGTCAGGGACACAGCGGGACACCCCTGGCCCTGGGGCTCCCTGCTGGCCATCCCGCACTCTCCCTGCAGCGGCCCTTGTTGGGGATGTACCCAGGCAGGGAGGACGCTAGGCACGCCTCCTTGGCAGGCCCTGCGGGCCCCTCGCGGCCCTGACACCTGGGGGTCTGGGGCAGGCGTGGCTGGCCCTGGGGGAGACTTGCCACTCCTTGGGTGAATGAGTTCGAGGTCTCTAATTAAGAACACATGAGAATAACATTGAGCAATTCTCCTAGAAGAGTCACAAAGAATGGCAGCGTGGGCGCCCACAGCCCCGGGTCTGGCAGTGGTTGAGGCTGGTGGGGGGTTAGCGTGGAGCATTCTGAAGACGGGATAGGGGGGCCTCCCTGCCTTTCCTGCTCTGCCCACGGCTGGGCGGTGGCCCTCTTGATCCTGAGATGCCCTATGGGGGCTCCGGGCAAACTCATCCTCAGAAGAAAGGCCTGCCATGCCTGGCGCTGCCCTGCTGGGGTGTAGCCTGCGGGAGGCCTAGACAGACGCACGGGGAGGCCCCCGACAGCTGCTCCTGGTGGGCTTTACAGGGAGAGGTGGTAGGAGGAGCAGGACAAGGAGGGGGGTGGGAGTGGGAAGAAGGCTCTGGAAGCCCCGTCAGCGGGCGGTTCAGGAGCTGTCGGGCCCCAGCTAACAGAGGCGCCTGCCGCTGCCTTGGTGTGGCGAGCCAGGCAGAGGCAGTTTTGGGTGGTGGTCTGCAAGGGTGCCAGGGCGGGTGTCAGGGAGGACCGGCTGATCTGGAGGGAGCCACGAGCCCCTCCCTTGGGGAGTGCTGGGAATGTGGAGGGTGCAGGAATGAAGAGGGGAGTCTTTTGTTTTGGGGGAGTCTCTTGTTTTTATGCTGATGGGAACCATTCAGGAGAGAGGAAGAATCTGGATGTCGCAGGAAATTGCTCACATCTCAAAGGTCTTTAGGAAATGCTGGGAAAGACTCTGACATCTTTACAACGCTCACTGCGGTTTCCCCAGCCCGCGGCCCGTCCCGGGAGGTGCTGCAGGAGCAGGGGAGTCTGCGCTGGGCCTCACCTGCCAGATGTGCCTGAAGAAGGCGTAGGCTGCAAGGCAGCAGTCCTCGTAGCCCTCGGCGCCCGGCGACAGCACCAGGGCCAGCAGGATGTGCACGCGGGCCAGCGCCTCCAGCTGCCGCACGCTACGCAGCTGCTCCAAGGACACCGCCTCCTCGGCCTCGGACACGGGGCTCCGTGGGGGCATCTCCACAGCCACGTACTCCCCTGAAACACGGGGTGCCCGAGGCTGAGAGCAGGCCCGGCTACGGGTCTGTGGGCCCCAGGCCACTCCCTTCCCTGCCCGAGGCTGTGGTGGACTGCCCGGTGCCTCGCGGACACCCGGTGCTCCACTCTGCTGAGGGCCGGCAGCCAGGGGAAGAGTCACGTGTTGTACTTACTCTGCGAAGGCTGAGCTTGGCTGCCCCCTCACCCCCAGGGGCAGTTCCAGTCTCAGCTCCAGCCCCAGGCCCCCAGACCCCGAGAGCTCTCCTGCTGCCCTGTGTGTCCTGGAAGCCTCATGAGCTGCACCTGGCCTGGGCACCCCGTTCCTGTCCCAGACTGTCCCAAGGGCCTGGGAGTTCTGAGCAGGGCCCCCACTCATCCTGACAGGGGGCTAGAACCGCGGCCACAGGGAGGGTGGCCCTGAGCAAGCCAGCATTGTCGAGTGCTCTAGGATGGCCCTGCTGTGCGCACGTGTGTGTGTGTGCATGTATGTGTGTGTGTGTGTGTGGAGTGGCCACCCTAGCTGGGCTCTGCCGGCCTCTGCTCTTCACGGCAGGACTGCCGAGCCACCCCATGGGACTCTCCGTGCGCACCTGCGCTCCCCACAGAGTTTCTGCCCCGGGTCACCCTGGGCTGATGCCCAGGCACTGGCAGTGTTTAAGCCCTGGATGATGCCAGTGGGGCCGCCATTGTCTGCCCAGGTCCCCACTTGCCAGCAAACACCCACTTTCCTGCACTGCTGTGAGCAGGGGCTGGGTGGCCAAGGGCCTGCTGAGGAGCAGTAGCTGGAGAATGGAGCCCCCACCTCGAGTCAGAAGCAACTTTGGGGATGGCTGAGGTGCCCACAGGGTCTGAGGTGCTCTGGACCCCCGCTCCCCCGGCCTCCTGAGGAAGGCTGCCTCTGGGCCGGCCCAGCTGTGTGCCCGAGAACATGCCTTCCGCCTGACCTGGATGGAACCTTTCTGTGAAGGTCATCTGGTGGCAGTCAGGCTGAGTCCCTCAGGGCCCCTGCAGAGGACAGCACTGAGACACGTCAGGGGCCCCTGCAGAGGACAGCACTGAGACACGTCAGGGGCCCCTGCAGAGGACAGCGCTGAGACACGTCAGGGGCTCCTGGCCTCCAAAGCCTGCACAGACACATGGATACCCAACGGCGGTCCAGATCACGGAGCAGGAAGCAGAGCTCTGGGGAGCGGCGTGGGGTCGGCACCCTGCCAGCGGCGTGGGCTCACCATCCGGCGTGGGCTGTGGCTCAGGGACATCGCCGGGCGGCTTCATGGCCAGCAGGATCTCGACAGCCCAGCGGAGGTGGAAGACCACGTCCTCGAGAGGAAAGTGTCTGTGATGGAGCCACTGGCCGAACTCCATGAGGTACTCCACCTTCTGCCACTCCATCTCAGGCTTCTGTGGGATTGAACAGGAAGGGTGACATCCTCAGGATGGCCCTGAAGGCGTTCCTGACGCAGTGGAATACTTTTATTGCTCATTTTCTACAAGAAAAGCTTCATTCTTACCCCCACAGTGATCATTTGCAGGCCGCCTCTAATGAGACCAAGTTGCCATTTAGGCTCATTGGGACATTTCAGGTGCAGTTGTTTCTTTTCACAAGCAGAGGTGGGAAGGCTGCAGCTTGGCGAATTCCTTCCCCGTCTCCTCACCCTTTGCAGATGCCACCCTCCTGGGGACTCCCGGGTCCCCAGACATTCCCTGCACCGCAAGAGGACACAGGACAGGGGTCCTGCTGTCGCTCTGTCTGCAGGTGGCCCTCTCTGGGTGGCTCTGTGGGCAGCCCCATGTCCCTGCTGGAAAGGAGGCCTCTGCAGGGTAGGAAAGGTGTTTGCCCTGTCCTGCGTCCAGATGCAGAGCCCAGTCCAAGGCCTGGCCTGTGCAAACTTGGCCATCATCGCTACAGAATTGTATGAGGCTGCCCTAACCTGACCCTTGCAGAGCAGAGCCTCAGCCCTGAGAGCCAGGGTTAGCCTGCACCGCACCCTCCGCAGCCCTGCGAGCCGGGGTTAGCCTGCACCGCACCCTCCGCAGCCCTGCGAGCCGGGGTTAGCCTGCACCACACCCTCCCCTCCACAGGTGCTGCTGGGGCCACGGCCACACTCTTCTCCAGCAGGGTGGACCTCGCACTGGCACCACACCACGTGCCATGCACAGATGTCGCCGCCACTTCATTTCTGCTGTCAAATATCTGTGGCTCTCTGAGCGCTGGCCCATGCCACTTATTCAGCCCACGAATCTGCTGGGGGTTCCCTCTGTGCTCGGCACTCACACTGCATCAGCTGTCACAAGCAGGTCCCCATGGGGTGTGAGTGGTGCATGTGGGATGTGGGGTGTGTGTGGTCTGTGTGGGATGTGGGGTATGTGTGGTGTGTGTGGGATGTAAGGGGTGTGTGGTGTGTGTGGGATGTGGGGGGTGTGTGGTGCGTGTGGGATGTGGGGTGTGAGTGGTGCGTGTGGGATGTGGGGTGTGTGTGGTCTGTATGGGATGTGGGGTGTGAGTGGTGTGTGTGGGATGTGGGGTGTGAGTGGTGTGTGTGGGATGTGGGGTGTGAGTGGGATGTGGGGTATGAGTGGTGTGTGTGGGATGTGGGGTGTGAGTGGGATGTGGAGTGTGTGAGTTGTGTGTGGGGGTATTGGGTGTGAATGGTGTGTATGAGATGTGGGTTACAGGTGTGAAGGTGTGGCCTGTGGGGTGTAGTATAGGCTGTGTGGGGGTGGGATACGTGGGGTGTGTCTTGGTCACAGCTGTGGGCTGTTAAGTTGGGTGTGTCCATGGGTCTAGGTGCAAGGTGTGGGTTTGTTGTGGATGTCGGGTGTAAGTCCAGCCACCGGAGGATGGAGCTGCAACATCTCGAGGGGGAAGGCAAGAAGAAGGATGGTGGGAAAAGCAAGCGTTTGGTTTTGGGTAAGATGCTGGCCCCAGGGCGGGGCCAGGCAGGCAGCAGGATTCACAGGTCTAGCGGGTGGGGGGTCTGGGCTAGAGAATTGCTTGTGGGTAAAATGGGCGGCAGCGGTGCTTAGCTCAGGACGTGCAGTGAGATCAGATGGCCAAGGTCCTGCCCTTAGCCCGGGGCCTCCTCTGTCATGAAGAGGTGGGAAGGGGAGGAGGACGAGGAACCAGTGAGGTGGTGGGGCTTGGGAGCCACGTGAAGGATGCCCATGGATGGGGAAGGAGGGGAGCAGCTGTGGAGGCCGATGGTGGCTCCCACAAAAGCTGTGTACGCGGGGGAGGGCCTTGGCCCTGATGGGAGGTTCAAGGGAGAGCAGGTCATCTTCTCAACAGAAGTGCGGGGCCAGCTGGCATCCACAGGCTGAGGAGTGCCGGGGACCCTGCCTCACACTGTATAACTCATTAACATAACAGCTACAACCATAAAACTCAGAAGAAAACAGGGGAACCAACCTTCAAGACCTTGGGTTATGCAACAGTTTCGCAGATATAATGCCAGAAACACAAGCAACAAAACAAGACACAGACAACTAGAATTTCATCACAATTTAAAACGTGTTTGTGCCACAAATCATGGCATCCAGAAAGTGGAGACGTGGCTGAAAAAGCAGCTCACAGAACGAGAAAGGGTTTGTAGATGAGGCTCCTGCTAAAGAACCTGCATCCACGATACACCATGAGCTCCTCTAAAGCAACGAAAACCAACCAACCAGATTAAAAATGGGCAAAGGACTGCAATGAACACTTCTCCAACAACCTACAAATGGCCCATAAGCACATGGGAATATGCACCCCATCATCAGTGGCTGGGAAAATACAGGCAAACACGAGGAGACACCCCTTTCACCCCTGCCGGCACAGCTAGAATAGTCAGACGACATCAAGAGCTGGTGAGCGTGTGGAGAAACCGCAGCCCACGCCCTGCAGGCGGGAAGGCAACCCTGTGAGGCCGCTGTGGGAGACAATCTGGCACTTCATCTGATGGCCCCACACAGGGCGACCGTGTGCCCAGCAACTCCACTGCTGGGCTGTGCCCCCGGGGGACGAGGACCGGGCCACGCCAGAACTCGGGAGCAAATGCTGACCACAGCATTCCTCACAGCAGGCAGACAATGGGAAGCAACACAAATAGCCATCTGTGGACTGTAAGACACATAACGGAATACGACTCAGTCCTAAACGGGAATGATGGGGATGGCCCTGGGCGATGTCATGCTGCATGAAGGACCACGTAATGCTTGGCTCTGTTTACAGAAAATGTCCAGATCTGTGGCTTGCTGGGGCCAATGGAGGGAGAGAAGGATGGGGAGTGAGTGCTGATGGATGCAGGATTGCTGGGGGGTGATGAAACCTTCTAAAATTGTGTGTGGGTGATTATATAACCCTGAGAATTTACTAAAAACATGTTGTACCTCTAACAAAGACAACTGAAGGAAGGACTCGGGTAAGTGAAGACAGAAAACACTTTCAAGGGTTTCTGCCCCGAGGCCCAGTGCAGCTCAGCTGGGTCCTGCCTTCCCCAGCCGCCCGCAGCCTCCCCTCCTCAGGCCCTTCCTGCTTTCCCTGGAGGCAGCCAGGTCCCTGCCTGATACCCGCGAACCCTAGCAGGGCAACTGCCGAGGAACGACGTGGCCTCTGGTTCCCCGGAGCGAGGAGCAGTGGCTCCCTGTGGCTCCCCACGGTGGTACCCAGGCGTCTGCCTTGATCACCCAGTGCCCTGAGCCGGCACTCACACAGCACCGTCAGAGACCCCCAACCATCCTCAGTTCCCGATGCCAAGGGCCCCCTGGACCCCAGAACAATCCAAAGGCCTCGGGGCAGGATTGCTCTGAGCCGGAGAAACAGCTCGTGTAACAGAAAAGCCTTTTAAGATCTTCACTAATGTTGAAAGGTTCATGCCTTTCACACCAGGGGCCTGGGATGCCTTTTCGTCCCCAAGATGAAGTTCTCAGGTGCATACCACATGGCCCTTGCCCCTGACAAGCAGAGGCATCAAATCAACGCCAAAGCACCCACCTCCTCCTGAGCCCACCCCAAGGGGAACGTCCATCTCGCCTTCCTGGGGGTGGGGAAGAGACGCCAACATCCCCAGAACGCCCACATCCCAGGGCCCTGCAGAGCCCTGCTCTCCTGTGCAGCCACCCGCCCATCGGGGCCCCTGCCTGCTCTCCTCTGCAGCCACCCGCCCATCGGGGCCCTGGTGCCACCAGGGGAGCCTGGGCGCTTCCACTTGGGGCATCACCCTCTGGGCCCCCCTCACCCTGCTCAGGGACGAGGACCTGACCACGACCCCTCCATGCTGGAAAGGGACCACTGAAACCAGCTCCATCCCTCGTCCCTGACTGGTCAGCAAGAGGAGTGCCCGGGGCCACGCGGTGCATTCTCTGTGCCCGTCAGCTGTGGCTGCTCTGCGTGCTGCCCCACACCAGGTCCCTGCTGAGCTTCTGTCCACACGGTTCTCCCTTTCACTAAAGGACAAATTTTACCACGTGCACCCACGCTTACGGCTTCACACCTGCAAGGCCTGGATGGCGTTGTTGTAGCAGGCCAGCTCTCCAGACACGCTCGGCGAGTTCAGGGCCAGGCGGTGCCACATGCGCGCCAAGTAGTCCTCACTCTCGGCCTTGAATTTCTGTATTTCCATCGAAAAATTCTGCCCGAGCTTGGCCTTCACGATGACCATGTGCTTGAAGATCAAGCTAAAGAAAGGGAAGGTGAGAAACCAACGTCAGGATCGGGTGGCAGAATTTTAAACGTGGGTGATGCAGCCCGGACTTATTCCTCCACCTCCAGCTTAAAAAGACGAAGCAAAGCAGAGCCCAGGTGAGCGGGGGTCTCGGGGCTACGCGGGGGTCTCGGGGGTGAGCGGGGGCCTCGGGGCTATGCAGGGTTTTCAGTCCCCGCTCTCCCTGTGTTGAATTCTCCTGGGGAAGTCAAGTCTTCCAGTGCAAGTGGGAACCTGGGGAGGCCCAGGCAGAGGGGGACAGCGTGGAGCAGGGGAGCACACTCTGGGTGGGGGAGCAGCAGGCAGGTGCTCACAGGTGATGGGGGGAGCACACTCCGGTGGGGGAGCAGCAGGTGGTGGGGGGAGCACACTCCGGTGGGGGAGCACACCCCCGGTGGGGATGCAGTGGGTGGAGCACTCACAGGCGGTGTGGGGAGCACTCACAGGCGGTGGGGGGAGCACTCAGGCGGTGGAGGGAGCACTCACAGGCGGTGGGGGGAGCACTCACAGGCGGTGGGCCGTCCTTGGCAGCACCTGCACAGCCTCGTCCAGCACCTTGAGGCCGCCCTCCCAGTCGTCCTGGTCGGCATGGCTGTGGAAGAGCAGGCCGTAGAGCGCAGCACGGAGCGCCAGGTCGTCCTCAGCCCCTGGGAGGGAGAAGGAGGGGTGTCCTTGGAGCCGCCTGATCCCTCATCAAAGGCGCCCTCGGACCTCCCAGACTAAGCTGCCCATCACAGTGCCCCTGAGGTGGAACCGCGGCTACAGAGGTGCCCAGGCCAGCGCATGCCCCGCAGGGCTGAAGTGAGCTGTGGACCTGCATGGCCCCTCCAGCCCCACAGTGGCCACCCGGGATGCCCTTTCCGTTGCAGGAAGCAGCTGTCTTGTCTCCTTGCTGCCTGTCACTCTCCATCTCCTTGGAGAATTCTGCGTTCACAAACACAGACCTGTGTTTCCACGTATTAAAGATTGGCGAGCAGGACTTGGGGTCCTTTCAGGAGTTGCATGGAAAGCTCCCCCGCGGCCGAGGACACAGCGCCACGTGCACGCTCGGGAGTCCTCATGCTTGGTGCCCGCAGCACGGGAACAATCCCCGAGTCTCCACGCAGGCAGCGGAGCCATGTGACACGCAGAGGCAAAGGTGCCTGCCTTCAGGGCACACACAAAAATCGCCTGCCTGCCGGGAGGTGAGCCCCACCCAGCCTCCATAGGGCGCCCTGTGGGCCATCAGTGCCCCCAAATGCACGAAGCCAGCAGGGTGGATCCTGGTGGGATGGAACCCTCAGTGTCTGGGCGAGCTGCAGATGAACTTGAAGGGCCCTGAAGAGACGGGGTGAACACAGGGCCGCATCCCTCACACATCCCCAGTGAGCACAGAACCCAGCCCACTCTGCCACCTTCCGGCCAAGAGTCCTTTTACCTCAAGGATTCCAAGAGCCCCGGGAGATCCAAAACATCAAACCAAGGCCATGGAGGCCCCACCTCGGGAAGGGGTGCTGAGTGGCGGGTCTGTGCCTTGTTGCTGCCCCCGACCCAACACAGCCATGGCGACTAGAATGCTGACGCGTCCCCTCCCCGTCATGGGCGCTGCCCAGCCCAGCCTGCACACCCTTCCCCTGACGGTAATTCCCACACCCTCCCAGCTCTTTCAGAGGTCAGTGAAGGATCTGTCTTCTCTCTTTTCTCTTCTCTCTCTCTCGCCTCTCTCTCTGCTCTCTTCTCTCTTCTTTCTCCTCTCATCTTCTCTCTGGCCTCTCTCCTCTCCTCTCTCACTTCTCTCTCTCCTCTCCTCTCTCCTCTTTCACCTCTCTCTCTCCTCTCCTCTGTCCTCTCTCACTTCTCTCTCTCCTCTCTCTTCTTTCCTCTCCCCTCTTCTCTCTCTCCTCTCTCCTCTTCTTTCCTCTCCCCTCTTCTCTCTCTCCTCTCCCCTCTTCTCTCTCCTCTCTCGCTTCTCTCTCTCCTCTCCTCTCTCCTCCCCTCTTCTTTCCTCTCCCCTCTTCTCTCCCCTCTCTCCTCTCTCGCTTCTCTCTCTCCTCTCCTCTCCTCCCCTCTTCTTTCCTCTCCCCTCTTCTCTCTCTCCTCTCTCGCTTCTCTCTCTCCTCTCCTCTCTCCTCCCCTCTTCTTTCCTCTCCCCTCTTCTCTCTCCTCTCCCCTCTTCTCTCTCTCCTCTCCTCTCTCCCCTCTCGCCTATTTCCTCTCCTCTCTCTCTCCTCTCCTCTCTCCTCTCCCCTCTTCTCTCCTCTCCCTTCTTCTCTCTCCTCTCCTCTCCCCTCTTCTCTCCTCTCCCTTCTTCTCTCCTCTCCTCTCTCCTCTTCTCTCCTCTCCCTTCTTCTCTCTCCTCTCCTCTCTCCTCTTTCACCTCTCTCTCTCCTCTCCTCTCTCTCTCCTCTCCTCTCTCTCTCCGCTCCTCTCTCTCTCCTCTCCCCTCTTCTCTCTCTCCTCTCCCCTCTTCTCTCCTCTCCCTTCTTCTCTCTCCTCTCCTCTCCCCTCTTCTCTCCTCTCCCCTCTTCTCTCCTCTCCCTTCTTCTCTCTCCTCTCCTCTCCCCTTCTCTCCTCTCCCTTCTTCTCTCTCCTCTCCTCTCTCCTCTTCTCTCCTCTCCCTTCTTCTCTCTCCTCTCCTCTCTCCTCTTTCACCTCTCTCTCTCCGCTCCTCTCTCTCTCCGCTCCTCTCTCTCTCCTCTCCCCTCTTCTCTCTCTCCTCTCCCCTCTTCTCTCCTCTCCCCTCTTCTCTCTCTCCTCTCCCCTCCTCTCTCTCTCCTCTTCTCTCCCTCTCCCCTCTCCCTCTCTCATCCCAGGAATAAGCTTCAGTGAAGCCTCGTCTGGAAAACTCTTTGGATCTCAAGTCAATTTCTGCTGCATCGAGCGCCCGAGAACCATAGTGGGCACCAATGCGGGCTCCACCCCGTCTAATGGTAGCGGGTCTTGGGTTTTCCTGGCTGTCTCCACACCCTGCCACCCCTCACCTGGCTCCCATCCTGGGTGCTTCCATAGCCTGTACCCCTGCCACCTTCACCCCTGCCGCCTGCACCTGCCACCTTCACCCCTGCCGCCTGCACCTGCCACCTTCACCCCTGCCGCCTGCACCCCTGCCGCCTGCACCCCTGCCGCCTTCACCCCTGCCGCCTGTACCCCTGCCACCTTCACCCCTGCCGCCTGCACCTGCCACCTTCACCCCTGCCGCCTGTACCCCTGCCGCCTGCACCTGCCACCTTCACCCCTGCCGCCTGCACCTGCCACCTTCACCCCTGCCGCCTGCACCCCTGCCGCCTGCACCCCTGCCGCCTGCACCCCTGCCACCTTCACCCCTGCCGCCTTCACCCCTGCCGCCTGCACCCCTGCCGCCTGCACCTGCCACCTTCACCCCTGCCGCCTGCACCTGCCACCTTCACCCCTGCCGCCTGCACCCCTGCCGCCTGCACCTGCCACCTTCACCCCTGCCACCTTCACCCCTGCCGCCTGCACCTGCCACCTTCACCCCTGCCGCCTGCACCTGCCACCTTCACCCCTGCCGCCTGCACCTGCCACCTTCACCCCTGCCGCCTGCACCTGCCACCTTCACCCCTGCCGCCTGCACCTGCCACCTTCACCCCTGCCGCCTGCACCTGCCACCCCCACTGGCCCTGCTGTGCTGCTTGCGGGTCTCTGGGCCAGGTCAGGAAGGCTCCCGCCTCCACCCACCCTCTGGAGCCTTCTCAGACTACGCAGCCCCTCACGCCCTTTCTCTTTTCAGAAGTCTGGTGCTTTTCTGTAATTTTAAAGATAAACAGTATGACCCCAAGGAAAGACAAACCCCTTTCTCCCAGCGCCCTCCCCCAGCACTCTGCAGGCCACAGTGCTGAGGGCTGGAGTCCGTGTCATCCTGCACCAGCCCCGTCATGCTATCAGCAGGACCCGCCTCTGGTGCCAGCACCTGGACCACCGAGGCTTACGTCACAGAGTGTGGAGACTTCTTTCCCTTCTCTGACTCATTTTTCATGAGACTGCATTCTCCAGAGCCGACCGGCTGGGTCTAGGGAGCAGAGGTGCCCATGGCTGGAAGGAAGGCACCCATGGCTAGGAGGGCGGCACCCCATTGGATGCTGGGATCTGTGGGCTCACTGTGGCCTTCACACTCTGCCAGGCCCTCCTCACCCAGGCACTGGCCAGAGAAGCGGGTCTGCGTCTGAAACTTGGGAACCCTGAGCCCTGCTTCCTCCTGCTTGAATTCATTAAACCAGGGTCCAATGAACTTGGAAACCACACATAGGGTCGCAGGGAGTCCTCTTCAATCCTGCCTAAGTGGAGGGCTCACTTTGAGGTGTGACCTCCTGATTGACCCACAGCCATGTCCTGGGACCACCCAGTACACATCCAATTCACGGGCGGAGGCACTGCAGCCGGACCCCACCCCTCATGCATTCCTGTGGACCGTCTCCTCCTCCCCGGAGGCCGTCAGCTCCATGGTGCCTCCGGGTGGGTGAGGGCCGTGGACTGTGCATGAGGAGGAATGTGCCTGTGCTGAGCTCTGGGCCTCGTGTTTCCACAGCACAGCATGGCCGTCCCGCCTGATTAAAGTATTGATGCGGCCTGGACGCTAAGCATTTAGCTGCCAGACGTGGTGTGAGTATCTTCCCGTCTGTTCACTTCTTACTGTTCTGCACTTATCAGGATTCAGGAGCGTACATTTTCGTATCTGTGAAAAGTGCTCCTTTCCACAAAATCTCTGCTATGCTCAATTCTACTTTCTGATTTTTTTCTAGAATTTGAATTTTTAAAACGACTTATTCGACCTGTCTGATGTTTATTTTGGTGAAAGGAGTAAAATATAGCGTGGCTTCCAGGTTCTGCCCAGAGGCACAAAACCCCCCTCCACAGCCTCCTCTGCCCGGGTCACATTCTGAAGGGGTCTGGGCTGCCCAGAGGCACAAAACACCCTCCACAGCCTCCTCTGCCCGAGCCACGTACTGAAGGGGTCTGGGCTGCCTTCTGCCTCCCCAGTGCCCTGATCCACATCTCTGTCCTCGTGAAACACCCCACAGGGCTGACAAGAATCACATGCCGGGTTGTGGACAGAAAGTAGTTATGACTGAGCAGTAACCAGGCTGCACCCTGGACACATCCTTGCTGCTAAAAGTCACTTGGACCCCCGTCACTCCTATGATGGGCCTCTGACGTCAGAACCCTAAGGCTTTGGTTGAAGGATCACTTAGGATATTTTTCAGACCCTGAATGCCAGCAACCAGTGCGGAGTCCCCCCCAGAGGAGCGGGTAGGGATTGGCCCAGGAATGCCTTCCCAAGACCCTGCGCTCTTCCACACTTCCGTCCTCTCCAAAACCCTCGAGACCCCTATCCCCAAACTCCTCAGGGAGGTGGGTCTGAGGCTGTATCCCCATCTCCTGCTCAGCAACCCTAGGATTAACCCTTCCTCTGCTGCAGCCTAGCCTCTCAGTGGACGGACTTGCCGTGTGCGTCGGGCTCATGCCTGCAGGACCAGCAAACCACACACACTGCTGGGGTTAGTACTCACCTTAGTAATTACACATGGCCACACTTTTGTTTATTATTTTAAATCAACTTTGCTTCTCTAAATAGACTCTAATGCTCAAGGTAGGTTCCACTTTTCTATTCCACAGCATTTAAAGATTTCCCAAATACACCTTAGGACTCTTAACAGGGATAATTTTTTTTAGCAGACAATTTTTTTTCTATAAACATGAATTGGTATTCTAATATGGTTCTATTGTTCTGAAGTCAGTATGCGTTTTTGTGTGTTTGTTTTTGCAGGAGTGTGTGTCCACGTTTTTTGTGGAAGTAGAAAAATGCGATTTATCTGTGAGCACAGCCTAGAGGCCAGACTTCGCGGCAGCCACGACCAGGGGGACAGTGCCCACTCTGCACTCAGGGGTGTGTGGCCCTGGACAAGGTTCATGTAAACCAAAAATAACATTCTAAGCCCCCCAACCGACTGAATGGGCCCTCCTCTCGGCCAAGGGCCTTCTGAAGTATGCCTGAAAAACGAGTTTGGTGGGGTCGGGGGTGGTAGGGGGCAAGGGTGGACAGGCCTCATCATCCCCTCTCCCTTTGGAGCTCAGGCACAATGGACCAGCATCCACATGAAAACAGAGCTCTTAAGGCTGACAGAGTGGACGCTTTGTAGCCGTAAGACACCAAGTTCCAGCCTGACTCTAGCATAGCATCGCATGACAGATAGCAGGCCTGAAAGAGATCCAAGTATTTCATACCCAAGTATCTTTCTCTGACATATTTTGAAGGGGCCCGCACAGCTGTCTCTTGTGGGGAAAATCCACATGCTGTGGAGAATGCCCTTTTCCCTCTCCAGGGCTTTTCCCTGAGCCAGGGGAGAATTAACCAAGAGTCTGGTGCCTTTTTGTCTGAGAAGAGCTCGGAAGCCGGCTACCTGGAGGCTTCATCTGCAAGATAAAAACCTTGGTCTCCACAACTCCTCATCTAAACCCAGACATTCCTTTCTATTGATTCCAGGTCTTTAGATAATAACTCTTTCAACAAATTGTCAATCAGAAAATCTTGAATCTACCAGTGACCTGGAAGCCTCCCCTCTGAGTTGTCCCACCTTCTGGACCAAACCAATGTGCACCAGACATGCATTGATGTCTCTGCCTGTAACTCCTGTTCCCCTAAAATGTACAAAATCAAGCTATAAACCAACGACCTTGGGCCCAAGTTCTCAGGACCTCCAGGGGCTGTGTCACGGGTCATGCTCCTCACACGTGGCTCAGCATCAATCTCTTCCAATAGTTACAGAGTTTGACTGTTTTCATGGACAGTCAGAAGGTCCCGGCTCTGGCTTCATTGCACGTTGAAAGGGAATTTCATGGGCTCATTCCTGAAGAGCACTCAGGCGCCTGGCATGCATCAGATGCTGAACAGACATTATCTGGAGTTACTGCCAAGTGGCTTCACGTCAGGGCATGGGAATTTAAAAGCACCACGTTTAAAATTGGCTCAAGTCCTTCCCTTTCCTTGTACCTGGAGCCTGTGGGTCTGTCTGTCCTGCTACAAACCTGGAAGAAAATATCCTTCGGTCGTCCCGCCACCCTGGAAGTCGGCCGTGGGCCACTGGTGCAGAAGCAGCGTCTTTCCTTTCTCCTAAAGTAACGCAAGTAAACGACACGTATATTTGAAAGTTGCAAGACAGTCTTTCACCATGAGATAAGAAACTCCCCCTCTGAGCTCTGTGTTCCTCTCCTTAAACTGCTTGCTATTGCCATAAGCAGCTGTAAATTAACCTGACAATGTTGTACCGGCCACTATTGCCAAATTCTAAAGCTTAACAATCTACAGCCAATTAATAACTTAAGTTATTTTAATGTAAATTTTTGGCAAACAACTCAGGAACTGCCTCTTAATTCCCTTTAAAAACCCACTTGGAACTGCCTCTGATTGGAGTGCACGTTCAGCGCCGCTTGAATCGATGCTTCCGGATTACAACCGTCAAACTTGGCCCAGGTAAACTCTCTATTTACACCAGTTTTGCCTCAGCTTCTTCCTTTTAGGTTGACACCATTTTGCTTTTCATTTTGTTATAGTAGGTAGCTAGTCAAACATGAGTGGGGCAGGAGAGGCCCCCCGCCCCACACCAGGAACTTCAGGCAACCATCAGGTGATGGTCAGGCAGCTGTTAACTGTCTCTCTAAAATAATAACTGGTCTCAGCCAGCACCAGGGAAAGGCCATCTCCCAAGAGACATAAAAAACCTAAAACTGGTAATGAGTAGCTTCCCGATAAGATCTCAGGAGTTGGGTGAGCGGGCTCAAGCACGCACACTGAGAGGCAAAATGGCGGAGTTTCACTGGTCTATGACCTTCCTCTAGGAACACCGTGACTGGTAAGGGACCACCTCAACTGAGCACGTGCAAAACTCCAGTAAACACACTGGGCATGCGGCCCCTCCCAAGTGCAGGCAGCCACCGTACACGTGGACAGTCCACTGCAAGGGAAGCATCTGGGGAGAAATCATGCAATACGCTGGAAGTCAGCCAATGTATTGAGACAGCCAGGTGGGAAGGGGTCCCCAGAGAATCTCTGATCAGCTGCTCACTGGGAGGAATGTGCACTGGGGTGGAGCCACAGAGGCTCACGCCACTTGCAGCGGGGAGGAGCCTGGCCCCTCCTCCTCCTGGGTGAACCTGGGATTCATTTGGTGAGGTGGGAAGTGCACTGGCAGGAAACACTCTCTCGCTTCACTAAGAGTCTCTGTTTCCCTTTTTTCTTCCTTTCTACCCAATAAAATCCTGCCTTTCTCACCCTTCAAATTGTCTATGAGCCTCATCTTTTGTGGCAATGTGACAAGGACCCCGTCTTTAGCTGAACTGAGCAAAAGTCCCGCAACAGTGTGAGACCCCCAAGTCAAAGGTGAGCCATGCACGTGATCTCTCAGGTCTCCCGCTCGGCCTCTTCCCAGTGTACTTTCTTTCCTGTTCTAAAGCTCTTTGATAAACTCTCACTCCTGCTCTAAGACTTGCCTCTGTCTCTCCTTCTGCTTTATGCTCCTCAGTTGAAGTCTTTCTTCTGAGGAGGCAAGAACTGAGGTTGCTGCAGCCCCCTGTGGGTTTGCCGCAGGTAACACGCTTTGAGGTTGCTGCAGCCCCCTGTGGGTTTGCCACTGGTAACACACTTTGAGGTTGCTGCAGCCCCCTGTGGGTTCACTGCTGGTAACACACTTTGAGGTTGCTGCAGCCCCCTGTGGGTTTGCCACTGGTAACACACTTTGAGGTTGCTGCAGCCCCCTGAGGGTTCGCCGCTGGTAACACGCTTTGAGGTTGCTGCAGCCCCCTGTGGATTTGCCGCTGGTAATGTACTTTGGTGGTGTGTGACTCAAATATATCTGCTGCTAAGAATTTGGCTCTATCTAGTTACAGATATTGCAGCTAAATTTCTGAAATACTAAGTCACAAAAAGTCTGCAACTGCTCCCCTAACATAATTGAGAGCTTTTTCAATGACATGGAACATCTAAGTTGGTTTCATGGCTCTAAATCAATGTGATGAAAAGCACATTAGATAAAACTTACGGGAGGCAGTGAGAGCCAATCTCAGAGGGAGTTCACCACTGTAAATGCTGTATTAAAGAAGGATCTCAACTCAATAATCAACTTTACATCATAAGGAACTAAAACACTAGCAGAAGGAAGGAAATAATAGAGATCAGAGCACAGACAAAAATAGATAACAGAAAAACAATAAAGAAAATCTACTGTTTAAAAGTTGGTTCTTCAAAAAGATCAACAAAATTGACAAGCCTTTAGCTAACTGACAAAAAAAAAAGAAAGACTATTCAAATAACTAAAATAAGTAAGGCAAGTGGAGACATTACTACCGACCTCAGGGAGATAAAAAGGATTATAAGAAAATCCTATGAACATTTGCACACCAACAAATTAGATAATCTAGAAAAAATGAACAAATCCCTCCAAACACACCCAGACTGACTCAGGAAGAAATAGAAAATCTCAACAGACTTATAATAAGAGATTAAATTAGTAATCAAAAGCCTCTTAATAAAGAAAAATCCTGGACTATATGGCTTCATCAGTGACTCCCATCAAACATTTAAAGAAGCATTAGCAACAATCCTTATTGACTCTTCAAAAATTTAAAGAAAAAGAAACACTCCTGGGTTCACCCTATGAGGCCAGCATTACTCTGCTATCAAATCCAGATAAAGACATCACAAGAAAAGAAAATTATAGATCAATATCCCTTATGAATACAGGTGCAAAAATCCTCCACAAAAGATTAGCAAATGAAATCCAACAGCATATTAAAAAGATGACTTATAATGACCAAGTAGGATTTATGAGAGATGCAATGGTGGCTCACTGTGTGCAGATCAGTCAGCGTGATGCACAGTATTCAGCATTAACAGAACAAAGGAGAAAAACCACACAACCGGCTCAATTGACAGAGAAAAGGCATTTGGCAAGACCCACACTATTTCATGATAAAAACTCTCAGAAAACTAGAAATAGAAAATTCCTCAACATGATAAAGGGTCCTTATGGAAAGACCCACAGCTCACGTCACATGCAATGGTGAGGCTGAAGCTCTCTCACTAAGACCAGGAACAAGACAAGGCCACTGCTTCCACTGCTGCTATTCCACCAGAGGCTCTGGCCAGAGCTACTGGACAACAACAAGAAAGAACACGGTGAGAAGGCAGCCAGGCTGTGTGTGCTATACTGGAAAAGAAGAGGTAAAACTATCTCTATTCACAGATGACATGATCCTATACAGAGAAAATTCTTACAAATCCACAAGAAAACTATTAGAGCCAATTAATGAATTCAGAAAAGTTGCAGGGCACAAGATCAACACACAACAATCAGCTGTGTTTTTATTCACCAGGAATGAAAACTCCAAAAATGAAATTAGAAAGAAAGTTCTATAGACTGAGCTGTGTGCCCCCAAAATTCATATCCTGAGACTCTAACCCTCACTGTGGTGGTATTTGGCGACAGGGCCTCTGGGAGGTAATTGACGTTAGATAAGGTCACGAGAGTGGGGTCCTCACAATGAAGTTGGTGCACTTTAAGAAAAGACACCAGAGAGCTTGCTCTCTCCTTCTGTGTGCCACATGAAGACACGGTGAGAAGGCAGCCAGGCTCTGTGTGCCATGAGACACGGCGAGAAGGCAGCTAGGCTCTGTGTGCCATGAGACACGGCGAGAAGGCAGCCAGGCTCTGTGTGCCACATGAAGACACGGTGAGAAGGCAGCCAGGCTCTGTGTGCCACATGAAGACATGGTGAGAAGGCAGCCAGGCTCTGTGTGCCACATGAAGACATGGTGAGAAGGCAGCCAGGCTCTGTGTGCCACATGAAGACACGGTGAGAAGGCAGCCAGGCTCTGTGTGCCATGAGACACGGCGAGAAGGCAGCTAGGCTCTGTGTGCCATGAGACACAGTGAGAAGGCAGCCAGGCTGTGTGTGCCACATGAAGACATGGTGAGAAGGCAGCCAGGCTGTGTGTGCCACATGAAGACACAGTGAGAAGGCATCCAGGCATTGATGGCCAGGAAGATGTTCCTCACCAGAACCCAGCCACGCTGGCTCCCTGATCTCAGACTTCCAGATCCAGACTTTGATAAATAAATTAAGCCATCCAGTCTATGGTATTTTGTTATGGCAGCCCAAGCTAAGACAGAAAGCATTCCTGTTTATAACAGCACCTTAAAAAATTAAATACTTAGTAATAAATCTAACCAAAGAGGTGAAAGACTTACATGCTAAAAACTATAAAAGGTTGCTGAAAGAAATTAAAGATCTAAATAAACAAAAAGATAGACCATGTTCATGGATAGGAAGCCTTAACATTGTTAAAATGTCAATACTACCCAAAGCAGTATTCAACGCAATCCCTATGGGTTACAATAGTCTTTTTAAAAATATATATAATTTTAAAAAATGATCCTCACATTCATATGGAATTAAAAAACTGATCCTCAAATTCATATGGAATTGCAAGGGGCCCCAGACAGCTAAAACAATCTTGAAAAAGAACAAAGTTGGAGGACCCACACTTCCCAACTTGGAAACATATGACAAAGCTACAGTGACTCAAATAGCATAGTGTTGGCAAAATGATACCATACAGGCCGGTGAAATAGAATAGAGAGCCCCAAAATAAATCCCTGCATTTCTGGTCAAATTATTTTCAGCAACAGTGCCAAGACCATTCACTAGGGAAAGCACAGTCTCTTCAAGTGGTGCTGGAAAAACTGGATATCCACATGGAAAAGGCTGATGTTGAACCTTTACCTAATACCATATGCAAAACTTAACTCAAATGGATCAAAGATCTAAACTTAAGAGCTAAAGCTACAAAATTCTTAGAAGAAAATAATGGAGAAAATCCTCATGGTATTAGATGTAGCAGGACCAGGGATATGACACCAAAGACACAGGCAACAAAAGAAAAAATAGATAAACTGAACCTCTTAAAAATTAGGAACATTTATGCATCAAATGGCATGATCAAATGAGTGAAAAGTTAACCCAGAGAATGGGAGAAAATACTTGCAAATCAGGTATCTGCTGAGGGATTAATATGCAGGCTCTGTCCTGAGGCTCTCTGGCATGAACCTCCGTCTGCTACGGCCCTCACTGTCCGTGGGCTCTCCCTTCACAGGCCCCGCCGCACACCGCAGGTTGGTAGGAACCGCATATCTAGGTCAGCCAGGACTCTTGGTCACAAGCAGTAAAAATCTACTCTGGTCTTCCTGGGCAGCCAGAAAATGTGCTGGGCAGCGCCAGTGGGAGGCTAAGCCCTGGGGCCAGGAAGCTGCATCTGGCCCACAGGATGGCCATGTGTGGGTTGGCAGGTTGGCAGGTTGGCAGGTCGGCAGGCCAGGTGGAGCAGCCTTGGCTTGCCTCCGTACTCTCCAGTCTGGCTCCAGAGGCAGCTCTGCACAGAGCTCAGACCCAGGCTTCCTGGGGGAGCCAGCCGAGGAGGGTCCCTTTGCCTAGACCACACTGGATGAGGAGGCAGTCCCCCGGAGGAGGCCAGCATGGGGAGAGAGGCTGGGGTGGGCTGGACAGCCCAGAGGCCCCGACACAGCCTTTTCAAAGTCAGGCCAAGAAGCTGCCTTGGGCATGCATCTGAGGATCCAGCGCAGCGGCTTCTGTAGCCGCACCCACTGTCTCTGCCTGCTGTCTGGTGCCCCACTCCCGTCCTCCTCCTCCCACTGGAGCTTTGGGTTATGCAGCTCTGCTTCTCTTAGAAGGGCCCCGTTTTGTGGGTTCTCTGTGGCTGACTCCTGATTCCTGGTTACAGCTGAGGCCAGCAGAAGAGAGCTCAGAGTGGGCTGGTCTGGCTCAGCCCTGGTCTGGAGACTGACCCCAACCCGAGAGTCTCAGCCTCTTTCCAGGAGGAGCGGGATGCCTCCCCATCTCCCAGCAGGGAGCTGCATCCACAGACCTGTGAGCCAGGAGCACGAAGCCTTCACCAACTCCAGCGCCTGCTCAGGAAGCCCAGTCCACAAGGCTGAGGCTTGTCCTGCCAGTCTGTGCCCAGCGAGAAGCTGGCCAGGCTCCTGCTCTTGGAGAGGCCTGCAGGACCACTCCAGGACCCATGCCTAGCCTCCCTCCAACAGCCCTAGAAGGAGGTGCACTCTTGGGTCCACTTGGCCCCTCTCCTTCAACCGTCCTCCCTGGGTTGCCCCATCCCCTGGGCCTTGGGGGCTCCACTCCCCGCCACCCCACTCTGCCTTAAGCCGCCAGAGGCACCTGTGGCCCAGCCCCCGCCCCCTGCCCTGCCCTCTGCTTGCTGTTCTCAGGGCCACCCTCTCTCATGGCAGGTGGGGCCTGTCCTCCCTGCCTAGAATCCAAGCCTCTTAAGGCAGGGACTGTGCTGGCCTCACTCTACCCGCTGCTGTGTGTCTCCAGGGCTGAGAGCCCCTCGGTGCATGTGTGTTGCTGGGAGAGGTCAGGTCTGAGCACCGAGTCCAGCAGGGGCCCCCGCAGTGCTGGGACTTGGAGACCCCCCTTAACCCCCTCCCCTCCTCGGCTGGTGCTGGTGCACCCTCTGGGAGGCCTGTGGGGTCTGTCTTTCTTTGGGAGTCTCTCCGGTCCTTTCTGGAAGACCCACTAGAGGCCTCAGTGGGAGTCAGGAGCCCCCTCCAGGGCTGGTGCACCTGCTTTCTGGCCTCTGTCTTGTTGATGATGCCGATGAGCCTCTTCAGGGCACCCTTGGCCTTCTTCCTGTAGACGGCTGAGGACAGCAGTGGGAGCCAGGCGTTCCAGTAATGCCGCGCGGCCAGCATCACCAGGGCGCTGCTGCCCGCGATGCCTCCGAACCTAAAAGAGGGCAGGTCATGACGCGGTGGCTCCACCTGGGCCCACCTGGAGCTGCTGGACCAGGAGGGACAGGAAGGTCGGGCGCCCAGGGCCCAGCCACACGCTCGCTCCCTCCTGGGCATGTGGCTTGCTCAGGAGTCCCTGCTGCATCCTTTCCAGTGGGCCTTTCTGGGCAGCACGAGGTCAGACCCCCACCAAGGCCAGGCTGTAGGAGCCCAGGTGGGTACAAGGGCAAGAGGGGGCCGCTGCACCTCCCTGAAGACTGTGCCCTGAACTGGCCGCACCGGCCACCTCCCCTCGCCGGCAGGAGCCCTCCCTTGGGCCCACAGGATGGGCCACAGCCTTGGTGAGCACAGGGGTCCCGCACGGCCGGGGAGGGACAGAGCCCACCCCAGCCCCTTAGAGCCACACACCTGGCGCTCTCCGTGAAGGCCTTGGCTGCCACCAGTCGCAGCTGCTTCCGGCCCTTCAGGTTTTCCATGATGCTCCTGCCCTGGATGGCCGTGGCTGTGCACAGCATCTCTGCCACCAGCCGGGACTCCTCGCTGCAGGAACAGGGCCAGTGAGGAGGGAGGCCACTGTGGCCCACCTTGGGTCCTCCCTCCCTGGGTCACTGTCTTGAACTGTGGACTACACAGGTGGTATTCTAAGATGGGGCACCTCCTGGCCCACAAGCACATGTGCACAGGGCTCCGCCCTCCCCGAATCTGAGTCAGCTTCAGGGACTTGCTAGACTGCAGGGATGCAGGGCAAGGGGCTCCTGGTCTTCTGAGGCCTGGAGTGCCCACGTGTGGCCTGGGTGCCGGAGACAGCCGCCCTGGGAATGCTCTCAACCACGGAGCTGGCAGTCACATGGCAAGGGTGGGAGTGGGCTATGGGGACATCCAGCTAGTGGACCCTCAAGACTGTCACCCCAGCTGACTCTCACAGTAACCTTATGAGCGACCCCAACCCAAAACTAACTAGCTGTGTCCAGTCAGCCCCCAGAACCATGGGGCAGAATCATTAACTGTTTTTTTAATGACTAATCTTTAGAGGGACTTGTGCAGCAACAGATCCACAGAACCAGCCCCTCTTTTGGGGCCTCTCCCCTCTAAGAGCCCTGCTGCCCAAGCCCACATGGAAGTCTGGCCCCAGAAGGTCCACTCTGCACCCAGAGCTTGGCCAGGTGCACACTCCTGGGTGTCAACAGCAGCATCAGCTCCACGGCTCCTCATCCCTGGACGTTCGCTGCTCCAGGGCTGCCGTGGCTGGGGCTGCAACGCCACACACACTAAGGCAGGATTCTCGCCATGGATGGGGGAGCACGCCCTTGCGGCTCAGCTCAGAGGAGGCACCAGATTTATTCTATGAGAAAGATGCTGGCTCACGGGTAGACTCCCCTCATGGGCCAGGGTCCCAGAGCCAGGAATCTGCTTGCAGGAGCAGACAGCCACTTCTGCCCCTCTGTCCCAAAGGAGTCAAAGGAGGAAGGCGCTGCCCCTTGGCCTGCATGGGCCTGCAGTGCCCAATGCAAGCCGGTGGTCTGAAGCTGAAACCACCTTCTAAGGCGGGCATGGCGACCTAGGCAGGGCAGGAAGGAGAGTTCAGTTTCCTGGGTACTGCCGTCCTAAACATTTTGATCTGGGTTATGCAGTTGTTGAGTGTTCCATAAATGCCAATGAGTGAGGTCTGTTCCTTCCATCTGTAGCCTCAGTGACTTCCCCCCTACTTTGTTCTGTCAGCTGCTGAGAGAGGAATGTTAAAATCTACAGCTAGAATCGTAGACGTATCCATGTTTTACTTCCTGTATTTTCAAGCTCTGCTATTAGGTGAACACACATTTAGCATTTTTATGTCTTCTTGAAGATTGAATCCTTCATCATGAGGAATGTCTACCTCGGATCGCGTGCCTGGGCCGTTTAACCGGACACCAGCTTTCTTGTGGTTGGCACTTGCAGAGTGCCTCTCTCCCATCCTTTTACCTTCAATCTGTGTCTATACATTTGAAGAGGGTCTCCCGTACGTAGTTTATCATTGGGTCTTGCTCCTATGTTCTGTATCTGTGTCTTTACATTTGAAGAGGGTCTCCTGTACGTACTTTATCATTGGGTCTTGCTCCTATGTTCTGTGAGATAAACTGCATTTTAACTGCAGTGTTGGTTCGTTTACGTTTAATGGAATGACTGATATGGGTCAAATCCACCATTTGGTCCTTGCTTTCCTTTTGACTTACATGTTCTTTGTTCCTTTCTTCCCTTTTTTTGCATGAATGGAATATTTTTTAGTATCCCAATTCATATCCTCTATTAGATTTTTAGTTACATCTCTTTGCTTTATTCCATTTGTTAGCATTTGCTCTAGGGATTGCAGTGTGCATCCTTCACCAACCACGGCTCTACCTCACCTGAGTCCTACTCCACGTCACGTGTGGCACGAGGGCCCTCGGAATCGCTGCCTCTCAGCCCGCCCTGTGTGTTTCCACTGCCCTGCATCTTGCCTCTATATTTATGAAAAATCCCACAATAGGATGCTATTTTTGCTTTAAAAGGTCAAGTGTTTCTTGAAGAATTTAAGAACTGAAAGGGAAAAAAGTCTTTTATGTTTACCCCCAAATTTACCATTTTTGGTGTTTTTCATCTCCTCTAGCATGTCCTCTTCTGAGGATCTGCTGGGAATGGATCCTCTTAGCTCTTATTAATCTTAAAATGTCTTGATTCTGTCTTCATTTGTGAGGACTATTGCTGGCGGATATAGAATTCTAGACTGACAGGTTTTCTTTTTTTAACACTTAAAAACTGTCATCCTTTGTATTCTGGTTTGCATCATTTCTGATGAGAAGTCAGCAGCAGCTCTTGCCCTGGTTTTCCTGTATGCACAAATCCGTCCCCATGCTAACTCCTTTCCAGGATCTGCTCCCGGTCTTTGGTCTTCAGCAATGTGACTACAATTCCCCCACGATGGAGCCAGGTGTGGTTTTCTTTGCGTTTATCCCACTTGGGATTCCTTGAAAGTCTTGGATCTCCAGGTTGATATTTTTAATTCAACTTGTAAAATTTTCAGCCATTATGTTTTCAAACGTGTGTATTTTGGCCTCCCCCTGCTGCCTCTGTCCTCCTGAGACTCCAGTTACACTCAGGTTAGACCCCCTGCTATGGCCCCACAGGTCACAGACGGAAAGCTCTGTGGCCCCACGGGTCACAGACGGGAAGCTCTGTTCATTTAGTTTCTCCGTTTTTCTCCCTGTGCTTCGGTTTTCATAGTCCACTGGCCTGGATTCGAAGTTACTGATCATTCTTCAGCGTCCAGCCTGATGATAACACTCTTCCAGTGGCGTTTGCATTTCAGACACTTTATTTTTCATTTCTAGGAATTCCATTCAGTGATTTTATTATCGGTTCCATTCTTTATTGAAATTCCTGTCTGTACACTAGTTATTTCCATTGAAAATCTGATTATATTGACAGTAGCTGTTTTCAACTCCTCATCTGCTCATGTCAACATACACCACAGCTGGGTCTGTTGGCTGTTTTTTCTATTCTACTCTTTTCTTCCTGGTTATGAGCCACATTTTCTTGCTTTTGCACACATCTAGTAATTTCTTACTTTATGCTGGACGTCGTGAGGGCTCTGCTGCTGAAAGTGTGGATTGTGTCCACTTCCTTTAAAGAGTGTTGGGTTTTGTTCTGACAGGCAGTTAATTACTGGTGGCTCAGCTTCATCCTACTGAGATGTGGTTTAGGCTTTGTTGGGGTGAGTCTGCACTCACCCCATTGCTAAGGTGTGTCTTTCTGAATGCCTGGAGTTCAGTGAGTTACGCCCCAATGTGAGCTGGCCACAGCTCCAACTTCTCTCACCCCATTGCTAAGGTGTGTCTTTCTGAATGCCTGGAGTTCAGTGAGTTACGCCCCAGTGTGAGTTGGCCACAGCTCCAACTTCTCTCACCCCATTGCTAAGGTGTGTCTTTCTGAATGCCTGGAGTTCAGTGAGTTACGCCCCAATGTGAGCTGGCCACAGCTCCAACTTCTCTCACCCCATTGCTAAGGTGTGTCTTTCTGAATGCCTGGAGTTCAGTGAGTTACGCCCCAATGTGAGCTGGCCACAGCTCCAACTTCTCTAGCGCAGGATGGCCTCTGGCATCTTGTCAGCGTACAGACCCCTCCATCCCTGTTTTCTGCCAGGCCTGGAATCTAGTCCTGTGCACACACAGTTTACCACCAGACAGGCACAGACTCATGGGTGGCTCCACAGAACGAGGGCCCCACCCCACCTGCCGCGTCACATCCTGGACACCTCAGCTGCTACAGCCTCAAGCCCTGACCCATTTCTCCCCGCGACTCTTCCATCCATCTGGGCCCAAGCCCTGACCCGTTTCTCCCCGCGACTCTTCCATCTGGGCCCGCTCTCCAGGCTGCAGCATGTGAAGCTCCCTTAGGCAGAATGCGGAGCCCACTTCCGATATTTCCTTCTAGCAAGAATGGCTGCCTGGTACTGCCTGCTGTCCAACAGCTAAAAACAACTGTCTCACGTATATTTTCAAGTTTTACAGTTTTTCTTTTTCACAGCACAAGAGTACGATACCCATTATGCTTTCAAGGCCGGAACTAGGTGACTTTTAAATTTATATTATTAACAACATTAAATATAAATATATTACACATAATAAATATATGATATGTGAATATATATAAAATCACTGTTGGTGATTACGTTAAATAAAAATGTTGAGCTGAGTTGGAAGGTCCAAATGACACTCTTAAGACTATTGTTCTTTACCCATTTTGTGTGTATTTTAATAATCTACATGAAATGTATAATATATATTCCTTGACACTAATAGCATAAATGCGAAACTGATTTGGCAACCACACAGTCACAATTGAGAATATGAACTCATTCGTAACTGCTGTACTTTTCACCAAGAACAGAAAGCCATTTTTGCTATTAGTGTAAAATGCTATCATAAAAGCTACTCTGTGGCAAATTCCATGCTAGAGTTTCTACACATAATTTTCAAAACGGAAAGAAATTAGAATGAAGAACTGAAATATGTGTAAACTTTTTAAAGTATCTCTTACAAAGGCTGGTCGTCTGCTGGATGTGGGCATGGGTCCTGCTGGACTGGGGAAGGGCCTGTGGCTCTGACAGTGACCAGCGAGGTGACCACATCATCTCCTGCTGAGCAGCACGCCTGCGGGTTCTCTCCAGTCTCCTGGCACCCAGGCTGCCTGCACACAGGAGCACCCACCTGCGGTTGGTGGAAAGGCGCCAACACTGCGCCCAGGGCAGAGGGGCTCCCGCTGGGACGCAATGACACCAAGGGCCACTAGAGGACAGCAATGGTCCACAAAGGACTTTCCAAAGTCTTAACGTGGAAATCCAATTTTTCCAGTCTCATATGACTTCTCCTTTTCCCTGTCACCATATGTTTAAATTTACAGCTTTAGCTAATTTAACAGAAAAAATGATTTTTAAGTCAATTTACACAGCAGTGGCACGGCCAGGGCGCCCAGCCCCCACATCCTCCTGTTGTGTGCCGCTCTGCCCTCCACACTTGGGGAAGTAATTGTAACTCAGTTATGAGGAGGCTTTATGCAGCAGCACTCTGCACCCTCACCTCTATGACGCTGTCTTTGTAGTTTATTTCTCTTAGAAATAATGTTTGTTCTGTTTTGTTTGGAGACAGAGTCTCGCTGTGTCACCCAGGCTGGAGCGCAGTGGTACAATCACGGCTTGCTGCAGCCTCGACCTACAGGCTCCTTACGAGGGTGAATGCAGTTCAGCTCACTCAGACCCCCTGCAGCCCCTTCCAACTGACTTGTGTGGCCAGTGACCGCATGACACTTAATCCCCACCTATCACCTTGGCACCTACGACGTCACGCCAGCCTCTCATCTTCTGGTCCCCACTGTGACCCTGGTGACTCACCTTCCCGGTGAGGACCACAACACCCACGCTTCCCTTAGCTCGTCCTTCCTGCTCTACCAGCATATGTTATCTGCGCTTTTCCTTCACTTTTGTATTGTCAAAATCAATCCTTTCCTTTTGTCAAAATGCTTCTTTCTTTGTCAACAAGTTAATCCTAAAAGTGGAATATCAGTGAACACCATGTTTCTCATTGGAGAGTCCGGCTGTAAATGACTTGGTTTCCCGGACTCTCTAACTGGTGTACGCCTCTGAACTGTCCCCATCCGTCCTATGAGGGACTCTGTCTCCCCGCCCTCCCCAGGGTCCTCCTGAGCCACCCAATGCAGTCAGACAGCTCTCTCCGCACAGCGTCCATCTGGGGACAGCTCTTGACTACCTTTCTAGGTTGAATCTGTTATTTCTAGCATCCCACATATCTTTCCTTTTTTTTTTTTTTTTTGGTTTACTTCCTTGTTTTTCTGGATCATATCCTCAAGAAACTTTCTAAAAATGGTGTATGGGAAGTACACTCTCTGGGTCCTTTTGTCTAAAATGGCTTATTTTGACCTGATATGTGACTGATGGTTTGGGTGAGCTTGAATTCCAGGCTGACAATTACCTCCACGTGGAACGTTCTATTTTCTTTTTGCTTCAAGTGGTGGCTGCTGAGAAGGTTGGGGCAGTTCTATTTCCTGCTCCTCTGATCTCAGCCTGGTGTCAGACAGAGACTTCCAGAGACACCTCTGATCCTGGCCTGGTATCTCAGCATGTCCAGAGCCAGGCAGATGTATTTTCAGCCTCAGCACATCCAGGGCCTGAGGGGCCAGGGTGGGTGGCAGGCATCTCCTGCTTATGCCAGAGCTGCAGGGCTGGGGACGCACCCCCAGCCCCACCTGCAAGGAAGGCTAGGGAGGGACATCAAAGGAGGTGAGTTTTCCTTTTGGAAGCAAATTGATTTTTATTACAGGCTGCAGGGAAAATGTAACCTCTAGCCTCCAACAGAGGGATGCCAAAGAGGGGGGCCTGGCATGGAATCCTGTCCATACTGTTTTGGAAGAAAGATCATTTGCAGTGAAAAGCCCGTCGATGTTGGCAAAGAGAAAACAGCGGGACTGGGCTCCAGACCAACTCTGCTCCGGCCCTTTGCTGCCACGCTCTCCCTCTAGCCCCCCTTGTGAACGTGGGGCACCACGCATGGCAGTGCCAGGCCAGCAGGGCAGGGTCCCAGGTGCACAGCTCCTGGCAGGGCTCGCAGCCTCCTGAGCACTCGCAGTCTCACCCCTGCCAAGGCAGTGCTTATAGCCCATCGCCTGGGTTCAGTCCCAGCTCTGCCACTCACCCCAGCTGGGTGGCCTCAGAAGCAACTTGGCCTCTGCCTGCCCATTTCCTGCTCTAGAGCCTGGGAACAGTAGTGCCTGCCAACCGAGAAGAGTGAACGGGGTCCTGGCGCGTGATGCCCCGTCCTGGGCACTGAGAAGAGTGAACGGGGTCCTGGCGCGTGATGCCCCATCCTGGGCACTGAGAAGAGTGAACGGGGTCCTGGAGCGTGATGCCCCGTCCTGGGCACTGAGAAGAGTGAACGGGGTCCTGGCGCGTGATGCCCCGTCCTGGGCACTGAGAAGAGTGAACGGGGTCCTGGCGCGTGATGCCCCGTCCTGGGCACTGAGAAGAGTGAACGGGGTCCTGGCGCGTGATGCCCCGTCCTGGGCACTGAGAAGAGTGAACGGGGTCCTGGCGCGTGATGCCCCGTCCTGGGCACCGAGAAGAGTGAACGGGGTCCTGGCGCGTGATGCCCCATCCTGGGCAATGAGAAGAGTGAACGGGGTCTTGGCGTGTGATGCCCCATCCTGGGCACTGAGAAGAGTGAATGGGGTCCTGGCGCGTGATGCCCCGTGCTGGGCACTGAGTGAATGGGGGGCCTGGTACATGGTATCCAGTCCTGAGCACTGGCCTGCTTGTGCCTCTGAGCACCCAGGAGACCCCGGACACGTGGAAGTTGCCGACGTGAAAGGCATCTTGGCACGTTCCTATGTTGGCCTCGCATCCCCACGGGTGTGGCCGACACAGGCCCTGGAGCCGTCCTGGTGTGCAGGGCTGTGGGAAGATGGGGCGTGGGCCTGGGGCGCTCCTTGCCTCCGGCAGGTGCTGCCCACGCTGGCCATTTGGCCACAGAAAACATCGTTACAGCCTTTGGGTCAGCGGTTTCATCTTCCAGGATTATTAGACCCAGGAAATTAGCCAAAAAGAACCTCAAGGAAAACAACCTTTACTGCAGAAACATTTACAATAGCAACAGATGGAAAACAGCCTCATATTCAAAAATTGGGGAAAGATTAGGGATGATAACAATTGCTCAACTGGATGGAACACGGTAAGCCACTAAAAGTGAGATCCGTGAAAATTAAAGAATGAGAATGTTCTGTGTCCAGCTATGCTGACGACGGGGACCTGGCGGCACGGCTGACTCTGGAGAGTGAGCGAGGGACCCAAGTCAGAGGCCATTTTCTTTCATTGAAATTACCCTTATTTATTTTCAAATTTAATTAGCGTGCATATCTGTCTATTCAAAATTACTTCAAAGCTGTATGTCGTTAGAAATGGCAGCTGTCTACCTGCTGAATGTCCCTATCCCCTCAAAATTCCCTTCGACCTGCCATGGGCGGAGTGTCCGTGTCCCCTCAAAATTCCCATGCTGGGCGATCCTCACCCCCACAGTGATGGTGTTGGGGTGGCCTTTGATGGCCTTTGAGGGGGGTTGGATCATGGGGATGGAGCCCTCACAAACAGGGTTAGTCCCTTATGAAAGGGACCCCAGAGAGCCCTGCCCCTTCCCGCATGTGAGGACACAGCGGGAGGCGCCGTCTGTGAGACAGGAAGGGGCCCTCGCAGACGCCGAATCTGCCACACCTCGATGGCACTTCCAGCCTCCGGAACTGTGAGCAGGAACCATCTGGGGTGGGAGCCCCCCGGTCTGTGGCCCTTTGTCCCAGCCTCTGAAGGCTGAGGCCCCCCCTTTCTGTGCCTACAATGCACACGCGGCCAGCAGGCCACACACCCCTCCTGCTGAGGCCCACGTGACTTCAGAATCCTTCCTGACCAGCTTTCCACGGGGCCACTGCTGACTTGTCCATGAGGGCACGGGGCCGGCAGGACGGAGGCTGCCTGTGCACATGGCTGAGGCCTGTGGGAAGCTTTCTGGACTGGGCCTGGAGACCTGGTGGAGTGCTCACCTGCTCCCTGATCTGTGATCGCCGCCCAGGCCCGCGCTCCCTGCCCGTTTTGGGGACCTGGTGGGGCGCTCACACGCGCCCTGATCTGTGATCGCGGCCCAGGCCCGCGCTCCCTGCCCGTTTTGGGGAACTGGTGGGGCGCTCACCTGCTCCCTGATCTGTGATTGAGGCCCAGGCCTGCGCTCCCTGCCCGTTTTGAGGGAATTTGTCCAGTCATGAGGGTTACTTACGGCCCAAATTTCTTCAGGTACTTGATGCCCATCTCCAGAGCCCTGTGAGCACAGGCCATGGTGGTCTCATGGTCACGCGCTGCATGGGCGAAGTGGGTCAGCCGCGTCAGGGTCTGCAGCTCCACCAGGGGGTCCGACCAGTTGCACTCGGAAGCCATTTTCACCAACTTCCGGTGGGTGGCAAGAGAAGGGGCACCGTGTTAGCAACAACGAACTTCCCACGGCCTGCAGCCCCCACGGACCACGCAGCGCATGTGATCCTAAGCAGAGGCGTGGCCTGTGAAGGGCCACCGTGCCACAAAAGCTGAGCTGCCACGTCCGTGCCTGTGAGGACCCCTGATGTCCTTGTAGCTCCCACACCCCACAGGGTGTCCTGGACACGGGACTGGCGTGTGCAGCCCTTGGCTGCCCCTGAGCGGCTCAGGGTTGGGTGGGAATGGAGGGTCCGCTCAAACAGCGTTTGCCTCGCACCAGGAGACAGGGATGCTCTGAGCATGGAGCTGAAGGAAGTGCGTCGAGGGGGCGCAGCTCCGTTGGGAGGTGGGGGAGAGCGGGGCAGAGTGGGGGTGAGCATGCACGATGGGGCTCGAGTTCCAGCCACCTAGGGCAAGAGCCTCGGCGTCCTCGCCTCTTGGCCCCTGGCCTCCCGGGACCCCTGGGGACACCTACCTGGGCCAGGGAGGGGACAGTGAAGTCCATGAGGCCCAGCCCGTTGCATGAGTACATTTCCAAGGCAACGAGGACTCTGGTCACCGAGCTGACATCCTCATTGGTGCCCTGGTGGGGAGGATGCCCTGAGTGTATCAGCCCAAGCGTGCGGGGGGAGTCTGGAATATGCGTGAATTTAACACTGCAAGGTATTAGTTTTATGGCAATAATCAGACCACAAAATTGGGAGCGTTTATACCTTAGGCTGTTTTTGTAACTGTTGACCTGCAGGTCATCTTCTCATACAACGAGGAGCCCCAAGTCCGTGCGGCCCCCATGTGTGAGGCAGCCTTGTCTGAAGGCTGGGTGACCCCCGAGGAGGGAAGGACCAGTGGGCCTGACATGGTGGCTGCTGGGGCAGGCAGGTCAACACCTGGACCCTCCCCGCCTCCCTGGGCCCCACTAGGGCCTGGCTCCTGGCCAGGCTCCAAGGCCCCTCCTCCATCTGGCTTTCCAGGAGCTCATGGGGCCGGCCCTGGGCCCACTCCTCCTTGGGAGAGCGCAGCACCCCCACAGGCCCAGCAGCTCACAGACCCCGTGGACGGGTGGGCAGAGGAGGCCCCGTGCCACACTCAAGGGCAGCCAGCGGCGGTGAGCTCAGTGGGAAAAGGGAGTGCCCAGGCCATCCGTGATGGCTCCATCTGGAGCTAAGTGGTCCCGGGGGCCCCACCACCCCCGGCTGTCTCAGATCTCTATGTCCACAGGGCCTCAGTCAGAGCCCAGATGTGGGCAGGGGCGCCCACCTGCTCCTCGGTGCCCAGCCGTGGCCCAATCTGCTGCTGCAGCAGCTGCTTGGCCTTGACCCAGGTGGCGATAAGCTGCTGCCGGGTGCCGGTGGGCACCGTCTCCTCGGGCGCACTCCCATTGGTCAGGTTCAGGGCAAACTCGCAGACCTAGGACAGACGTGTTCTCGGTCACGAAACCTGAATTCTAAACAGGGGACCTTGAGCCAAGATCCGAACCATTAAAAGATGGATGGAGCCCGCTCCTGATCCAGCCCGTGAAGGGCCTTAAACACGAGACCTCAGGCCCACCAGCGGCTGCACCACAAACCCAGCAGATGAAGCCCCACCCCCAGACGCCGAGGACGCAGCTGCCACCTGGCCTCCAGTGCGCCCCGGCCCTCACTCCTGAGCTGTCCCCACGGCATGGGCCTGGGACCCCGCAGGAAGGAGCAGCTGAGCCAGCACCCCTCCCCCACTGCAGCTGGTATCGGTTGGGGGTGGGGCAGCAAGGACGGAGCCCCGAAAGTGGGGGCGTGAAATCTGCCACGTGCTTTGCCTGCAGTGACGGGCATGTGGGCTGCTGCCCTGAGCCCCTGGGCTGCGCCCCAGCTCCCTGTCTTGCTGGCCGTGTGACCAGGTGAGTTTCTTCATGCTGTGCGCCTCAGTTTCCTCATCTCTATGTAGAAATGAAACCCAGTCTATGGGTCGTCGTGAGGATCGGTGAGTCCTTGTTCAGAGCCTCGCCCGGTGCAGGAAGCACTGGCCACCGGGAGTGACCTCTTGCTAACCCAGGGATGTCCCATCTCTCGCTGCCTTGTGAACACCTGCTCCTTGCAAAACGTCTTGGTAGCACAGACACCTACTGGGCAGCGTCCTTCCCTTTCCTCCCCTCCATCCTTCCTTCTGGATAAACTTCCAAACATTTGTCAAGTTCCACACAGCCATCCCATCGGAATGTGTTTGGGGAGCACTCACTCCCCTGTTCACCACCTGACTCCCCGTGCGGTTGTGCACATGCCCAGTCCAGGCACCGCCCAAGCCGGCTTCCTCACACTCTCCGCCATTCACTCCGTGTTCCCGGGCTGCCAAGTCGGTGCTGGCATTTCCTCTCAGCATCTGGATCCAGCCATCATCACATCTAAGAGGGAAGCTCCTCTGCACCCCCCAGCTGCCTCCCAGGGCCCACAGCAGGCTCAGCTGCACCCACAGCTGCCTGAGCCGCCCACGGCGCCCTCCCCTCCGCAGCCTCCAGCCTGATCCCTGTAGGTCCCCGGAGCCGGCCCCTTGTCCCTTCTCGGAAGAACGACCTGCACCTGATGCCACAGCCGGTGTTCCTGGCCGGCCCACACTGACTGCCCAGGGCCAGCCGTCCCCACTGGGAGCTGGGAGCACTAGGGCCCTCTCTGGCTCTGGCCTGGCGCAGCTGACTGTGAGCGTTGTGAGTGCCGGGCCGCAGGCTCAAGACTCTCCAGCCCGCGGTTTTATCCATGGCCCAGAAAGGGTCATGCAGGATGAGCTTTAGCACAAAGTCTTCCGCAAGGGTGGGGACAGCTCCCCCGCCCCGTGCCCCTGCGGAGACACTCAAGGCCTCCCTGCCCCCGCCCCACCGCGGGTGCTCCACACACAGGCTCCAGGAGGTTCCCCACAGACTCCCTTGACTCATTAGGAAACCGGCTTTCTCTCGGGTTCTTTGAGGCTCTTCTGAGTTAGAAATGGGCAATGGCTCATCAAACACTTCTGCAGCATCTGTCAACGAGAACACTATTTCTTTTCCCTTCCTTTTGGATTACAACAAAATCCACATTCCATGGGATAAATGATCCGCCTGGGCCACCAGGATCGTCCCACACACTGGGTCTGCTGCATTTTACTGGGACGGCTGCATGTGTGGGTGGTGTGGTCCCTGTTTCTCGCCGTTCCAATCCGCCGTTTCTGGTTCTATTTCCACTCTCCTCTAGGCCTGGAGCCCGCCCTGAGGGGAGGCCTCACACCCACCCACGGGTCTTGTTTTCCTCTCTCCAGCCCTGGCCTTATTTCCCAGTAACTGGAGCCCCTGACGTTTTACTTCCTAGATTGTTCTCACGTCTGTCGCCTCCACTGAAGGCAGTTTGCTCTCCCAGGGCCTTTCCAGGAGCCTTCAGAAGCTCAGCCCCAGCCTCCAGCTACAGGTCTGCAGGGCTCTGTCTCAGGTCAGCTGCCTCCCTGCTCTCTCCCTCCACCCCCACCCCCCCACCCCCACATCTCTCTCTCTCTCCTCTCTCTCTTCTCTCTCCTCCTCTCTCCTGTCCTCTTTCCTCTCTCTCTCTTCCCTCTCCTCTCTCTTCTCCTCTCTCCTGTCCTCTTTCCTCTCTCTCTCTTCCCTCTCCTCTCTCTTCTCCTCTCTCCTCCTCTCTCTCTCCTCTCTTTCTCCTGTCTCTTCTCCTCTCTTCTTCTCTCTCTCCTGTCTCTTCTCCTCTCTTTCTCCTCTCTTCTCTCTGCTTCTCTCGCCTCTCTCTCCTCTCCTCTCTCTGCTCATCTCTCTCTCTCACCTCCCTCTCTCCTCTCCTCTCTCTCTCTCTTCACCTCTCTCTCTCTTCACATCTCTCTCTCCTCTTTCACCTCTCTCTCCTCTCCTCTCTCTCTCTTCACCTCTCTCCTCTCCTCTCTCTCTCTCTTCACCTCTCTCCTCTTTCACCTCTCCTCTCCTCTCTCTCTCTCCTCTCTCCTCTCTCTCTCTCTCTCTCTCTCTCTCTCTCGGCATCATGGAGGTGGTACCTCCACCGCTGTTTTGATCTCGGAAGTGGCTCCTGCGTCCAGTGGGCTGTGAAACGCGTTTGGTCGCATGAATTTCCTGGACTTCTCGGCAGCCTGGACTGGAATCCAGCTGATGATCAGGCCTCGCGCCAAGGTGTTGCAGAGCGTCACCAGCATCACGGGGTCCCTGGGAGACATGCTTGTCAGAGGGAACCTTGGCCCCCGCAGGCCTCGCCCCGATCCCATGTGCTGAGTCCTCAGGTCACGGTAAGAGGCCTGAGATGCACGGGTGCCCACGACCCTCCTCTGCTGGGACACAGAGGGCCATGGAGTGCAGCTGCCTGCCTTTGCTCTGGGGTCTCCCAAGGGAAGAAGCCCCTCCCTGCGTGAACGCAGCACAGCCCACACGCACCCACTGTGGCCTGTGGCCTTAACGATGCTCAGGAGGTGGTACAGGGCGTCCACCAGCTCCTTCTGCCGCCCGGCCAGGATCAGGTGGTGGTTGTGGTTCAGGACGTAGACCACGGCGTTCTGCACAATCCACGCCTCCTGGATCTCCTGTCCGATCTCTGCGGAGCGCAGCCAGTTATTCATGGCACACCGGGACAGACTCTCGATCCAGGTTCTGCAAAACGAGCACCACCAAGCCCTTAATGCAGGGTCCCCAGCCCCGGGGCCAGGCACCAGGAAGGCTGCGGGGCCTGTTAGGAACCAGGCTGCAGGGCAAGAAGTGGGAGGGGCGGGTGGGCGGCGACCAAACTCCATCTGCATTTACAGTCGCCCCGCCGCTGGCACTCCCACCTGAGCCCCGCCTCCCGTCCCATCAACAGCTGCATTCCAGTCTCACAGGAGCGCGAACCCTATTGCGATCAGCGCATTCCAAGGATCTAGGCCGCGTGCTCCTTGCGAGAATTGAACACCTGATGATCTGAGGTGGAAACGTTTCATCCCGCGACCAGCCTCCACCCAGCCAGTCCGTGGAAAAACTGTCTCCCACGAAACCAGTCCCTGGGGCTGAAACCGCTGGGACGGCTGGATGGTGTCTAAGTGTGAGACGGTCTTTCCCCACCCGCCCTCGCTAAAGAGAGTGTGGACTCTTCCTATGAGACTCTCTTGTTTCCGGAAGTCTGTGGAGCCCTGGGCTCAGAAAGGGGCTCCTGTGGGGGCTGCATGGGGCAGAGCGTCTCTGCCCCACCCCTCCACCCAGCCCCCCGCCGGCCTGCGCGCTCCACCTGAAGCCTGGCCTGGTGCTCCCCTTTCCCAGCAGCCCCCTCGTTCCAGTTTGTCCTCATCCTCCCTGGACACCTCCAACAGCCCCTGGCTGGTTCCCGTGGCCACGAGTGCTCACACCTGCCATGGGACCCCCGCTCACCCCTGCAAACCTCTGGCCCCCGCCCCGAGGCTGTGTCCAGCCACACTGCACCCCGGCCCGAGGCTGTGTCCAGCCACACTGCACCCCGGCCCGAGGCTGTGTCCAGCCACACTGCACCCCGCCCCGAGGCTGTGTCCAGCCACACTGCACCCCGGCCCGAGGCTGTGTCCAGCCACACTGCACCCCGGCCCGAGGCTGTGTCCAGCCACACTGCACCCCGGCCCGAGGCTGTGTCCAGCCACACTGCACCCCGGCCCGAGGCTGTGTCCAGCCACACTGCACCCCGGCCCGAGGCTGTGTCCAGCCACACTGCACCCCGGCCCGAGGCTGTGTCCAGCCACACTGCACCCCGGCCCGAGGCTGTGTCCAGCCACACTGCACCCCGGCCCGAGGCTGTGTCCAGCCACACTGCACCCCGCCCCGAGGCTGTGTCCAGCCACACTGCACCCCGCCCCGAGGCTGTGTCCAGCCACACTGCACCCCGGCCCGAGGCTGTGTCCAGCCACACTGCACCCCGGCCCGAGGCTGTGTCCAGCCACACTGCACCCCGGCCCGAGGCTGTGTCCAGCCACACTGCACCCCGCCCCGAGGCTGTGTCCAGCCACACTGCACCCCGGCCCGAGGCTGTGTCCAGCCACACTGCACCCCGGCCCGAGGCTGTGTCCAGCCACACTGCACCCCGGCCCGAGGCTGTGTCCAGCCACACTGCACCCCGGCCCGAGGCTGTGTCCAGCCACACTGCACCCCGGCCCGAGGCTGTGTCCAGCCACACTGCACCCCGGCCCGAGGCTGTGTCCAGCCACACTGCACCCCGGCCCGAGGCTGTGTCCAGCCACACTGCAGCTCCCTTGAGCCTCCTGGCTTCGCTCCACACTGTGAAGCGCCGCCCTCCCTTCTGCCCAAGTGAGCGTCTCCCTCTTCCTCCCCACCTGAATCACATGCAGGCTCTGCCCTTCCCCAGGGAGCCGTCACACCGAGCGCAGGGCAGTCAGCCCTCACTCAGCCGTGTGGACGTGGACAGGGTCTGTCCGTCCCGCTAGACCAGGCTGGGCAAACTTTTTCTATAAGGGGCCAAATAGCATTTTGAGCTTTGCAAGCTCCATATAGTCTTCACTGTATATTTTTTCTATTTTGTTTTACAAATTTAAAAGTGTCAAAGCCACTCTCAGCTCACAGGCTGCAAACGGCTTGAGCCCTAATTTTCAGACCCTCCTCTGTCTGTGAGCAGGCCCACCAGGAGTGCAGAGCTCTGCCCAGCCTTGGGCCTGGGTCCTGGAAAGGCATCTGGAGCCCCTGCCTGAAATGACGGGGCTGTGAGGGCTGGAGGCCCGGGGTGGGCCTGGGCCCGGTGGCTCCTCACAGAGCCCGGAGCTGCTGCAGGAGAGGGATCCCAAGAGGCCAAGACAAAGGCCACCTGCAGCCGTCATCGTCATTGCTGCTGCCTGACCACCTCTTCCCTCCAAAGAGCTCGGCCGGGTGGCTCCAGGCGTGCATGGCAAGCAGGGACAGCTGGCTTTCCTTCTGCCCCAAGGGACCGGCGAGGGCGGGGCGCCGTGCCCAGCTTCTGCCCCGAGGGACCGGTGAGGGCGGGGCGCCGTGCCCAGCTTCTGCCCCGAGGGACCGGCGAGGGCGGGGTGCCGTGCCCAGCTTCTGATGCATGGATAGTCGGGGACACCCGAGCTTACCACGTTCGTGTGCTTGACGCAGCTGCATTGCAGGGATAAGTTCCCGTGTCCTATGCACGGCGAGCGACTATAGTTTACAGGGATGCTGGAAGGGGGACATCGAACATTCCCAACATGGAGAAACAACGCACGTCCAGCGTGACGGATTCGCTGATTACCCAGATCTGATCACCACGTTACACAGATCAAAACGTCACTATGCACCCCAAAAACGGTAAAATTCTTGTCAATTAAAAAAATAAGTTAAAAATATTTAATTTTATATTAAAAATAGGTAAAAACCATCATTGCTGGTACAAGCACTCCAATTTCAATTCTTTCTGAACTTGGAACCTCACGTCAGCAAATCCTGTGAGATGTTCTGTACAAACTAAATTTTCTTATTGACACACAAGGCGTTTTCGAGGCCAAGGCAGTCCTCGATAGCTTTTCCCACAATAGGAGGGAGAGCACAGCTTTTCCTCTGAGCAAATACAGAAGCTGCTCCTTCTATTTTCTGCCACGAAGACCACCTCCCTAGCAGCTGCCTTTCACGCATCATCAGAGGGCCTGACGAGGGTGAGCAAGAGGGACACTACAGGACGCTGGAAAAGACACTCCTGAACGTTTCCTCGTAGTAACAGCAAACTACGCCTGGGGTCTTGCGAGGAACGACGGCTAAAAACAGGAGAGGCCACGTCACCCCATTTTCTCTTTCATGGTCTCAGTCATTTACGTGACGATGGACACGTCCCCCACGCAAGAAGCCGGTGTCCTTACGAATGCAAAGGGTGTCCCTCCCCACGCCAGCCTGAGTGCAGGGGACACTCTGACCCACGGCCCCGGGCGGTGCTCAAGGCCACTGTCGCCTCTGCCCACCTGTATGTGATCCACTCAGCATTCACCTCCGGGGGCTCAGGCACGTAGCCAGCTGGGTGCTGGCTCAGGTCTTCGGGGGGGATGGCCCGGTCATTCAGCTCTACACCTTCTGACCGCAGCAAATGAACCGTGGCCTGCAAAACACACATGCGGTGGGAGGGGTCATGGGCGGAGCACGGGCCCAGCACCAGATAGGAAACACACACGCCCTTCCCTCAGCTCTGATTTGAAAATGCCAAGCACAGGCTGTGAGACCCGTTTGCTGTGCCCTTTGCAAGCTGGGCCTGCCCCAATAGCCACTCCAGGGACTAAAGCCAGCTCCTCACAGACTCTCTCCACCCATTAGCACAAGGGTCAGGGAAGAGAAGGTCCTTCCAGAGCACCGCACACCCCAGCAGCCCCGAAGGACCAACAGTGGCTTCCCGGTATCAGCAGACACCGGCCAGCATTTGCACCTCCCCTACGTAATCATTACGTTTTAAATGTTTGAGGGGAAAGGTCTGCGCTGGCCTCCGGGGCGTGGATGACCATGTGGCACAGCCCCGTGGCCGCCGCTGGCTCTGGTTCTGCCATGTGGCCTCCGGCTCCCTGAGCAGAGAGTTCTGTGCCGCTTCTCACCCTGACCCCAGCTGAGGGCATGGGCCTGGCACCTGGGAGCCACTCAGCAGACATACTGCCTAAATCGGCAGGTGCCCTGTCCTCCAGGGCTGATGGCCACGCACCCACTGAGAAAGTCCACAGAAACCTAACCGAGAGTGGCTCTGGGAACTCTGAAGTCACACAATGTCACAAGGGCCACACTTGTGTTGGTGCAGCGCGGTGGCTGCGAGCTCGGACCCGAGGTCCCAGGGCTGGGTTTGGATCCCACTCCGCCATTTCTACCTGCTGACTTTGGGCAGGGCGAGCCCGGGAGTCTCTGAGCCTGCGTGGGAGGAACAGGCCTGGCGGCCCCATCACAGGGACCCTGGACATCACGCCACATTCAATGCGCTTCTGCAGCAAATGCCGAGGTACCATCTCCCCACCGAGTGGCGGTTGCCGTGTGTCATCCACACAACTGCAGATTCACCACTCAGAAATGATTCCCAAGAGAAATTTACACCCATGCACACTTTGGTTTATATTTTTCTCCTAGAAAATCTCCCAAGAATCCAGGAAGTTTTCCCTCCCTCATATTCATTTTGTTTGAAGCACAGAAGGTTCTATGACAATAAATATCTGCAGTGGGTTAACAGGCCACGTGGACACCAACACCTGCCCCACAGCAGGTTGTGTGGATGCAGGAAAGCAACCCTCTGACGCTGTGGTGCAGGGACACACCTCAGCATTGATAAGCCCCAGTTCCAGGATGCACCTCAGCACCGATGAACCCCCCTCTCCACGACGCACCTCAGCACCGATGAACCCCCCTCTCCACGACGCACCTCAGCACCGATGAACCCCCCTCTCCACGACGCACCTCAGCACCGATGAACCCCCCTCTCCACGACGCACCTCAGCACCGATGAACCCCCCTCTCCACGACGCACCTCAGCACCGATGAACCCCCCTCTCCACGACGCACCTCAGCACCGATGAACCCCCCTCTCCACGACGCACCTCAGCACCGATGAACCCCCCTCTCCACGACGCACCTCAGCACCGATGAACCCCCCTCTCCACGACGCACCTCAGCACCGATGAACCCCCCTCTCCACGACGCACCTCAGCACCGATGAACCCCCCTCTCCACGACGCACCTCAGCACCGATGAACGCCCCTCTCCACGACGCACCTCAGCACCGATGAACCCCCCTCTCCACGACGCACCTCAGCACCGATGAACCCCCCTCTCCATGACGCACCTCAGCATGGATGAACCCCACCTCCGCGAACTTCCGCAGCAGGTCGGGGCACACCTGCCTCTGCAGGACGACCTCAGGCTGGCTCCAGGTGTCCTGCACCGAGCCGTCCCTACCTCGCTTCTTCTTCCCTGAGAGAAATGGCAGCAGGTAAGGATCATGTTTTTTTCTAGCAAATAAATAAAAACACAAGAATTCCTGAACCATCTTGGAGTGCCTGAGCCTCTCCCCAGCTCCGTGTAGGGTCCGCCAAGGTGGGCGGGTAGGCGGGAGGTGGGCAGCTTGCCCAGGAAGAGGCTGGAGGAGCTCTCCGTGGGATGGCGGAGGTGGGTGGAGTGCTGGCTCCCAGCCAGGGCTTGCTCTTGGCCACATCCCTGCAGATGCTCTTGGCACCTGTGGCTCTCCCAACTCCTCCTGCATCCCCTGCCTTCTTGGGGGGTGCCCTCCCTGACTCCTGCAGGACTCCCAGACCCCCTGTGCCCGTTCTGTCACCTCCCTCGTCCCTCCGGGTCCTGATTGTCCCTGAGACAGGAGCCTCTCCAGGGCCGGGTGCTGATTGATGAGCCTGCCCCACCCATGTCCCGCTCCACGCTGGGCCTGTGGCCACTGCCCTCTGCCTGCAGGTGCCCCGCATGGGCATCTGCTCACTGGCTGTGGTGGCCCCTGCCTGAGCCTCCGAGGCCCCCAGTGACTGAAGATGGAGTGTGACGACGGTGCTCGTGGCTCGGCCGACACAGCCAGATGTGGCCGCCGCCCCATGATTGGCGGTCCTGATAATTAGTGGGAACTGCTACCATTGTGACTTAGCAATACGCTTTCTCATGCGAAGGCCCCATGGGTTGTCATTGCACGAACCACAACCCTTCCCACACCCAGAGGGCGGCCGTGGCCAGGCTGGGACACACTCGTGAGGGCGGGTACGAACCTCGCCGCAGCCTCAACTTCTTCACCTTGACGTTGTCATACAGGAGGCAGAAGCGGCTCGCCGTCCGACAGACGTCCCACACGCCTTGTTTCCGGGCCACTTTGGCCAGCTCTGCCCAAATCTGTATCCTGCTCACCGAGAACCCAAACGAGTGAAAGGTGAGTAGACAAGTGTGGTTGCTGAAGTTAGAAAACACCTGGGCTGGCTGCCTGAGAAAAGGCCACTGTGGCTCTGCAGTTTCAAGGTGGCAAGGAGCCCGGCACTCGCGCTGGGTACGGCCTGGCGGGTGCATGTCCCAGGGTCGGGCGCAGCTCTCCGCTCTCCCTGCCAGCCAGCTGTGCGCGGCACCTCCCTTCCCTGTGGTGAGAAGAAAGGCCACACAATCCACTCCCCGGGGGAGTGCACGGGACAGGCCTCCCGGGGATGGTACCGACCGCAGGGTCGGTACCAAAAATCAGCCTGCTCTGGTCACAGGCGCTGCGTGTCCTCCGAGTGACAGCAGTGACAGGCGGGACAGGGCAGCCGCACACCTCATAGGCCGTGGCTGTCATCACAGGCTGGGGGGTCCCGTCTGTGGCGGGACTCCCAGGCAGGGACCTCGTCCCACCATCCTGGAGCAGGTGGCCTGGCGAGTCCCCAGACGGCCACATGCAGGGTCAGCTCAGCCGCCACAGACACTGGCCCTCGGGCTGAGCGACCCCCGGGCTGAGCTGTGCGTGGCGCTCTGGCCTTTTCCTCACTCACCTCTCCTTGTCGTTTTCGTTGCCCAGGCGCCGCAGGTGCCCGGCAGCTTTGTCCACGCTGACGGTGTGGTGCCACGCCTTCGCACAGAGGTAGGTGAACCGGCCCCTGTTCTTCCCGGTGGAGACTGAGGGCGGAAATGCAAAGGCAGGTGTTGCAGCTGCTGGCCAAGGGCCGGGGACGTGCCCATCAGTAACCAATGCCCTGCGCCGGCGCCGGGGTGGCCACCCACAGGTAGCGGCTCCAGGGGCCCTAGATCCCCGGCTCCCAGAAGCCGAGCTCCTCACAGAGCTGCAGAGTGGCATTGCCTGTGTCTCCTGCCGGCGATGAGGCCGAGCCAGTGCTCCTCTGAGTGGGGGAGGCTCCAGGAACTTTGGAGCAGAGTCTGCCAAGACCCTCCTGCTGCTCTGCTGGCTGCGCTGTCCAGCTGCCCTCCAAGCAGAGGCACCCGGCCTCAGACTCCCGAGCTCCCACCCAGCCCCTGCGTAGCACCCCAAGTCCCAGCAGGTTTATCCGCATGACGCCAGATGTTCCGAATCACCGCTCCTTTTCCTGGCAAATAATCACGAGCACCCGGAACTCAGCTCCACACCCTGGGGGGCCTCCTGTGCATGGGCGACCCCGGGGGCTGGGCCTCCCCTGGCTGGTGTCCACCCTCTCGGCCAGCACAGGGGTTCACCTTCAGGAGCCACTCAACGGCATCCTCCCCTGGAGCCCGTGCCGCCCTCACTGCCCCTGGGCAGGGCCCCGCAGCACCTCCTGCTGGGTGTAGGTGCTGTCTCGGCCCCACAGCCAGCAGTGGACATGCACCTGACCCCCAGGCAGCCAGCAGCACACGCCCATGAGTGAAAGGAGTCAGGAAGGCAAAACAGGTGAGTCTGGGTCCTACTGGTGGATCTGCAGCTGCTCCTCAAACTCATTAGGGCAAAATGAAAGCACAGGTGCGGCAGCATCTGAGGGCGGTGGATGACAGGGCGGCAGCCCCTTCCCGCTCCAAGAGTCGCCAACCTTCCCTTGCAGGGCGCGACCCACCCTGCGTCTGCCCATCTCCTCGTCTCAGACCCGAGACATGACCCAGCAGCTCCACTCCCGACCACCATCTCCACAGGCTGCAGTCTGGGTGACACCTGGTTCGTCGTGCTGGGTGAAAGCCGCCGGCTGCTGGGCACTGAGCTGGAGGGAGGCCTGGCAGCAGCCCCCAGCAGGACCCTCAGGGGACCAGCGGGAAGGGCTCCCAAGCCAGGCCCAGCCTGGCCCCTGCACTGGGCTGGAGAGAGTGGGGCCGCCTGCGTTCCCAGAGCCACTGGCGAGTGCCCAGAGAAGCTCGGGCAGTGAGGATGCAACACACCTGCCGAACCCTGGCTCAGTCCCCGCACATGGGCCGTACGGCCCCGTGTCCCATTACCCAAAGCCAGCTCAGGGTCTCCCTGGGACAGATGTGATGGCTTCAGCTTTGACCCCCGTGATCCAGGGAGCCCCGTCCTGTGCCTCAGGCAGTGGCTCAACCCCATTCCCCAGAGCAGGGTGTGTTGAAGTCCTCGCCCCCAGGACTTCAGGGTATGACCTTCTTTGGAGGTAATTTGGGTCAAATGAGGTCATCAGGGTGGACCCTAGTCCAATCTGACTGGTGTCCTTCCAAAGGGAGGAAACGAGGACACAGACCCCCAGAGGGGATGGCCCTGTGAGGATGCGGGGAGGAGATGGCGTCCACAAGCCAAGGAAGAGCACTCAGGGGGAATCAGCCCTGCCCACGCCTTGACTTCCAGCCTGGGGCTGGGAGGAGTAAGTTCCCGTAGTCTAAGCAGCGGAGCCTGTGGGGTCTGTCCCGGCACACAGGGCACCCGACTTGACTGGCGTGTGCACAGAAGACCGTCGCTGGGCTTTGCCAGACCCGGCGGGCCGAGATCGAAGGACACTGCCGGTGCAAGGTCCTTGTGCATCCAGGGGGCGGTGGCAGGGAGCATGGGGACTGGGGAGGCCCCGGGGCAGCCTGGGAGCCATTCCAAGGTGGACCGTTCTGGGCTGGGAGAGCCCAGTGCAGAGCTCACCTTTGGCCTCATTCTCACTGTCCAGCACAATCTGAAACGCGTCAGGGGCTAAGGCCAGGCCTGCATTCACCAGGAGGGCCCGCTTCTTCCTGACGCTGTCCTTTGGTGTAGCTTTTTTTGCCTGTGAAAAGCAGAGACTGATGAGCAAGGGGCCGCTGGACTTTCCACAGCACCTTCTCCAACTTCTGGAGCCTCCTGGCCTTTGGCAGGGGCCTGTGTGGTCCTCGTGCTCATAGACACAGTGACAGCTCGGTCCCAGGCCTCCTTGCTTCAGGCAGCCCTGGGCGGCTCCCGCCCTGCTGTGCCCTCAGAGCCCCGCCCCGGCCCCATGCTGGGGCTGCAGCACCCAGCCTCCCTCACTTCCCCGGGGCGGCACCTGCTCAACGGCCATGATGGCCTTGTCCTCTGCGCGCTCAGGGGCCTGGTATAGCGTGGTGCACAGACGCAGCCGGGTGGAGGCCATCTGGATCCTGTCCCGGTAGAGGCCCAGGCTGTCCAGGCGCGCGGCTTTCCGGAGGTGCTCCGTGGCGGGCTCCAGCCGGTCCTCGTCCTCCTCGATCTGCGCCATCTCCATGTGCACTTGACAGCGGAGAAGCGTCATGAGGCTGCGGGGGTGGCGTGGCATCAGGGGCCCTGGCGGCGCTGCGCCTCTGTCAGGCTGGGGTCACACCCTCCAGAGGAAGGCCTGCAGTGGCCCCAGAGTGTAGGGCAGGCTTGGTGCCCGGTGCCCCTGGCTTTCTGCCATCCTTCCAGTGATGTCCCTACCTGGCCCTGGGGACTCACAAATGGGGACAAGGAGAGAAGCCCCTGCAGACCGCAGAGGCCTCGGCAGCTCACGACGGCAGCCCCTGGAAGGAAACCTGGGCGCTAGTGCAAGACTGCCCGGCTCTCTGCCTGGGGACAACTTCCTGAAGTGTGGGGTGTGGTTCCCACAGGCCACGGCGGCAGGGGTCGGGGTGCAGGGCTGCGAAGGAGGCTAGGGTCTGGAGAGGAAGGGCCGTGCGGAGCAGCCCAACCAGCCCGTGTGGGGGTTCCCTGGACCCCCTGGCCTTGAGCAGCCATGTAGGGGTACCCCGGAACCCCTGGCCTCAAGCAGCCATGTGGGGGTGCCCCGGACGCCCTGGCCTCGAGCAGCCATGTGGGGGTGCCCTGGAACCCCTGGCCTTGAGCAGCCATGTGGGGGTGCCCTGGAACCCCTGGCCTCGAGCAGCCATGTGGGGGTGCCCTGGAACCCCTGGCCTCGAGCAGCCATGTGGGGGTGCCCTGGAACCCCTGGCCTCGAGCAGCCCATGTGGGGGTGCCCTGGAACCCCTGGCCTTGAGCAGCCATGTGGGGGTGCCCTGGACCCCCTGGCCTTGAGCAGCCATGTGGGGGTGCCCTGGAACCCCTGGCCTTGAGCAGCCATGTGGGGGTGCCCTGGAACCCCTGGCCTTGAGCAGCCATGTGGGGGTGCCCTGGAACCCCTGGCCTCACGCAGCCCTTGTGGGGGTGCCCCGGACCCCCGGCCTCGAGCAGGCTGTGTGTGACAGGAGCCTGCGTTTGATGGCCCCAGGCTTGAGAAGCAGTTCTAGACACAGCTGAGCCGGGATCCAGGGTTCATTCTGTGCTGTGGGAAGTCGAAGGAAGGCCCAGCAGGGGTGTGAGGGGTGTGGTCACCATGTTTTAGGGTATGTGTCTGTGTGAAATGAGCTGGAGTGATGCTGGCCTGACACAGACTGTGCTAAGTTAAGGGTGCATGTTCTTAGCCCCAGAGAAATCTTCCATTCCTCCAAAAGGTATAGTCGAGAAACCAAGAAGCCAATAGAGAAAACTAAATAGAACTCTAGAAAAATTCAGGGAGCCCCAGAGAAGGTGGGAAGGAGCACTGGCAGTGCAGGAAGGTAGCAGACAGGGAGCGGGGGCTGAGCCGGCGGACTCAGAGTCAAGATTGTGCTGACGGCAACGAAGAGGCTGAGCCCTCCCAACAAGAAACAGGTCCTGAGATCAGGGCTGTGATTCTCCAGCCACCCTGGGCCCAGGCTCTGCAACAGCTTGTGGCTGCCCTTGCACCTCACCCCCAGTACCTGTCTCCTGCCTGCCATGGTCCACCCTGATGCCTGCCGCCTGCCTGCCATGGTCCACCCTGATGCCTGCCGCCTGCCTGCCATGGTCCACCGTGATGCCTGCCGCCTGCTGCCACGCTGGCCCCTGCATTCCTGTCACCCCTGAGGACACACCGTGCTCCTCCCTGACGCTGGGCCCTCTGAGCACTCCTGTCTCACCCAGCATGGCCCAAGTCCCACGGGGCCACAACCAGCCCCCCACTCCCGGCCTCTGTGGCCATGACAGGCCCCTTCCATGGAGGCTCGAGGGACACAGATGCCCGTGAGGCAAGGCCGAGCCTGCTTCTTCCTCTGGCGCCGCCAATGCACCACAGAGGACCCGACGTGCCTGGCCCGGAGCTGGGACAGAGGGTGGCCCTTATTGAGTACAGGGGGAGTCTGTTGCTTGTGGCACTGTCATGGCAAGGGGGCTTGGGCCACCTTCTCCTCCTCTGTCTCCTCCTATGCGCCACGCCCTCTGTGGAGGACACAGCACAGGTGAGCGCCCCACCTGTCCAGCTTCTCCAGCACGTCCGCAACGCCAGCCAGGGGCTTCCGCAGGTGGTGCCGCAGGTTGTGCTGCAGCAGGGGCAGGCAGGTGTTCCACTGCGTGGCGCACACCACGTGGATGACCCGGGGGTCGCCCAGGCGCACGGCTCGCTGCAGCGCGACGTCTAGCCTCTGTATGATATCCAGCTGGGCCTGCGGAGAAGACGTGGGGGATTCTAGGGAGGTTGCTGGCTCGAGCTGCGGGGCTGGGGCGGCACCTGCGTGCAGGGCACACTGAGAACGCAGGCCCTAAATTCATCACCCTGCGTGGCGTCATGCTCAAATCTGTCCGTGAAAATGGCCAGAGTGACTCTTTCTAGGAGGAAGTGGACGTCTCACAAGATATTACATGCAGGAGGCTTGGCGGTGCCCACACATCGTGGCTGCGCCCGCCTCCCCCGTGTGGACTCAGCGGGCGCTGCTCCCTTCCTGATCCCGTCTCTTTCCTGGGGCCTGTGCTCGCTACGCTTCCCACCCCCAGAATGCCTCCTCCGGTCTGTGCTACACGGGCCCTTCCCAGGACAAAGGCTTTGGCCAGGATTTCAGTGGAGCAGTCTCCCCACACTCCCACCTCCCACAAGCCCTGCTGGACCGCCCACCGTCCTGGGCTCACTTGGCCACGTCCCCACAGCCTGTGGCTTCCACGGGGGCCTAGCCCTCACGCTGCCCCTGGGCTGGGTGGGGCCTGAACCTCACAACTCCATCCTGCCACTTGGCTGCTGGGTCTGAAAGCCTCGTACGCCGGTGCCGGCCCCTCTGAGGTCCTCAGCAGGTGAGTCGGGGAAGCAGCCGCACAACCCACAGCGCCACAGCCACAAGCAGCCTCTGTTCACTTTCACAACAAAGTGCAACAGCCAAAGCGTCTGGAAATCATTCCTTAAACGAACACTCATTAAGCGCCTACCACGTGTGGCACCAGCGCACAGCAGCAGTCAAAAACCTCCCGCGAGAAGCTCAGCCCCACGGAGGCAGACCCAGGAGCAAGTCCACAGCGGCATCGGCACCCGCCGGGCTGTGACACGTGTGCCAGGCAGTGCGGGCTGAGGATGGATGCGTTAGGAGTGGGGATGGGGAAGGCCTCCCAGCTGCCGTGCTCATCCCCTGCCACGGCACCTCTGGCACTGACCCGCACGCCCCTGGCTCCTCTGTACCCAGCGGAGCCTCGCACTGCCTGGCTGACAGGGCCTGAGGGTTCCCAGCCGACCCTGTGGCACTTGCCGTGGTACCACATCAGGGCTGCAGGCCACCATCCTGTGAGGTTTCTGTTCATCTTTTAACTGGGAAATTATTACTGAGGAAGAGTCTAAAAGGATTCCTAGTTCCTTTCCTGGTAGTGGCTGCTATTCCAGAGCCTGTCGTCTCAGACAGCAGGACAGAGGTGGGTCAAGTGCCTGTAATTGGCACCTGACGCCAGGGCCGGCGGTGGCTTTTGCCCCTCATCATTAGGACGCCTTCCCGGACTCAAGTGAGGCTGGCAGAAAGCCCTCATGGGACGCGTGGCCGTCCCCCGTCCTCCCAGGCAGGCATCACCACACGGCGGGGAGGGGGCAGCTCCGTGGGGGCTGCAGGAGGAGGGTCAGAGGGAGTCGCATCCCAGCCCCCACCTGCACGACCCCACCCCACCAGGGCGGCGTGTAGGCCCCTGTGCGCAGGACAGGGAGTGTGGCACTGGAGGCTGGACTCACACCCGCTGTCACGGGAGCCAGGGCGAGTCTAGCAGTGGGGTCCAGGCCATGTCCCCAGCACCCTCAAGCCTGGGACACACTCAACTTGCACCAAGCTCCAGGAATCTGCAAAATAATGCCAGGTGTATGACTCCTGCGTAAGGACTGACCTCAACAGCCGCTCGGTTGTACACTTTCATCTTACTTTCAAGTCTTAAAGCTTCCGATTCACACTCCAGACATTCCATTTCAATAAGCTTCCCAGGATCCTGCAGATATAAACAGTTTTTGAAAAGATGGAGATCTGTAAGGGAAGCAGCTGTGTACATTCATGAAATTCAAAGGCATTTAAAATATTACTGGGTAGAGGTTTAACAAATACAAGTCACACGATGACACAAAGACACCTATGACGCAGAGGTTTAAGTGAGGAAGCCGTGTTTTCAGCTACACCAACTCCTTGTCTGCCTGCGGGCCCCACCACCTGAGAGCGGCACGGGAGGGTCCTGAGTTTGCCCTTTTCAGGGGCCTTGTCCCGGCCCCCAACACCTGGTACCCAGGCCTCAGCCAGGCTGCTTGGCGGCCCGGGGCTGCGCTGAAGTCTGGGAAGCAATGTGTTGTACGTCACACCGGGAAGAAGGGCACTCTACCTCTCCTTTCTTGGGGGCTTGCTGAGCTCGGGGAAGATGTTCCCAGGCCTCGGTGGCCTTACAAAAGCTGGGGAGCAACGTGTGGCTGTCATCCAAAGACCACTAAACCCACCCCGCTCGAGGGGTGACACCCCTAAACCCGCCCTGGCGTGAGGGGTGCAGGTCTTCTGGACACAGGAGACTCAAGCTCCTAGTCTGTGAGCGCAGGCGCTGATGATGGTGAAGCATCTTCACAACTATCAGACACAGACGTCCCGGGGAGCAGGTCCTCGGCGGCAGACGCCTCCGTCCCGGGGAGCAGGTCCTCGGCGGCAGACGCCTCCGTCCCGGGGAGCAGGTCCTCGGCGGCAGACGCCTCCGTCCCGGGGAGCAGGTCCTCGGCGGCAGACGTCCACAAGCACGGGAAGTACCCGCAGCACCTCGGGATGGCTGCACCGCAGTCCTGCATGTCTGGGCCTCGGTGCCGGCCAGGATGGAGAGCGCAGGAGGCCACCACCCCAGGCTGTGTGCCCCGGCCTGTCCAGCGGCTGCAAGCCTCCATGCCACTAAGGAAGCCATGCCAGGCTTCACAGAGGTCAGAAAAAGCGTTCCGTGCTTCCCACACGTTCACGGATCTTAAAACTCTTTATGTGGTCCCACAAGTCCAGGTGTCTGCCTGGTTAAATCATTTCCACCATTCACTCAGGCAATTGTGAAATGTATTACAGTGGATAGTCTTTAAAAATGCACCAAGGCTTCAAAATTAAAAACTATTCATATCCTTAACATTAGTGAGCTTTTAATTTAAAATAAATCTCGTGAGATCCTGAATGTCTAACAGTAGGCTGGCGGGGATAATGAGCCTCCTGGTAGAATGTTTACCTAGAGAAGGTCGCTTTCGACCAGTGGTCAGGAGGTAACAGGAGGGCTGGGGCCTGAGGGATGGGCAGAGGCCAACCGGGCAAAGGGCCAGGACAGTGTCCTCAAGCCGGGGCAGAGGAACATGCTGTGCAGGGGCCACGGGCGGTGGGGGCAGAGTTGGGCCACAGGAGCCTCCCTAACAGCGACCCCACGTCAGCAGGGGCCCACCCGAGAGCCTCAACCTGGGATACACAAAACATTGCTCTCAGTTCCACAGCAGCCCTTGGAGATGGGTCCTGTTACTGCTGCCATTTTGCAGGGACAAGCCCTGAGGCACAGGGAGCTGAAGGAAGGGCTGCTGGGAAGGAGGAAGTGGGGCCGGACCCAGGCGTTCCATAGTCATTCTGAATTGGGGACACCGTGCCGTGAAAACCCAGAAGATGGAAATGGGGCCCACAGAAGCCGGTAAAGGGCATCAAACACAGGAGCCTCCCACGCTGCTCCCATCCTCCGTGCGGCATGGGCTGCTGTTTCCAGCCTTGACCACGCTTCCCACCTGCACCCTGGTGGGCGGTCCCTCCAAGGGCTGCCTGGCTGTCAAGGCCACGTGAACTGCATCTCCTATTCTGAAACCATTTCCAGATCAGCACAGCCCTCAGCGTGACTGGACGGCTCCCCCCGTGCTGAGCCATGGCCGTGTCTCCTGCGCCACTGATGGTTGGTTTACGTTCACTCTTAGGTAACCTGGGCAAAGCACACAGCAAGTGCTCAATGAAGACAGCACACAGGGAGGCCCCAGCATGTGGCTGTGCATCCGAGGGTCCCCCTTCTTCACTCTCTGTGTGTAAAGCGACACTCAGTTTGCTCAAAACCATCCCTGATAAACTGATCACATTTTCCCTGCTCTGTGGAAGAGCCTGTCACAGTTCCTGAAAGCATCGGCAAACCTGATGTATGCAGTCTTACACACTTGTCGTTGTGTGAAGCTTCTTCTGGAGGGCAATACTCTAACGTGTATTCTTAAAATATTAAAAGTGAAAATTCCCTAGTCATTTCATGTAAATATACTCATCTTAGGGAAAAATCCTAAACGCAGAAAAATGTTTTAGGCACAAAATGTTCACTGCAGCCCTTTATGTAATAAGCAAAAAATTATACGGTAGCCCCCCCTTCTCTGAGAGGATACGTTTCAAGACCCCCCAACCCAGTGGAGGCCTGAAACGTGGAGTAGTCCGAAACCCGATTATACTGTGATTTTTCTAGACGGAAATCCCTACGATAAACTTCAATTTCTAAATTAGGCACAATAAGATATTTATAACAATAACTAATAATAAGATACAATCATAACACTATACTGTAACAGAAGTGATGTGGCTGTGGCCTCTCCCTCAGAATAGCTTAATATTTTCATACTGTAGCTGTCTGCAGGTAACAAACTGCAGAAAGTGAACTGCGGGTAACGAGGCACTGCCGGTGTGATTTACACGTCCAATAATGGGACTGGTGGAGGATGTTCTGGATCATCAGCATCATGAAATTTTACGCCGTCCGTAAATTGGACTCTAGAAACAACTGTGGTGCTGTGGACCCGTGGCCACAAGAAAGGTAAAGAGAAACGGGCAGGTGTAAAATTGCAAACACCATCTAACTGCAACTGTGCAAAACACAGGTAGGAAAGACGGCAATGTGCCAACCACGGACCGAAGCCCTGGGGGCCGTGGCCTGGTGAACTGCTCTTCCTTTCTTTGCCTTTTGTCCAACTGCACGGTGAGCAGCGCCTCATCCCCAGGCAGCAGTGTCATGAAGCCACTTACTTTGCTTTCCATCTTCTTCAGGTCTGAGAGGCAGGCAGAGGAGATCTCCATGCATTTCAAGGTCAAGGAAAAACGCGCCAATTCAAAAAGCAAAAGCATTCTGCAAACAAACAAACCAGCCAGCACCGGCTCAATAGGGGGCACAGGAAACATGGCTGCAGGCGAGAATCCATGTCCCCCGTTCAAGCAGAAGCAGGAAATAAAGGTAGGATAAGAAATAAATAAAATTAAGTTAATTAGAACAGAAGCCCTGTGGGGAGGCCCCAGCAGGGCTTCAAGCTACAGCACCGGAGCCCAGCAGTCTCCCGGGGCCAGCACAGTTGTGGAGGCTGCCCAGGGCCACGTCCCTACTGGACACCCTGCTCCTCGCTCTCCAGGCTTCAGGTCATGTGCAGAACCCAGGAGAAGCACAGGGATGACGACATGCGTACTCAAAGCCATTGCATTGCACAGCAGCTCAGACCCACATCTGCAGCTCAGCGAGGCCAGAGGCCATGCAGGGAAGAGGCAGGTTCCTCTTCACACAGAGCCCGAACCTTCCTCCTCCCCACACAGAGCATGGGACTCCCCACACTCCCCACACAGAGCCCGAACCTTCCTCCTCCCCACACAGAGCATGGGACTCCCCACACTCCCCACACAGAGCCTGGGCCTTCCTCCTCCCCATACAGAGCCTGGGCCTTCCCTACACTCTCCACACAGAGCCTGAGCCTTCCTTCTTCCCACACAGAGCCTGGGACTTCCCCACACTCTCCACACAGAGCCTGGGCCTTCCCCATACTCCCCACACAGAGCCTGGGCCTTCCTCCTCCCCACACAGAGCCTGGGCCTTCCCCACACTCCGCACACAGAGCCTGGGCCTTCCTCCTCCACAAACAAAACCTGGGCCTCCCCACACTCCCCACACAGAGCCTGGGCCTCCCTCCTCTCCACACAGAGCCTGGGCCTCCCCACACTCCCCACGCAGAGCCTGGGCCTTCCCCACACTCCCCACGCAGAGCCTGGACCTTCCTCCTCGCCACACAGAGCCTGGGCCTTCCTCCTCCCCACACAGAGCCTGGGCCTTCCCCACACTCCCCACACAGAGCCTGGGCCTTCCCCACACTCCCCACGCAGAGCCTGGGCCTTCCCCACACTCCTCACACAGAGCCTGGGCCTTCCCCACACTCCCCACGCAGAGCCTGGGCCTTCCCCACACTCCTCACACAGAGCCTGGGCCTTCCCCACACAGAGGCTAGGCCTCCCCACACTTCTCACACAGAGCCTGGGCCTCCCTACACTCCCCACACAGAGCCTGGGCCTTCCTCCTCCACAAACAAAACCTGGGCCTCCCCACACTCCCCACACAGAGCCTGGGCCTCCCTCCTCTCCACACAGAGCCTGGGCCTCCCCACACTCCCCACGCAGAGCCTGGGCCTTCCCCACACTCCCCACGCAGAGCCTGGACCTTCCTCCTCGCCACACAGAGCCTGGGCCTTCCTCCTCCCCACACAGAGCCTGGGCCTTCCCCACACTCCCCACACAGAGCCTGGGCCTTCCCCACACTCCCCACGCAGAGCCTGGGCCTTCCCCACACTCCCCACGCAGAGCCTGGGCCTTCCCCACACTCCTCACGCAGAGCCTGGGCCTTCCCCACACTCCCCACGCAGAGCCTGGGCTTTCCTCCTCCCCACACAGAGCCTGGGCCTTCCTCCTCCCCAAAAAGAGCCTGGGCCTCCCCACACTCTCCACTCAGAGACTGGGCCTTCCCCACATTCCTCACACAGAGCCTGGGCCTTCCTCCTCTCTACACAGAGCCTGGGCCTCCCCACCCTCCCCACACAGAGGCTAGGCCTCCCAATACTTCTCACACAGAGCCTGGGCCTTCCTCCTCCCCACACAGAGCCTGGGCCTTCCCCATACAGAGGCTAGGCCTCCCCACACTTTTCACACAGAGCCTGGGCCTCCCTACACTCCCCACACAGAGCCTGGGCCTTCTTCCTCCCCACACAGAGCCTGGGCCTCCCTCCTCTCCACACAGAGCCTGGGCCTCCCCACACTCCCCACGCAGAGCCTGGGCCTTCCTCCTTGCCACACAGAGCCTGGACCTTCCTCCTCCCCACACAGAGCCTGGGCCTTCCTCTTCCCCACACAGAGCCTGGGCCTCCTTACACTCCCCACACAGAGCCTGGGCCTTCCCCACATTCCCCACATAGAGCCTGGGCTTTCCTCCTCCCCACGCAGAGGCTGGGCCTTCCTCCTCCACACACAGAGGCTGGGCCTTCCTTGTCGCCACACAGAGCCTGGGCCTCCCCACACTCCCCACACAGAGGCTGGGCCTCCCCAGACTTCTCACACAAAGCCTGGGCCTTCCTGCTCCCCACACAGAGCCTGGACCTTCATCCTCCCCACACAGAGCCTGGGCCTTCCTCCTCCCCACACAGAGCCTGGGCCTTCCCCACACAGAGGCTAGGCCTCCCCACACTTCTCACACAGAGCCTAGGCCTCCTCACACTTCTCACACAGAGCCTGGGTCTCCCTACACTCCCCACACAGAGCCTGGGCCTTCCTCCTCCCCACACAGAGCCTGGGCCTCCCTCCTCTCCACACAGAGCCTGGGCCTCCCTCCTCTCCACACAGAGCCTGGGCCTCCCCACATTCCCCACATAGAGCCTGGGCTTTCCTCCTCCCCACGCAGAGGCTGGGCCTTCCTCCTCCACACACAGAGGCTGGGCCTTCCTTGTCGCCACACAGAGCCTGGGCCTCCCCACACTCCTCACACAGAGCCTAGGCCTTCCACCTCTTCACACAGAGGCTGAACCTTCCCAACACTCCTGACACAGGGCCTGGGTCTTCCCACGCTCCCCATACAGAGCCTGGGCCTTCTTCCTCCCCACATAGATCCTGCAGCTTCCTCCTCCCCACACAGAGCCTGGGCTTCCCCACGCTCCCCACACAGAGCCTGGGCCTTCCTACCATGCGACAAGCCCGTAGGCGTGCCGCCAACCGCACCTGCAGTCACCAATCAGGGTCTTTGCAGAAACTGACAGGCTGAGGCTAAAATTTGTATCCACATGCAAGGACCCACAGTGCTCCAGACAACTTCAAGAAAGAGCACAGCGGGTGCTCTCAGCTCTCCACTCTAAGGCTTCCTGTTGAGCTGCAGGGATCAGGATCACGCTCCTCCGGTGGAGATTAGGCCAGGGTTTCCCTCCGGGACGCCTCTCTTCCAGGAGGAGCCTGTCCATTGTGTCCCTGCAGCTGCCCGCTAGATGAAGAGCAGCCGCCCACAGTGTCTCCAGACATTGCCAAATGTCCTTGGGGAGCAGGTCTACATGTCTTCTGCTGTTTCCCGGGGAGTAATCACAGTCTTACCGGGAACACAATTGGCGGCTGCTGGCAGCGACTCAACTCGGCCCTCAGTGTGGTGTGACCATCCTCCCTGCATCCCTGGGTAGCTGTGGGCAGGAGGCTGCTTTGGGGTGGGGTGCGGACGCTTCTCCGCCCCTCGTCCCTGCCCACCTCCTCCTCCCCCTGCTCTGCTGTTGGGCCCTCTCAGGTCCTGGCAGGCCTGGCATCACAACACTGGCCTCTCCGTCCTACCTGAGCTCCAGCGCACAGGCCTGCTGGGCAGGTCGGGAAGAGAGAATCCGTAAAAGTGCCTGAGAATGCCGCCTGTGGACAGACCTCGGAACAGGGCTATTTACACTGGTCCCAAGACCTCTCGTCGGAGCGCCTGGCCACAGAAGGGGATGCTCGGCCAGGGCCACGGCCACGCTTGGCCGGACTTCAGTTAGAACAACCTGGAGGGTCTGATGGAAGACGTAAACTCCTTCCAGAACAATATATCCACACACATCCCCATGTACACATGCACTCATACCCCTCCCAAAAACAGACCCACCAGCAGGCTGGCCCTGTGCCCCTGCGGCCCAGGCTGTGGCCCAGCAGCCACCCTGCGGTCCTGGGGCCCCTCCCTCGAGGAGCCTGCAGCTGAGCAGCGGAGACCTCAATGTTGGGCAGGTGCCACCTCCCTGATGAGACCACGAACGTGCTGGCGTCTGGCGCCCCTCGCTAGCACTGATGAAGCAAGCTGTCCCACCAGGACCGAGGCCTGAACCCACAGGAACCGAGTCCTCTCAACACCCCTGTGAGCTTGGGGGACCCCTTCCCCAGTCCAGCCTCGAGAAAAGACCCCAGACCAGTCAACACTGTGGCTGCTGCTGTGCCCAGGTTCCCGTCCCACAGACACAGGGAGGTCATGGATCTGTGCCCAGGTTCCCATCCCGCAGACACAGCGAGGTCATGGACCTGTGCCCGGGTACCTGAACCGCAGACACGGTGAGGTCATGGACCTGTGTTGTTTCAAGCTCCTAAGTTTGTGGGTACTTGTTACGCAGCTGCAGATAACTAATACACCTTCTCTGTTAGTTTCCCATGGCCACCAGAAAACCAAACAGATAATTTCAGCCTCCCATATCAACAAGCTTTACTTGTTTCCCATTTTCTTAAAAATATACACAGTGCTACTAAGGAGGTGACAAAATCGCTCCAGGGGCAGGGGACAAACCCCCCCACCCACCCCGTGCCCACGAAGGCAAAACCAGCCAGTGCTTTCCATGTGCTTCTGAAAGCCTCGGGCTCAGCTTCCTGCTTCCAGGATACCAGCCCAGGACTTATCCCAAACTCTCAACAGTGCCTGGAGGATTCGAGAAAGCACAGAATCCAAACAAACCAGCCTGAAAAAGGCTCCAGAGAAACCTGTGTTTTCCCACCCATGGAACGCCACGCAGCCACCAGAACCGTGAGAGGTGCCACAGTGACCTAACCATCCATATGCCTACAAACTAAACTCATGTTAAAAAGTAGGGTATGAAAGTATTCGCAAGACAGTACAAATCTCAGGCCACAAAAGACCAGACAGGACCTTACTAAAACCTCCACAATGGCTGGCTTTTGCAAAGGTGGTTCTAGTTGCTTGTTTTACATTTTTTCACATTTTTCAGTGCCTGCTAAATTTTGTACAACGATTATGAAGATGTGATATTGGAAAAATACAAACACTTACTTTTCTTCACTGATAGAGGGAAAGCGCTGGTGGTTGTAATGACCTAAGTGTCTGTAGGCCTTCCTCAGAATGACACTGATGTCACCTGGTAAATCATTTTGCTCCGCTTTTCTAGAAATAATTCAGAGAGTAATTCAGCACAAGATCCTGTCAGATTTATTCAAATTCTTCTAAGAGAAACTCTGCGTGTATGAAATTGTGTTTCTCACTGAAGAGGAGACTGAAAATAACCCCTCCTGCCTTCTTTCCTCAAATTCCTGAGATGACTTTTCACCCCTTCTGGTCCTCCTTCCCTCCATGATGCCCGGCCTTCCTACAAGGCTGGAATAGAAACACTCAGAGGGCCCAGACCCCTCGCCAGAGTCAGCACCCCACATAGGAGCCAAACACGGGAAATGTGGGGCACTCTCTCTGCTCAACGGCGATAGGACCTGGGCCAGCATTGCTCTCTCCCAGGGATGCTGCCCATAGGACACAAATACCTCAGATCTCCTCACTCCCCTTGGTATCCAAACCCACTGTGATCTCCTCACTCCCCTGAGCACCCAAACACACTGCGATCTTCTCATTCCCCTCAGCACCCAAACCCACTGTGATCTCCTCACTCCCCTTGGCACCCAAACACACTGTGATCTCCTCACTCCCCTCAGCACCCAAACACACTGAGATCTTCTCATTCCCCTCAGCACCCAAACACACTGCGATCTCCTCACTCCCCTCAGCACCCAAACACACCGTGATCTCCTCACTCCCCTCAGCACCCAAACACACTGTGATCTCCTCACTCCCCTCGGCACCCAAACACACTGCGATCTTCTCATTCCCCTCAGCACCCAAACCCACTGTGATCTCCTCGCTCCCCTCGGCACCCAAACACACTGTGATCTCCTCACTCCCCTCAGCACCCAAACACACTGAGATCTCCTCACTCCCCTCACATCCAAACACACTGTGATCTCCTCACTCCCCTCGGCACCCAAACACACTGTGATCTCCTCACAGCCCTCAGCACCCAAACACACTGTGATCTCCTCACTCCCCTCACATCCAAACACACTGTGATCTCCTCACTCCCCTCGGCACCCAAACACACTGTGATCTCCTCACAGCCCTCAGCACCCAAACCCACCGTGATCTCCTCACTCCCCTCATCATCCAAACACACTGTGATCTCCTCACTCCCCTCGGCACCCAAACACACTGCGATCTCCTCACTCCCCTCACATCCAAACACACTGTGATCTCCTCACTCCCCTCGGCACCCAAACACACTGTGATCTCCTCACTCCCCTCACATCCAAACACACTGTGATCTCCTCACTCCCCTCGGCATCCAAACACACTGTGATCTCCTCACTCCCCTCGGCACCCAAACACACTGTGATATCCTCACTCCCCCCGGCCCCCAAATACACTGTGATCTCCTCACTCCCCTCAGCCCCCAAACACACTGTGATCTCCTCACTCCCCTCGGCACCCAAACCCACTGCGATCTCCTCACTCCCCTCACATCCAAACACACTGTGATCTCCTCACTCCCCTCGGCACCCAAACACACTGCGATCTCCTCACTCCCCTCACATCCAAACACACTGTGATCTCCTCACTCCCCTCGGCACCCAAACACACTGTGATCTCCTCACTCCCCTCACATCCAAACACACTGTGATCTCCTCACTCCCCTCGGCATCCAAACACACTGTGATCTCCTCACTCCCCTCGGCACCCAAACACACTGTGATCTCCTCACTCCCCTCGGCCCCCAAATACACTGTGATCTCCTCACTCCCCTCAGCCCCCAAATACACTGTGATCTCCTCACTCCCCTCTGCCCCCAAATACACTGTGATCTCCTCACTCCCCTTGGCATCCAAACACACCATGATCTCCTCACTCCCCTCGGCATCCAAACACACCATGATCTCCTCCTACAGGCTCTTTCTGCACTTGGCTTAAAGCCGCCCTCTCCCTTCTGTGGCCTCACTGGCCTCTCCTCTGTGCTGGGAGGGAGGCAGGGCCAGGAATTGGGGTGGCCTTCGGATCCCCACACCCTGAGGTCTCCCAGGCTCCTATTCTCCAGCCCCACTCACTGCAACTCCAGACTCACAGGCCCCTGGACACAGGACCTCCCCCCATGGAGGGGACAGAGCTCTCCCAAGCCCAGCACTTGTGAAACTCAGTATTTGCTCTCCCTCCCAAAACGACTTACGCCTTTAGCATATTAATATAGAAAGTGACTGACAGGCTAATGGAATTTTTCTTTTCTTCCTTTAACTGAAGTTCGTCCATTAATTCATGACGAACCTGTCATAAAATGGAGCAGATTATTAATCTGGATTCAAACAATTCGGTAGAGGTTCAGATTTTGTGTCTAGATTTTATTTTCTCATTAATTTTGTATCTAGCTTTTCAGATACAACTTAAGCTGATTCCCCATATGTCAAAATGGACTGCTGATGAATGAATGCTTTTGGTACATATTCTTGTAGTAATTACTTGTATCTTTGTGAATTTTCTATTAACTTTAAAAAAATTCAAAGCTATTACAAAGGAAATATTTAAAGAGCGACGATAAAGGCAAAAGACCCTGTTTTGTTTTCTAAATGTCACAGTTCTATACATCTTTGCATTGGATGAACTGCTATTTCTTTTTAATATGCTTATGTAATTTTGTTCATGTATGTATGCATATAGATTTTTATATCTCTCAGCAAACTTATGTAATTTCTACGCAGTTTTCTGAACAATGACTTTTAAGAAAATTACTTCTTACGTCTCTATTTCTAATACGCTGATTTACCATAACAGAGAATATCTGCCGGTATTTCTGTGGCACGTGAGACTTAATGAACGGAGCTGCCGTGGAGCAGAACCTGGCAGCCTCCTCCTTTCTTCCGGCTTGCAGATAACACTCCAGAAGTTCCCTGGATAATAGAAACACACCACTGGTCAACCTGGTTGAAACTGTTTTCTCCTATCTAATAACCAGGTTATTAAACCATTACATATTTTGTGTTTCACAAAGTTTAAAAGCTACCCTGGGGTCAGCTTCTTCAGCCAGAACCAGGCTGTGTGGCTCACCAGGAAGGGCCAGCAGGTGCCAGACAGCTCGTTACCGCTAGCACCGGGGCATTTTGAAATGAAAGATCTGTATTGATATTCTTCAAAGGTTCCCCAAACGGCCATATGGCAAGTAACCAACACCTGCAGGCTGTGGGCTTGGTGCCGAGGGGAGCTGCTCTGGAGTTGGCACAGCTGGAATCCTCAATGGGGACATCCACCCGTCCCCAGCCTGCACAGAGAGTGCCGCAGACACAGAGAGGCTCGGACCCGTTTCCTTTCCGCCGCCCGGCACAGTGACCGAAGCATTGGTGACAGCCTGTGCGGTGACCCCTCAGGGCTGAGACCCAGCAAGGCCGGCCTGCCCTGTGCTGCCCCAACTTCCTCGCAGGGCTGCCTGGGCTCCGCATGTGCTGACTCTGCTTAGTTTTACGCTGTTAAAACGTCTACTGCGTTACCATTTTAAGAACTAAGATTGTAAAACCGTGAGCCAGGCTGCGTGGGGCAGGATCATATCTGCTTTGCTGGGAGTCTAAACACAGTATCTTGTTCTGTTGTCATAACCTCATAACCAGGGCACGGCAAATGTCATCTACAGATTTTGGAAACGACCTTCGGACAAGACACACAGAAACTTGTGACTGTGGGAGAGAACGCACATGGAGTGTGCCCCAGTGATGTGGAACTCCCGTCCCCCCCCCGGAGAAGGGGTGGTGGCCTCAGAGCCAGAGGGCGGCCCACCGGGAGGCCACAGAGGGCACGGCGAGCTCAACTCACAGCATCAGCTCAGCACGCCACTCCTTGTCTTCCTCCTCAGTCTGACTCAGCACGTTTATGATTTGGGAAAGGCTGGGGATCAGATGGTGACGATATCCAGGCTTGAGGAACGGCCTCACCATCTGCCAGTAGAGGACTGATGCATTGTACACCAAAAAGTAGTACCTGCGGCGCGAGCAGAGGAAGCAGAGAGCACGCTCAAAGCCCAGCCGGCCCAAGCTGCAGAACCAAGGGGCCGCTGTGTCTCCGGAGCCCCTCCCAGGAGGGGCCTCAGGTCCTCTCCAGCAGATGGCAGCAGCCCCACCTGAGAAGCTTTGGCCCAGCCTGCAGGAGCACCAGGATGCAGAGCCCTTCCCTGGGACAGCCTTGGGCGACCCTGCGTCCGACGTGCCATGGCTCCAGCGCAGGCCCGGCTGTGATGACCCGGCCACAGGCTCCCGAGTCCAGACCAGGGCCTTCTTCATCAATTATTCCACAAACTGATCGGCCCCCTCCCATGAAAATACACCACTGGGCAAGGCCTCCTCTGACTCTCAAGGGATAGACAAGAATGGGCAAGGACAGAGGGAATCAAGGAAGGCTTCCTGGAGGAGGTTACATGCCTGCTGTGACCTGAAAGATGTCAGGAGGCAGCCAAGACAGTAGTAGAGGAAAAGAAGGTCAGGAAGATGGAGGAGAAGGGAGGAACCTTTGGGAAACAAAGTTCCCGTCTGCCAGCATAGAGTGTGAAGTGGAGGAGGGTGGGCTGGAAGAGTGAGCAGAGACCCCTCTCAGGGGTCTGGGCCTCTCCCTGGGCAGCAGGGAGCATTGCAGGGACTGAAGTAAGGGAATCCGGGCCCATCTGCCCTTCTCACTCTAGGGCCACTCCACAGTGGGGCAGGCCAGCTCTGCCATGTAGGGCCTGTGTGCCTTGTGGTCCTGGGCCGGCCACCAGGTGGACCAGCACTGCTCAATGCCCAGGTGGGAGGAGGACACCAGGGTGGCTGTGGCAAGCCCACTCCTCTGAGTTTACTCAGAGCCACCACGTGACCCTAGGACAGGACTCATCCTGTTTCCAGGTTTTCAGGAGAGGAGCGGAGGTGCGGGGTGTCCTGACCAGACGGTCACGCCTGCTTGAGTCAGAGGGGTCATCATGGGACTCCAGCGGCCTGCTGCGTCTCCCTGAGTGCTGCGTCTCCCTGAGTGCTGCGTCTCGAAAGGAACCCGTCTCCTCCCTGTAAGTGGCTCTCCCCAAATTCCCACTGTGGCCTCCACATGCCCGTGGTTGGGCTCACAGTCTCCTGTCCCACTGACACTGCCCTGGACAAGCCAGCGCTGCCCTCTCTCTCCACACAACCTGGACCCTTCCCAAAGATGGTCCTGACCTCTGGCAAGGCTCTGTCACCCCCTGACCCGTCCACAGTGCCCCTGAGGGCCCTGGAGCAGAGCAGCCTCCTTCCCATGGTACCCACCACTCCCGCGTCACAGCACCCTTGGAAATACCCCTTGTCTTTAGAATCTGTGGCTTGAGGTGGGGCCTCCCCGTCCCTGTCCCCATGCAGAGAGGATCTGTGGGGCTGGGCCCTACATCCCCAGCACTTGCAACAGGGTGTGACCAGAGAAGGCCACCAGCAGACAAGCAGGCCGATGTGGGTAGAACAGACCAGGGAACCCACAGCTTCTATTTAAATATCCTCCAAACATTGTATCCTATTTGAATATGTGATATATGTTCAAGCAAATATGCTTGAAACTGTCAAGCTTGCACAAAACTGATTTGAATAGGATATGAATCAGTTTTGTGCAAGCTTAACAGTTTGAAGCATGATATTTGTTTTTGTGCAGAAAGCACTGATTTTGTAGAAAGTGCTGGAGTCGCCTCCGCAGGGACAGCGGCCTTGGCCAAGTTGTCCGCTAGGGAGCAGCAAAGGCACGCTGGGCCGAAGAAGGAACCGTGGGGAAGGAGAAGGCGCCCTGGGGGTGCGCCCGGGGAGGCCCTGGAGAAAACAGACTCTTTTTTTTTTTTTATTGATACAGAGTCTCGCTGTCATCCAGGCTGGAGTGCAGTGGCGTGATCTGGGCTCACTGCAACCTCCGCCTCCCGAGTTCAAGTGATTCTCCTGCCTCAGCCTCCCCAGCAGTTGGGATTACAGGCATGTGCCACCACGCCCGGCAGAAAACAGACTCTTCACAGCCATCTAAAATCACGAAAACCGCCGAGTGCAAAAGAGGCTGTTACTCGGAATTCGGCATGAATGTGGCCTGTCCACACGCTGACGAGATGAGGGAGTGATCACACGTGCATGAAAATCACAGACCACAAACGAGGGGAAACCCCACAGTTCAAATAAATACACCCACTTGATAAGTTCTGGCTCTGAAGTCTTTCACCCAGTCAGTGAGAAACGGCCACTTCAATTTTGCCTACCTCGGTTCTCCTTTGGCAAAGTTTATGGCCTTCATGTACTCAGTCACGCAATTTTCAAATTCCTCCTAAGGCAACATAAAGAAGCACAATTAGACCGAAATACTGACCCCTGCTCACTGCCCCATCTGCGGATGCCACGGCTCCCTCACGGTTGGCCTGGTACCCCCTGTGTGTCACCTGTGTATCCACAGGTGACGGTGTGGCAGACACAGCCTGAGTGTCGTGGCGAGGTCCTGGACCTGCACCCGGGTTCCCGTCCCGCAGACACAGCGAGGCAGCAGAAACCGCAGTGCCTGTGCTCCAGCACGCCCGCCCCACCCCAGCTCCCCTGTGCCCACTCGGGGCAGCTGCAGGCGCAGATGCCACAGAGACCACGCTGCTACGAGGCAAAGGTCCAGGGGTCCTGTGTGTCAGATATCACCACTTGAGCAAAAAGCATGGACAGGAAATGGTGCAAGTTTCGTGTCACTCTGGAAAGGAATTCCTTCACTCTACTACCCTAAGAACGATTTTAAGCCTGGTCTAGCCTGGCATTGCTCTGGAGATGGGGTGAAAATTGAACTGTTGGGGATAAGGGGCACAGGACGCCTCTCACCAGGTTTTCTGCCGACTTCGGGGCACACATCTGGGCCCTGCACAGGTGCGCTCGGCCCAGAAACTGGGTGATGGGCGCCTTCACCTTGAAGTACATTTGGATGCAGTCCTCGCTCACCTCTGGCTGCCTCATCTGCAAGAGAACACCACCACAGAAGATCACAGACCCGGAGGGGTGGCCTCCCTGCCCAGAAGCACCACGGGCCCGCTTTCAGAACAGGCCCCCAGCACAGGTGGAGCCTGTTTCCAGCCCCATCCTCCATCCTGGCCCCTTGACTGCCCGGCCAGGAGCTGCCTCTCCCCAGCCCCACTCTGCATCCGCTGCACACCCAGAGGCCCTCCCTCTCCCTGTCAAAGCTGCCCTGACCGAGGATCCCGGGAACTAGTTACCTTCAGGGCCTGCTCTGCACACAGAACAAACAGGTCTGGGCTGAAGCTCTCTGAGGGGTCAAACTCCGATTTCCCTAGGTTGGCCGATTTGATCAACTCGTAGGCCTTCTTCAAGGACGCAGCATCTGTCCCAAACGGGTGGTTGAGGAAGGTTTGGTCACTGGGCTGGGAGAAGTGAGCCGGGCAACGCCATCCCGAAGGCCCCAGGCAGCCGCCTTGGGCCCCCGGGCCACAGCCACCGTCAGAACCTGTCGCCGCCAGGGAGCAGCGGTGTGGGCGCCTTCCTGTACGTTTGCTCTGGTCAGACGATCGGGAGGTGGGGGCTCCGGCTGTGGCCCTCGAGGGATCACCCATTGGGCGGGCTGGGATGAGAGGGTCCGGGGCCTCCCCGGGGCGGGGGTCGTGGCGGGTCCCGGGGCCTCCCCGGGGCGGGGGTCGTGGCGGGCCTGGGGTCACCTTGCTGGCTCTCGGCGCGGGCCAGCTCCTGCGTGATGACCAGGTCCATGGCGCCGGCGCCCTGCTCGTCCGCTCTCTCCGGGGTCCGCGGTGCGTCCTGCCGCCCACTGTCGGTTGGGTTCTCCAGCCGCGAGGACCCGGCCACGGTTGCCTGGAGACCGAAAGGGACGCGGACGCGGGGCTACGGGTCGGCGGCGGGGCCACACTTCGGGGAAGGCGAACAACGCCGCGCCCCCGCCCTGCCCCCCGCCAGCTCCGCGGGAGTGAGACACCAGGGCAGCGACCCCCGGCGAGGGGCGGGAAGAAGAAAGGGGAGGGAAGGCGGCGTGGGGGGACGCCGGGGGCTCCGCGCGGGCCTCCTCTCCCCGCTCAGGGCTCCTGTGTGCCCGGGTTCTGGTCCTGACCCCGGGCTCACCCTCCACCTTCCCCGGGAACTTCCGACTGCGTCCTTCGCGCCTGCGCTCGTCGGCTCATTCATTCATTCATTCATTCATTCATTCATTCATTCATTCATCCATTCAGTCAGTCAGTCAGTCAGTCAGTCAGTCATTCCTTCATTCTTTCGTTCTTTCATTCATTCCGTCATTACTTTAACAGGCGGTGATTTGCCCCTGCCACGGTGCTGGAAGTGCAGCGGGCACAGAAAGTCGCGCAGTGGAAATGCGGGCTGCGGGCGTGGATGGGGCCGCCGGGTCTGGGGACGAGCTAAGACCTGGCAGCAGGGGGTGGCCGAGGCGGGAGGAGCAGACGCAGAGCCCCGGCCCCCACGGAGAGGGTAGCAGCGCAGCCACCTGCCCCCCGGGGCTCCCCACCTCCCAGCCGGGGCTGCTTTCCGGCCGGGGTCCGGACGGCGCCTACGACCGACCCGAATTGGAGGCTTGGCGGGGCGCGCAGCCCCCGCGCGGGGAAGCCGGAGCCACTGAAGGACTTGGGTCGGCCTGGGGAGGGGAGGGCCCGGGACTCACCCCGGGGTGGGCACACTAGGGGAGCTCTAGGGGAGGCCCACCTGGGGTAGGCCCACCTGGGAGAGGACCCCCTGGGAGAGGCCCACCCACGAGAGTCCCACGTGGGAGAGTGGAATTCCACCCGGGAGAGGCCCACCTGGGAGAGGACCCCCTGAGAGAGGACCGCCTGGGAGAGGCCCACCTGGGAGAGTGGAATTCCACCCGGGAGAGGCCCACCTGGGAGAGGACCCCCTGAGAGAGGACCGCCTGGGAGAGGCCCACCTGGGAGAGTGGAATTCCACCCAGGAGAGGCCCACCTGGGAGAGAACCCCCTGAGAGAGGACCGCCTGGGAGAGGCCCACCTGGGAGAGTGGAATTCCACCCGGGAGAGGCCACCATACCTACATGGGATCAAATAAGCTGCCTGGACATAGTTTTGAAACCTGAACGTCGTATGTTTCTCAGGCTCCTAGAGCCCCACCCCGTCTTGAAGTTGGCAGCCTCAGATCCCTGCTAAATGACCATATTCCTTCCCAAAGACAGTTCTCAGATGGGCCTTTGTTGGTAAAGACACTCCACACATGGGTACAGCCTCGATAAAATATTTATCCCCTCAGAGAAAGTATATCCAAACATAATGTAGTAAGAGATTTCCCAAATCCAAGGGCATTAAATATTAAAACTCAGTTTTCTAGTTACACATTAGCCTTAAATATCAAGAGTGCAACACAAAATTATCACAGAACGCAGGAAAAGGAGATGAGAAAGGCCGCAGATGGGCAGCCAGGTGGGCCGGGGCACAGGGCAGGGTCGGAAAGGGTCCCCAGCCCAGGAGCTTCTGTGTCCGTGGAGTGGGGGGCACCACCCTCCTGGCCCGTGGATGTGTTCAGCAACCTGGAACTGCTCGGGACCCATAGTCCAGGCATTCTTATGGAGGCTCCATCGCAGACATGAAGGATGATGGTGGATGATCCCTGGAGGAGGGTGGGTGCAGGGTTGAGAGCTGCAGGTGCTAATCCTGGCTGGTCTCTCTGGTGACTGGACCCCCTCCAGGAGCCACCAAGCCTCACCTCATTTGAATGGAAGAATCTGCTGCCATCACCCAGGAAATTCGAGGGCTTTTGGAGCCCTGTGCGGGGTCTCGGGAGCAGAGACCAGATCTATTCATTTCTCATTTCATCACCCCATCTTGCCAGGTAGAGACGGTGTCTGTGTCTGGGCTCCCAGGCTGGACCCCAGAGGCCTGCTGTATATGCGCCCGCTGGCGTTGCCATCACGGGGCACTCTCATGGGCGGCTTAAACAGCGGGAAAGGAGGCGGGAAGGCCGAGAACAAGGTGCGGCCGGAGTTGGTTCCTTGGAGGGCACCCCGCGTGGCCGTATGTGGTCGTCTTCTTGTCTGTGTCTCGGTGTCCAAATGTGCCCATCTTATATGGACACCAGCCATGGGGTTTAGGGCCCACCCTGGGACCTCCTGTTAAATAGATCACCTCTGTGAAGACCCTGTCTCCAAATAAGGCCACATTCTGAGGCCGTGGGACTAGGACTCCAGCATAAGAGTTTCAGGGGGACACAGTTCAATCCATGACACTTGCTTAACCAGAAGGTGGTGAGAATTCTGAACATTTGTAATTTCATCAGGTGAAAGCCAGGAAGATGGGTGAATTGTTGTTTAAAACATCTCAGAATATATACATGAGCAGAATGAGCAGAACAGAAGTTAAAGATAGAGCTTCTTCCAGCGCAGGTGAGGCCAGTAATCAAATCCCACTGGTGTGTATGTCCGTAAAAGAGAACTTAGTTGAAATCGACCTGGCATCCCAGCTCCTGGGGACAGGCAAGCAGAAGCCGGGGGCAGGAGGGACGTGGTGATGTGCGGGGTCCTCGCTCTCCCCGGCTCCGCTCAGAAGAGCAAGGTGCCGCCCCCCACTAGGGGAGCTGGAGAAGGGGTTAGGTGGAGTTGGGGAGGCACGGAGGGTCCCTGGTAGCGGGGTGCTGGCAAGCAGGCTCTCCAGGGAAAAGCGAAAATGAAGCCCCTGGTTGGAAGCATTTGCACATCCTCCCACCACCGCTGTTTAAACTGCCCCAGGGGCAGCACCAGCTCACAAAGCTGCACATCTCACAAATGGCCAGGTGGAGCCCAGCTCTGGCTTGGTGACCCCTCCAGAAAGGCGGGGTCCTGGGGACCCCAAAGTTGGCTGGAAGCCGACCTGCACCGCTGTCCCAGGGGCCTGTGCTCTCCTCACTCTGCCTGGCTGGTGTCTGGCCCGGCAGTGCTTTGTGGCATCGGCTCCACTTTGGGGCCAGTCGGTGCCGGCACGGCTACTTTACCTATGGCTTGAGAATCCAAGTGTGGAGTCTGGGAAAGGGGGCTGGGCTGGAATCCCCACGTGTGAGGGCTGACTGAGACTGGGCCCGCAGGAGAATGTTGGCCCAGGGAACCAGGAAGAACTGACCTAGAGTCGGGAGAGACCCCAGGCCACCTTTGTGTGTTGGGCCACGCAGTGGTGAAGACCATGGGGTGGCCACCCAGCTACGGTTGGTGGAACCCCAGAGCCCACTAGGGGAGGGTGTGGTGAGTGCATGTGTGTGACTGTGAGAGTGTCAGCAGGAGGGGGTGGGTGTGTGTGAACTGTGTGGCTGCGTTAGGGTAAGTGTGTGCCATGTGTACACAAGAGTGCGTGTGTATAGTGTGTGACATGTAAGCATGATCATGTGTGTGACCATGTGTCTGAGTGTGCATGTGTATGCATGTGTGGCCCTCCCCTGTGGAGGCACAGGGGAGCAGGTCTCTAATCCACAGACATCACCGACGACCTGTGCAGGGCCAGGCTCTGGGGATCAGCAGAGAACAAAAGGGGCAGAAAGCACTGCCCCTGGGGACAAAGACCACACTGTGGGGTCCGGCAGCTGGGAGGGGGGCCTGGTGTTTTCTGGGAAAGCAGCTTCACCCCCCAGGAAAGCAGGAGGATCAGAAGAGGGCTCCTCACCCCCACGGACACCTTTCCCGGTGGGACAGCTCCTGAACATGGAGCGTATCAGCAACCTGGCAGCCGAGCTCCCGCGTCTCCAGGATGACGGCCGAGGGTGGTGTGCACATGCCCTGAAAAGACAGGGAGGAGAACATCCGCTGTCATCCCCAACAGCCCAGCACTCAGCACCCAGCACCCAGCACCCCAGCACTCAGCACCTCAGACCATCATCCCTAACAGCCCAGCACTCAGCACCCCAGGCTGTCATCCCCAACAGCCCTGCACCCAGCACTCAGGATCCCAGGATCCCAGCACCCCAGCACCCCAGCACCCCAGCATCCCAGCACCCCAGCACCCTAGCACCCCAGCATCCCAGCACCCCAGCATCTCAGCATCCCAGCACCCCAGCACCCCAGCATCTCAGCATCCCAGCACCCCAGCACCCCAGCACCTCAGCATCCCAGCACCCCAGCATCCCAGCATCCCAGCATCCCAGCACCCCAGCATCTCAGCATCCCAGCACCACAGCATCCCAGCACCCCAGCATCCCAGCACCCCAGCACCCCAGCATCTCAGCACCCCAGCACCCCAGCACCCCAGCATCCCAGCATCCCAGCACTGCAGCATCCCAGCCTCCATGTATCCCAGCACCCCAGCATCCCACTACCCCCAGTACCTCCAGCATCCCAGGATCCCAGGAACTCAGCATTGCTGCATCCCAGCACCTAACCTGGGGTCACACATTTTTATCTGATGAATCTGCAGCTCTTAATTAATGCTTCTACCTGCCTTCCCTCTGCCTTCTGCAGACACCGTGCACAGGTGATGTGTACATGTATATTCTTTTTTGGTTCACAGAAATGGCAGTTGCATCATACCTGTTTAGCATCATGGCTTCCAGCTAACTACCCATCCATTCACTGGAAGATATTTTTGAAGCCTTGCTGTGTCATTAGAGCAGAGCCTCGTTCTGAACTCCTGGTCCAGCAGGCCCTGCTGCAGAGGCTGCTGCAGCTCATGGCACACTTGGACAGCGGCAGCACTCTCTTCTCTGAGGCCTCTCTCTTCAACGTTTTGTAAGACTGTATTTGCATGTTTATTTTTATGTAAATGCTGAAACATCTGGTCTAGTTTAAAAAATAAACACAAAACACAGCCAAAAGCACACTGTTGGCATTTTCTCCGGTACAGGTTGATTTAAAGAGAACTGCCGTAAGACCGTGTGTCTTCTGATCCAGCCGCAGTGGGCTTTCTCACTCGCTTGCCTTCGGTGTGCATCTGCTTGCTAATACTAAGAATTTGTGCCTCGATATTGATAAGGAAGGTGATTCTGTGATATTTTCAAACAAACAATGTGGAAGCTTGATCTTTCCTTCTGTGCTCCTGAACTGGTTCATAGCATTGTAATTACATGTTCCTTAAGGTTTGCGAGAACTTGTAAGGTGGACTTTTCTTTCTCATTTGGAGCAAGTGTGTATATGTATGTGTGTGTGTGGGTACGTTTGTGTATGCACATGCTGCATGTATGTGTATAGCGTGTGTGTATATGAATGTGTGAGCATGTATGTGTGCATATGTATATGTATGTTGTCTTCATGTGGGTGTTTATGTGTGCATGTGTAAATGTAAGTACATGCATGCATGTGTGTTGTTTGGTCATGTGTGTACATGTGTATGTGTGTGCCTGCGTGTCCGTGTGTGCACGTGTGTAAACATGTGTATGCATGAGTATTCATGTGGATGTGGATGTATATGTGTAGATGGAGATATGTGTATATGTGTGAGCATGTGTACCCATATGTAAGCACGTTCATGTGTGCATTTGTGTGGATATGGATATATATGTGTATACATGCACTGTGTATATCTATATGCATGTATGTGCATGTGTGCATGTGTATGTGTACACGTGTGTGCATGTAACCACACATATGTATGCGTGTTTGAGTGTGCAAGTGTACATACGTGTAAGCACATGCATGTGTGTGTATATGTGCAGGTGTGTGAAGGGATCCAGATCACACTTTGTGGTGTAAGGATCATTTTGAGCTGATGGTGTTTGGGGATCCACAGTGCAGGAGGAGGCTTTCTCCACAGCGGCCTTATCTGCCTAAAAGCAGAGGCTTCCAGAAGGACTCAGCCATCACCGCCCAAGGACTCAGCCGTCATGGCCCAAGGACTTGGCCATCACCGCCCAAGGACTCGGCCATTACTGCCCAAGGACTCAGCCATCACGGCCCCTTGAAAGGAGGCTTCTGGTACCAAGAGACAGAGCAACTCCAGTTGCTGGAGATGAGAAGTCAGCACTGGGATGAGCAATGGCACACACAGACCTTTCCCAAGCGGACCTTGCCCTCCGTTAGCTTCCTGTGTCTCTCTCGCTCGTTTCCCACCACATGCTGGCCCTCAGGGTCCTACCTCCTTCCCCTTGATAAGATGGTTTCTCAGCCCCAAATTCTAGCTGCTTCTTTGAGTCACTTTCTTCCTGAGTATGCATGTGAATCAACTTTACCCTTTGCTAAACCGTCTTTTGTTTCATTTGCAGGCCCCCAATAGAGAACCTGAGATGACAGAGGACAAGTTTTCCTCCAACATAAGCATGTGTGGCTGACTGTCGTAGCTCTTTAACACTTCTCTCATAGCTCTTTAATACTTCTCCTGTGGTAATTGGCTCCTCCAAAATCAGTTTGATAATATTTTCCTTAAAAAGCATTCATTTCATCCAGATTTCAATATGCATAGTGTTGAACAAAGTAGTCTTATCATAGTTGTTTTTCACTTACTCTGCATCTGGGCTATTTTCTGATGCTTATTTCTGATTTTATGTATTTCTTTTTGGTTAGGTTTGTTGATGGTTTCTGTATTTTATTGTTTTCCTTTTTTTTAAAAGAACCAGCTTTGGTGCCTATTAATTGATCCTATCATTTCCTGCTTTTCAAATCATTAATTTCTTCTTTATTCCTTAGTAAGTTGTTGATGAAAATAATCAAACTCTGTAAAATATTTAAAGATATTTATTCTGAACCAAATATGAGTGGCCAATGGCCCCATGACACAGCCTTCAGGAGTTCCTGAGAACATGTGTCTGTGGTTGTCAGGCCACATTTGGTTTTATATCTTTAAGAGAGACATGAGACATCCATCAACACATGTAAGACGTACATCGTCTCCGTCTGGAAATGGGGGACAACTGGAAGCGGGGGGCTTCCAGGTCATAGGTAGATTCAAGGATTTTCTAACTGGCAATTGGTTGAGTCAAGTTATTGTCTAAAGACTTAGAAAGAAATGTCCAGATTAAGATAAGAGGTTGTGGAGACCAAGGTTTCATCACGCAGATGAAGCTTCCAGGTAGCAGGCTTCAGAGAGAATAGATCATAAATGTTTCTTGTCAGAGTTAAAGAGTCTGTTCTCTCAGTAATTCCAAAAGGGAGGAGGGATAATGAGACACCTCCAGCTCCCCCTTCCCATCATGGCCTGAACTAGGTTTTCAGGTTAACTTTGGAATGCCCTTGACTGAGAGGCAGGGTCCATTCAGATGATCAGGGCTTAGAATTTTATTTTTGGTTTACAAAGTCCTTCTGTCTGCCTCACTTAGCTATGTTTTGCAGTTCTTGAATTGGATGTTTAATTTACCTATTTTCATGTTTTCTTGTTAACTGATAAGCATATGAGACTATGAATTTCTATCTGAGCACTCTTGGCAGTATCTAATAATTTCTGACATGTCTTGTAAAAGCACAATTCTCAAACTGTTAAAACTCTTTTTTATACAAATAGCTGCTCTATGTGACAAAGTTCTTTTTAACTCATGAATGAGGTAACGGACAGAATGACAGCATGACTTCACAGAGTATTTGAGGAATTGAAATTAAATGGGAGAGAGATTGTTGATGAGGAAAGCCAAAGTCTAAAATATTTAAAGAAGTTTCTTCTGAGCCAAATATGAGTGGCCATGGACCGGGGTACAGTTTCAAGAGCTCCTGAAAATGTGCACCCAAGGTGGTTGGGTTACAGTTCCATTTTACATATTTTAGGGAGACAGAACTTACAGGCAAATCAATACATATAAGGTGTACATTGGTTCAGCCTGGAAAGGTGAGACATCTTGAAGCCAGGCAGCGCAGGGGCATTCAGGTCTTAGGTGGATTCAAAGATTTTATGATTAGCAATTGGTTGAAAAAGTTAAGCTTTGCTTACAGTTGAAGTCAGCAGAAAGAAATGCTTAAGATCGGAGGTTGTGGAAGTCAAGGTAATTTTTGTTTCATACATGAAGTAGCTTCAGAGAGAGTAGATGATAAACATCTCTTTCTGGACCTTAAAAGGTGCCATAAATCTCTTAGGTAAATCTCTCCCGGATCAGGAAAGGACCTAGTAAGGGAAGGCCACTCTCTATAGACACAATTTTCCCCTACAAGAGTGCACTTTTCCCAGCCATTTCAAAACATGTCAAAGAAACATATTTGGGAGTAAAATACTGTGCTTTTCTTTAGGGTCTGCTATCTGCTGTCATGCAATGCTATGCCAGAGTCAGGTTGGAATTTGGTATCTAATTGCCACAAAAAGTCTATTTGTCAGTCTTATGATCTCTACTTTAGTATAAATGCTGGTCAGCTGTGCCTAAGCTCCAACAGGGAGGGGGAGCCCAGCCTCCCTTCTCATCAATAATCCAGTTTTTCAGGTTTCCTGGGGTCCCCTTGGCCCAGAGGGAGTCCAGTCAACTGGGGGGGGGGGTCTTAGAATTTTATTTTGGGGTTATGAGATCATTAGATAAGTTAGGTCCAAACCTGGTTCATGTCCTACAAAAAGCGTAACCTCTAGGGTTATCTTCTCCAAAAAAATTTCCGCATTATCACCTTTCTGTAAGACGCCCTCCAGTTTCATGGGGCTGCAGTACGGCAGCCTTGGGGGCCGTAAGCGGGAAGGCAGTGAGGCCGCATTTTCCGAGGGAGGGGAGAGTGCTCTGCTGTGATACTAAAATCACTCACCACTAATTTTCCTCAATTTCAAACTTTGGAGATATTTTCTTGAACGTGGATTTTCTTCTTCATTGTTTTCTAGATATTCTGTAAAGAGAACTTTATTTTCTTTTGGCTTAATAGTTATGTTAGAGAGTTAAAAAATGTTCAGATGGTGAGGTTTTCCGCTTCACGGTATTGACTTCAACCGGCAGTGGTACTGCGCTGGGATTGGTGAACGTCGCCTGGCGGTGTGTATGCTTTGGAATTCGTGGTTTCCTCTGGGCCTCGATACGCCATCCATTTTTGTGATTGTTCCATGGGCACTTGAAAGGCCTTCGATGAATATTGGTTAGAACTGTGTTACTGACGACGCTCTTCAGGCCTCTGAAGTGTCTGTCTGGCTCTCCCTGCACACCCTTTGGCTCTGTCACTCACTCTCAGCAGATGCCAATTCCATCCCATTCGGAGCACAGGGGTTTGCTGGGGCTTCTCTGTGGCTCATATCCTTTGCTACCACCAAGTGCCCATCTGTCTCGGTCAGCACTTGTTTCCTTGAAGCCAGCCCTGGCGAGGAAGATCACAAACCTGCCTTTTCCCTGCTCCTTCACTGCTTCCTTTATTTTGGTATAATTTACATGCAGCAAAACGAACAGGTGGTAAGTGCTGCGTTTCCGTGAGTTTTGGAAGTGTGTGCACGTGGTCACCCACACCCCTCAGGACGGAAACCACCCTGTCACCCCACAGAGGCCCCTGTGCCCCTCCCAGTTGGCCCTACCCTGCCCTGGGGCACCTGTGCTCTGACTTCAGCCACCACAGACCAGAGTTGCCTGTTGTAGAACCTCCTATAACGCAGAGCACAGGGGTTTGCTGGAGCGTGTGCTCAACGTGGCAAGTGCAATTCTGCCCAAATCACGGAATTCAGACGGGACTAATGCAGCTCCTCCAGTCTCAGCGGCCATGACCCTGGAGCGTGAGGACTCCAAACCCCACTCTTCTCCACTCTTGGAGGGAAACACCTTGTGCAGCCCAGTGTGCAGACCTTTCCAGGAACACCCCTTCCCAGGGCTGGCACCCCCTGAGAAGTGAGTGGCAGCATGGTTTTGCTTCAGTCAAAGGAAAAAGTCTCTAAGTGTGGAGGTTAGACACCACTCAGAGGGGGCTGGATATTGTATTTGGAATGGAAGCTTTTGCCAATGTCCTGAAATCCCACAAATAGGGATCACTCACTCTGTTCTTTCTCCTCCCTCCCAGCTGAGGTGTGCAGAGAGAGAGGGCGGCATGCAGGAAGGGGTGCAGGTGCAGGTACTGCAGGGTGTGGCAGGGCAGGAAAAGCCTGCCCTCTGAAATGCAGGCCCTGGAAAGCCAGAAAATCCCGGAGTCCCATGGAGGAAGGATGCATCCTCTTGAGATGGCTGTGGATGCCCTGCTGGGGAAGTGAGATCCACGGACCTCTCTTCAGCTCTGGTCTCACCCGGAGCTCTCCCAGTTTATCCACAGTCACTGGGCCATCCAAAAGTCCACCCTGCCCATCTTAATTTTCCTTAAAAGCTGCATTGCCTCCTAACTTCAAATCATTAGCAAAGAGTTGTGCAAAACATTATCCAAGGATCTGAGCATCAAGCACTTTAATTCTCTCTGTCTGTGGTCAGTCTCACGTTCCCAGTCCTAATTTTGTGCATTGACATTTTCTTTGATTTGTTTTTCTTGCTTTAATTATCAGGTGGTTTAGCAGTTTCGTTGTGGTCATTTTTTTTCTTTTTTTCTTTTTAAACAGCTCTGAGAAAATAGTGAACCAGCAGGCATGGTAGGTTCCACTCCAAACCCCAGATGCCTGGGGACACTGGTCAGAGCAGGGAATGGCCGTGTGGGCAGTGGAGGAGGTGGGCTGTATGGGAGAACTCATTTCTTCTTCCCTCCCCTTGTCTCTCTGGCTGGTCACTGCTAACACTGTTGATGAAAAGAGTCAAACTCTGTAAAATAATTGAAGAGATTTATTCTGAGCCAAATACGAATGACCATGGCCCGTGACACAGCCCCAGGAGACCCTGAGGGCATGCGCCCAGGGTGGCCGGGGCACAGCCTGGTTTTATACACTCAAAGGAGATGCATCTCAGTACACTAAGATGTGTTGGTTCAGTCTGGAAAGGTGGGTCAATGAGAAGGGGGAGGGGGCTTCCAGGTCGTAGGCAGATTCAAAGATTTTCTGATTGGCAATTGGTTGAAACAGTTATTATCAATAGAAAGGAACATCTGGGTTAAGATAAGGAGTTGTGAAGACTAAGGTTTTATCACGCAAGTGAGGCCTTCAGGTTGCAGGCTTCAGAGAAAATAGACTGTAAATGTTTCTTATCAGAGTTAACGAGTCTGTTCTATCAGTAGTTCCAAAAGGGAGGAGGGATAATGAGGCACGTCCAGCTCCCTGCTCCCATCACAGCCTGAACTAAGTTTTCAGGTTAACTTTGGCCCCTGGCTAAAAGGAGGGGTCTGTTCAGATGGTCGAGGGGCTTAGAATTTTATTTTTGATTTACAATAAGACAACAAAAGTAGACATTTAAAACACAACTGGAAACTAACAGCCCTACTCGCTGAATAAAAGGCCTGTGTCTTAAACAACTTTTAGGTTCAAGAACAAACCAAAACTTAAATAAATTAAATAGAATATCTCAAAAATAGCAAGAAGGAAAGCTGTTACATATCACTGCCAGAGGCAGTGCTCAGAGAAAAAGTACTTATGATTATAACCCAGACATAGTATTTAACCATCCAACTCAGGTTTTATTAAAAAAAAATGACATTGCTCTAAGAAAAGTACAAGGAAGGGATTAAAAAGATAAAAATAGAAGTTAATTAGAAAACAGAAGAACCAAAGCAACAATAAATAAACCCAGCACCTGATCAGCCTGTTGGTAATTAAGAAAAATGGAGAAAATACAGATCACAAAATAATAAATGGAAAAGGAGACATCACACACATTTACAGTGAAGAATCCTATGGCAGCACTCTGCTGCTATGGATTTTATCTTTTCTAGGAAAATGTAGGTATGAAAACTCCCCCAAAAGAGAGAAAATCTCTCAATGGACCAATGACTGTAGAAGAGACAGAGAAAACTGTTAAGAACTACCCAGCCCTGCCCAGAAAATCAGGCCAGACAATTTCACAGAGAAAATGTGCATCATCTTTATGGAGATGGTCACTCTGTTGCTTTTTAAAAGATTCTGGAGCATAGGAGAAGAAAGAGAGCTTCAAAACTAATTTTCAAAGGCAGAATAATGTTGACATTCAATTTTGATGAAGGTAGCACAAAAGTGAAAGCTACAAGCCAGTCTTGCCTGTGAATGTCAATGTAAAAATCTTAAATAGGATCTTAGCCAGCAGAATCGGCAGTGGATCAGAAAGAATGACCCATTGGGACCAGCCAACGATTTAACACTACGACATTGATGACTCTAATTCCTCCTGTTGCCGGCTGTAAAAGAAAAAATGTGATTACTTCCATAGATGTCTAAAATGCACTTGATAAAATCCAGCGTCCATTCTTGTGTAAAAACCCTAAATAAATTAGGAATGAACGGGCATGTACAACATCCCACTTAACGGGAAATATTATGGCCATTTTCACTGTCAGAAACAAGGCAAGGATGTTCGACATGACCTTGACGAAATTTGATCAAAGACAGGAATCAGAGGCACAAATCTGAGAAAGGTGGAGGTGAAGGCACTGGCATGTCAGGGTGGTCAGGTTGTGCACTGCACAACCAGGACTTGATCCCTGACCAGAGGGCGCCCTCAGAGCAGGTGCATAACACAGGGTGACAAGCCACAGACTCCCTAGAAAGCAGTGACCAGTTAGAAGAAAAATGAGAAAATAATCCCACTTACAACAACCGCAGCAGCACAGATAAAATGCCTAGGAACTACAAGATATTCCCAAAGAAAACCATAAATGTTACTGGCGACTGGAAGAGAAGACTGGAAAAAAGAAGGAAGGACTGCCGCATTCTTGGGTAGAAAGACTCAGTATTACAAAGATATTAATTATTCCTAAGTGACTCGGTACATTTAGTGTGATTCCGTACCAATGCCAACTTATGTACGAGTGTGTGTGCGTGTCCGTGTGTGTGTGTATTCATGTGTGAAGAACTGGGCAAGTTCGTTCTCAGTTTTATTTAGAAAACCAAATATGCATGGATTCAAAAAAATTCTGTGGCAGAAGCAAGGATGGACTAGTCCTACCGGATAACAGACATTTCATCGAGGTAGGAAGTTAGCACTGTTCGAGAGCCATGAACCGGTCAGTGGAGCCGCTGCAGTCTCCAGACCACGGTGGAGCCACCCAGAAATGCAGTGGCCAGAAAGGTGCCCTGCTCACTGCAGAGGGGGTCCTGCAGCATGTGACAGCGGGGCTAGGAACGAGCCAACTTGGGCCTCACACGCTCGCACCAAATGCATCTGGAAAAATCAAGTTAAATTAAAAAATAAATAAATCCAAAGCATTTCAGAAGAAAAGAGGAGAACTGTAAACATCCTTGGCTTGAGGAATGACTATGACGCAAAACCCAGAGAGCATGAAAGATTGACAGACACAACTGAAACTGCCTTTGAAAATCATAACGAAGGAAATGATGACAGTTAAAGGTATCGGACCTAACCGACTCCATCTTGCTTCTAACCTCCAAACTGTCCGCGTCCATTCCGGGGCGTAGGCTGAACTAGCTTTGGGAAGGAATTTAGTTTATAGTTTAAATAATAGCCCTTCCCAAAAGCTAAACTGCTCTTGTAAAATGAATGAAAGGCCACCAGCTACCAAGTTAGAATGAGACAGGCTGGAATTCTAAATATTACCAGCCATGATTCTGGAGGTCATATGACTTGCAACTTCCCCACTTACTCTTGAGGATATCATCACTATTGTGAACCTAAGCTCAGCCTGCTGAGATGTCTTTTCAGGTTTTTGATTTCTGACAACTGGATGGCCCCACCTGAAACTGCCAACTAGTTCTGTGACCCTCACCCAGGAACTGATTCAGCAGAAGAGGACAGCTTCGACTCCCTGTGATTTCATCCCAAGCCAACCGGTCAGCACCAGATTCACTGGCCCCTGCCCATCAAATTATCCTTAAAGACTCTGGTCCCCTACACACCATGGAATACTATGCAGCCATAAAAAATGATGAGTTCATGTCCTTTGTAGGGACATGGATGAAGCTAGAAACCATCATTCTCAGCAAACTATCGCAAGGACAAAAAACCAAACACCACATGTTCTCACTCATAGGTGGGAACTGAACAATGAGAACACTTGGACACAGGAAGGGGAACATCACACACCGGGGCCTGTTGTGGGGAGGGAGGAGGGATAGCATTAGGAGATATACCTAATGTAAATGACGAGTTAATGGGTGCAGCACACCAACATGGCACGTGTATGCGTATGTAACAAACCTGCACGTCGTGCACATGTACCCTAGAACTTAAAGTATAATAAAAATATATATATATTTAAAAAAAAGACTCTGGTCCTCGAGTTTTCAGGGAACTGATTTGAGTAATAATAAAACTCCAGTCTCCCGCAGAGCCGGCTCTGCCTGAATTACTCTTTCTCTATTGCAATTCCCCTGTCTTGATAAATCAGCTCTGTCTAGACATCGGGCAAGGTGAACCCACAGGGTGGTCACACAGCTACATAAAAACCCTAAATGGTCAAACCTCTCCGCAAACAAGTAAAAAAGGCAAACGTGTTGCTGAAGAAGCATTGGCAGCAGGCAGTGTTTCCTGCAGATACATGGCCAATTCCCTTATCGACCCCCTTATTGATCTCTCCCCAGGATCCTCCGAGGCCTCCTTTAGATCAGGCCTCAGCCTCGGGCCCTGTCCTCAGCTGCCCTCCTTGGGGCGAGCCACTCCTGCTTTGCCTGCCTGGCCCTGATGGCAGTTCCTGTCCGTCATGCCAGGCTGCGCTGGCAGTGGCCGGTGTATCAGTCTGGGTGATCAGAGGTCTTGCTGGGAAGTGCTATGTGGCTGAGCGCTCTAATCTCAGCCCCTGCACCTCAGTGCAGCTGAGCACAGAGCTCCTGGGGCTGGCCAGATCCCTGTCAGTCCCTCAGGGTGGGCCCGCACCTGGAGCACTAACAGCTGTCTCCCAGCCCTGCTGAGAGCCATGTGGAATCGGCCTGTGGTTAAGCGACATCCACTACAGTGAAAATATAAAAAGGAGCCAGGCCACCCTGTGTTCACCAACAGGCCTGTGAAAGCCCCTCTGCCACATCCTACATCAAATATCCCATCTCTGAAGGCACTGGGTCTCATCCCATCTCTGAAGGCGCTGGGTCTCACCTGAGGACCGAGGGAGGATCCCCTCTCTGAAGGCGCTGTGGCCTCATCTGAGGACCGAGGGAGGATCCCGTCTCTGAAGGCGCTGGGTCTCATGTGAGGACCAAGGGAGGATCCCATCTCTGAAGGCACTGGGTCTCATGTGAGGACCGAGGGAGGACCCCGTCTCTGAAGACACTGGGTCTCATATGAGGACTGAGGGAGGATCCCATCTCTGAAGGTGCTGGGTCTCATCTGAAGACCGAGGGAGGATTTCGTCTCTGAAGGCGCTGCGGCCTCATCTGAGGACTGAGGGAGGACACCCTAGGGCCCTCGCCCCTCCTTCCCCCACCACTCTGAAGTGGGGGTCCCTCTCTGCCGTGCCAGGAGGCCAGCCCTCCTCAAGCTTCCACAAACAGGGCAGAGCTCCGCATGCAGTGTGCTGGGGGCAGGTGGACTCCTGCGTCCCAAGCTCAGGCCCCCGGGGGTCACTGCGGGCTGGTGGCAGGTCCAGTGGGCTCAGCTCCCATTTGGTCCCTTCCTTCCTGGATGAACGCAGACCCCTTACCTGACCACCGAGGCTGGATCTCTCCGTCCACAAATCAGAGACCCCACCCACATCGAGGGTCCTGCCTGTGTCTGGGGGCTGCAGCAGGGAGTCCCGCACCCATCGGGACAGCTACAAAGCTGGGGAGGGATCTGCTGGGGATGCCCACAGGACCTGGGGTGTGGGGCAGGCAGGACGCGACACCTGGCAGGACTTTAGGACATGTTGGTGCCCAGACCTGTGGGTTGACAGCGAGGCCCGGAGCACGGAGGCCGCCTGTGTGGCTCACATCAGAGCTTTAAACATTCAGTTTGACAGGGTGTCGGGGCGACTGCCCTTCCTTGTGCTCAGGAAGAGTCGGGCAGGCCTGCTCCTGCAGGGCGCCGGTGGTGCTATTTTAGGCGTCCTGCTCTGAAGGGCCTCTCTGCGCCCCGTGTGCTCACAGTCTAGGTATTGAACAGGCAGGCCCTATCCTCCTCTGAGCACCAGGACAGAGCGGGCGGCTGTTTAAATGCAAGATCAGTCAGCTGTGGCAGGATGCAGTGATTTGAGAGAAAATGTCACAACTCTACCAGCGAAGTTGGAAACTAAATCGGGACGTCACAGTGACCTCCCTGGCTTGCACACAGCCAGGTGACAGGCTGTGCGGAGCCGTGGGGCCCTCCCCCTGGGATACCTGCTGACACCAGGCTGGGCAGGGCCCTTCGGAAGGCGAGTGGGAGGACCCAGGAGCTCCTGCTCCTGAGCCCAGGGTCACCTTTAGGGAGCACTTTGGGGGGTCAGTTGTGCACCTTCCGGAAGGAGGCAGCGAGACTGGGGAGCAGCAGGAGGAAGCCGTGGCCAAGGTCCCTGCAGAGCCAGCTGCTCTGAGCCTTGCCCAGGGCATGGCTGAAACGCAGCCCCAGGCTCCATGCCAGTTCTCCAGGCACTGGCCCAAGGTCTCCTCCTCTTGAAGAGCTGCTCAGGTTAATTTCCCACGGCAGCGGGATTCCAGCGTCCTCCCTCCCTCAGTCCTTGTGGCGCCATCCCCTGCCTGGCCCTGGACCCCCATCCTCTGACGGGTTCCTCTTCCCCTCGTGCCTTTACTTACTTGACAGATGTTCACACCCCCACACGCTGAGCTCAGCATCTCCTGGTCACGGGTCCCTGGAGCCTGTGGGCCAGCACAGGGGGCCCGCCTGCATGTAGGACCTTCTCTGAACAGTCACCAGCTCCGGGCATGGCGAGGGCCCAGGGGTCTGTCTGACCTGAATCTCCCAGGTGGGAGCTGGTCTTTGAGGCACACGGCAGCCTCTGCACCACGTTTCGGGGGTCAGGAGGTGCAGAATAGCTCTGCAGGGGGAGGCAGGGGGTGACGCGGCCGCTCCTGGAGCACCGGCCTCGCCAACTCTGGTGGAGACCCCCAGGCTGTCGAGGGCCACAGCGATGCCCTCCTCTCCCTTTGCTCCTCCCCACCCAATCCCCCCTGCAGGGCAGCCTGGCCTCCTGCACAGACCGACAGGTGGGCGCTGGAGGCAACATGCCTGGACCAGGACTCCTGGGCCTCACCTGCCCAGTGTGCCTGCAGTACCATCTCCGCTCACCACCTGGCTGGGTGCATCTCTCCTGGGGGCCACCACACTCCAGGGATGCCGGTCTCCCTTCTCAGCTGGTATTTCAATCAGGGTCTGGAAAGGGGTGGCCTCCACTCCTCCTGTCCCAGGGGAGACTTGGGCTGGCCAGGTGAGGGTGGGATTCTGACCAAGGCGACCTCTCCTTCCCAGAGGGACAGAGGCTGTCCTGGGTGGGTAACCGCCCTTTGGTCTAGACCCTCCTGATCCCTCAGACCAGGAGAGACGGGGCATTTCTGATGTCGCTGCTTGAAAGGCAACCCAAACTGGAGCCTCTCCTCTGACGCGTCCTGCTGTCTGAATAAGCCGAGGAGGCGCCGCCACCTTGGTGTCAGTGCACGCTGAGGCCAAGGGCTCTCCTCCCGGACACTCATCGCCGGCCCCTGAGAGGAAGGGTGGACCCACCCCAGGCACAGACATGCCGGCACCTTCTGGGCTTCCTTGCCCCAGGGTTGACCTTTTGTCCTTATCCTGCCTGGGCTCCTCCTGGCGGCTCACACAAGGGTGGGTGTGATGTCACCTGGGCCGACCTGCCCCCGACTCAGCACCGAGGCTCCTGTGTGCCTCAAACCCGGCTCCCGCCAGGAATTCGAGTCAGACAGGTCCCTGGGCCCTCGCCATGCCCCAAACTGGCAGCCATACAGAGGACGCCCCGCATGCAGGTGGGGACCCACAATCAGGCCCCCGGGGCAGGTGGGCACCTGGGTGGAGGCCACGGCTTTCTCACCTGGACGGGGACTAAGGAGGCTCCTCTGCCCGTCCCCTGTCCAGGCCTCGCTGAGGCTCCTAGGCCATCACCTTCTTTCTCCTGACATCCCCACCCCTCCGGTGCCCCCCAGGCCCCCCCCAGTCAACTCCCACTTGGGCTCTTGTCTCAGGCCCGAGGCCAGGGCCAGCCTTGGCAAAGGCAAGATCTCTTCTGAGAACAGGTGCCGGCCTGGAGCCAACGGGTGGCCTTGGCGTCCGGTGGCCTCGGCCCCAGCGTCCAGATTGGACCCAAGGGGACGATCGCCCCACCACTGACGAGGGTGCCACGAATGGGGTTGTGGACAGGGGGTGTGAGGGGCTCGGGGGAGGTGGTGCTGGTGCGTGGCTGCTGCAGCCTGGGGACACAGCCGTCCTCACGCTCGGCCAAGGGTCACTGGTGACAGACGGCGAGGCCTCGTCCCCAGATGCCGCCTCCCACGTGGTTCAGCCAGAACGCGCTCCCACCTCAGCCCTCCCTGGTCACCGTGGGTGTCAGAGCCACCAGGGTGGTGCCATCCCGAGGGGCATTCCCTCGACAGGTGACAGCTCTTCCCAAACACTGCTGCCCCAGAGTGTGACAGAGGCCCCTGGTCCGGAGCCACACCACAGAGGGACACCCCCACGGCCCCTCGCACTGAGAGCGCGCGGCTCAGGCAGGAGCCAGCCTCAGGCTGCAGGCCCTGTGGGCGGACGGCGGAGGGAGGCAGGGCTGGGAGACGTTTTTTGTATCTATGAGTTAACAACAAACCCAGCCGGAACCCCAGGCTCAGATCTGCTCAGAAGACGGAGGGGAAGCAGCAAATGCTGGCGTCTGACTTGGATCCAGGACTTTTATTTTTAAGCTTTAAAAATGTGAAGAAGAGGATGTCACCAGCTAACGACGTCAGCAAACGTCTTGGAAAATTTGGAAACGTGTTGACCGGGTTGGCTGTAATTTATTTCTAGAAGTGTAAGCAAGAATTTGGGGCTGAGGGCTAAGAAAGGCAAAACCAGAAACATCAAGATCGGCTCAATGTGACCCCTGCCGCATGCCTGCTCCCAGGACCCCTCACCCCCAACCCCTGCCACACACCTGCTCCCGGGGGCTCCCCACCCCTCACCCCCACCTCATGCCTGCTCCCCGGCACTTCTCACCTGCTCACCCCTACCACATGCTGGCTCCCCTGACCCCCCACCCCTCACCCCTGCTGCACACCTGCTCCCCTGATCCCCCACCCCTCACCCCTGCTGCACACCTGCTCCGGCGATCCCCCACCCCTCACCCCCGCTGCACTTGCAGCCCAGCCTTGGAGTGCAGGCCTTTCTCCTTCACTCTTCCGCCTTAGGACGCTGGCCGTGTATGAGTGTCAGTGCACGGATGAGCGAGTGTGAGTGTGAGCCTGACAGGCATGTGTGAGCATGAGTTCAGTGTGTGTGTGAGCAAGTGTGTGTGTGCCTGCGTGAGTGTGCACAACAGTCGGCCTCTCCACGTGCATGTGCCAGGCCGGCAGGTCCAGCCCCCTCTGCTTCCTCCGCGTGAGGAGGGCTCACAGTCCCTGCAGGGCCTGCACAGCCCGGGAGACCAGCGATAGGGCAGGGGCTCCGGGAGCTGCCAGCTTGGCTGGGAGGACAGAATCACGTTGCTGATGGACGTCTTCTGAGAGAGGACTGGGACGCCATCATTCGAGTGAGGTTTGAGGTGGGAGTCGACTCCAGAGGCAGTACTTGGACTCCGGACCGGATTGACTAGTTAAAGCAGGGCTCGCGGAAGCAGCTTTCCCTAAGCCTCGCCCACCCGAGTGCCTGTCAGTTTTCCGTTGCCATAGCAACACCCGGGTGTTACCGCCCCCTTCTATGGCAATGACTCAATGACCCAAAAGTTACTACCCCTTCCCTAGAAATTTCTGCATAAATCGCCCCTTAATCTGCATGCGATTAAAAGCGGTATAAGTGTGACTGCAAAACTGCCCCAAGCGGCTGCTCTCTGCCTACGGGGCGGCCCCGCTGCAGGAGCAGTCAGGGAGCTGTGAGCTGTGGCACGGCCGCCTGAATAAAGCTCTTTCCTTCTACCTGCGGCTTGCCCTTGAATTCCCTCCAGGGTAAAGCCAAGAACCGTCGGGGCTCAGCCCCACCTGGGGGCTCCCCTGCCCCGCACCACCGAAGTCTTGGATGGGTAACTGGAAGATGCCATTGTGAATAGAAATATCCTTTCTCGATGAATTAGAAAATGAAACCAACTCCTGCATTAATTTTACACAAATGACATCAAGAGGGTTGAGAGAAGAAGGTGGCTGTCCCCAGCTCCGGGTCCCTGCCAGCCTTATGATAGTCTTCTAAGGCCATCTATTATTTCCTGAAATATTCATAGAAGTATGAAAAATTGAGCATGAGTGGTTTGCTTTGTGCTTCGTTATTTATTAAGCTTGTGACTTATTTTTCTTTTGGCGAAGAGCTTCCTATCTTTTCCAAGAAAAAAAAAGTGGGCCAGAATAACAGCCCTCATGTTTTGAGCTTGAAATTAAAATTTCGAAGACCTCCCTGTACAAAGTGAAGCTGAGTAAAGATGTTTACAAATGCAGATTGAAAATGAAAAATGCAAGGGCCTTTGTGACTCATTTTATGAATATGTGTTTTTATCAAAGAACTCCCATAAGTTGACTCGGAGCCTGATTTGCATCTAGGGTTTCATCCTTGCTTGGTGGTGGACTGGCCGTCCCTTCATCCCTTCTATAAGTCCATTAACATCCCTCCCTCCATCTGTCCGTCAACATCCCTCCCTCCATCCATCTGTCTATCAACATTCCTCCCTCCCTCCATCTGTCCATCAAAATCCCTCCCTTCATCCATCTGTCTATCAACATTCCTCCCTCCCTCCATCTGTCCATCAACATCCCTCCCTCCATCCATCCGTCCATCAACATCCCTTCCTCCATCCATCCGTCCATCAACATCCCTCCATCCATCCGTCCATCAACATCCCTCCCTCCATCCATCCGTCCATCAACATCCCTCCCTCCATCCATCCGTCCATCAACATCCCTCTCTCCATCCATCCATCCATCAACATTCCTGGCACCTGCTCAGCATCGGGGGGGCATCCCAGCCCTCACAGGGAGCAGGCACAGTAGGTACAGGTAGAGGCTCCCTGCCTGCTCAGCCCCAGGCCGCTCCTGAGAGCACCCCCAAAGCCACAGGTCACAGCACATTGCCCCTGATTTTACCCCATTAGGAGAGGGAAGATGTGCCCAAGGGGACTGGTGAGCCACAGGGAGGCGGATTCCTGGGCTGCAGCTTAAAACAAGACACTTGTTCCCTCATGGTTCCGGAAGCCAGAGTCCAAGATTGAGGTGTAGGCCTGCGCTCCCTCAGAGCTGCTCGCTCCAGGGAGATCCCTCCTCGGCGCTTCTGCTTCTGGTGACTCCGGGTGTCCTCAGCATCGCCCAGCCCCACCTCCATCTTTGCAAGCCTCTCCTTTCTCCCATAAGGATGCCAGGCACCGGATTTCAGGCCCATACTAAATCCAAGATGATCTCATCATGATATCCTTAACTTTTTACATCTGCGAAGACCCTGTTTCCAAACTGGTCACGTTTGTAGGAACCAGGGCTTAGGACTCGAACATATCTTTTGGGGAGACAAGATTCATCCCCCATGAGCATGGGTTCAGAGAGCAACGGCTTTAGCACTACCGAGGTCTTAATCCAAGCTTCCTGTCAGGATTTAATACAAGGGAGGCTGAACTGCCGGGGAGCTCAGAAATGCACGAGCAAGACATGAGCGTAGGGGAGGTTCCCGGGGTGCCTCGACTGTCCAGGCTTGCAGCTGCAGGTGGAGAGGAGGCAAGGCTGTTTGCCCATTTCAGCCTCAGAACAGTCACAGCCCAGCAGCCGGCGGCCTGTCCATGATGACCATTCTGCTCCGGAGCCTACACAGAGGGCACTGTTCACCCTGCGGCCGCCTCCCTGCGCTCCAAGGATCAGCCTCATGATAAGGTCAGAAAGAACCTTGGCTTTAGGGTCTGTCCCGCGTGGCCACCTGTTCTGTATGTTAAAACCGACTTGCCTGCCATTTCTCTTCTTATCCCTCACACCCACCCACCCAGCCTGGGCCAGGCCTGGTTCTAGGGCGCGGCCAACGGTCGGGGACAAAATATTCATGGTTTCTGGGTTCGTGGTCAGGCAGTTTGGGTGGACACAAGCAAGTGCCACGTAAAATAAGCAACGGTGAGAATGGTTATGAGTCGCAATGACACTGTGAGGCACTTTAACAGGCTCATCGGCGTGGCCCTAGGCCCTGCCCTCTGTGAGCCCAGGTCACCCCCAGGACGCCCAGCGGCTGCTGCGCCACCTCCCTCCTCCCACTGTGGCCAGGCCTGGCGGGCGGGTGCTGCCTCCCGACACGCACACTTTGCCGGGGCAGGTCCGCGCCAGCGCCGTCGCCAGAAGAGCCTCACAAAGACGCGGCTGCCACCGTTTGGCGTCTTTGAAGACTGTTCAGCAGGTCTGAGGATGAGCTGCTCTGAGGGTTTTTCCCAACTTACCATTTTGATACAACGTCAAACATATGTAAAAGTCACAAGAATACGACAAGGAACTGCCATTAGAGCCTTAGGCGAATTCACCAACTGTTCCCACTTCTCACCGGTGTCACCTTCCCACCGTTCCCACTCCTCACTGGCGTTACCTTCCCTCCGTTCCCACTTCTCCTCAACGGCGTTACATTCCTGCGGTTCCCACTTCTCACCGGTGTCACCTTCCCACCGTTCCCACTCCTCACTGGCGTTACCTTCCCACCGTTCCCACTCCTCACTGGCGTTACCTTCCCTCCGTTCCCACTTCTCCTCAACGGCGTTACATTCCTGCGGTTCCCACTTCTCACCGGTGTCACCTTCCCACCGTTCCCACTCCTCACTGGCGTTACCTTCCCTCCGTTCCCACTTCTCCTCAACGGCGTTACCTTCCTGCGGTTCCCACTTCTCACCGGTGTCACCTTCCCACCGTTCCCACTCCTCACTGGCGTTACCTTCCTGCCATTCCCACTTCTCCTCACGGCGTTACCTTCCTGCCGTTCCCACTTCTCCTCAATGGTGTTTCCTTCCCGCCTTTCCCACTTCTCACCAGCGTTACCTTCCCGCCATTCCTACTTCTCCTCAACGACGTTACCTTCCCTCTGTTCCCACTTCTCACTGGCGTTACCTTCATGCTGTTCCTACTTCTCCTCATGCCATTACCTTCCTGCCATTCCCACTTCTCCTCACGCATTACCTTCCTGCTGTTCCCAATTCTCTCTGGCGTTACCTTCCTGCTGTTCTGCCGTTCACGCGTGTTTATATGTGTTTGCATGTGTTTACATGTGTTTGCATGTGCCTGTGTCTGCATATGCGCATTTCCCTGAATCGACGGAGGGTGAGTTGAGAGTTGAAGAAATTATGCCATTTTACTGCTAAATACCTCAGCGTGTACTTCCTGACAAAGACACTTCTTTTCATTACCACAGTATAGCTGTCAAAATCAGGAAAGTTCACACCAATGAAATATCTAATCCAGAGTCCATACTCAGATTTCATCAATTGTGCCTAAACATCCCTTTAGCTTTTTCCCACTACATCCTGGATCTAATCCAGGACCGCGGGCCTATGACCTTTTCAAAGTCCTAATTTCCATCCTTCTTCAACAGTTCTTGTAGCCTTTCTTTGTATTTCTTGACCTTGACATTTTTGTGAGTGTTTGTCAGCGACTTTGCAGAGTGCCCCTCAGTCTGGGTTGACGTTCGGATTTTCCATTTTATTCTAAGGTGGTTTTGGTAAATTGTATTATTCAAGGACTTTCCCCCATTTCATTGTAATTGCCAAATGTATTGGCATAAACTGGTTTATCATGTTCCCTGATTTCCCTTTTAGTGACTGTAGAATCTCTATATTTCCTCTTTCATTTCTGATATTGGCAATTTAGGCTTTTCCCTCTTTATTTTTCTTTTATCTTGGTTGATCTGTTTTGTGTTTTTGTTTGTTTAAGACAGGATCTCACTCTGTCTCCTGGGCTGCAGTGCAGTGGTGCAATCATAGCTCACTGCAGCCTCAAACTCCTGGGCTCAAGTGATCCTCCTGCCTCAGTCTCCTGAATAGCTGGGACTACAGGCATGCAACACCACACCTGGCTACTTAAAGAAAATATTTTTTGGAGAGATGGGGTCTTGCTGTGTTGCCCAAGCTGGTCTTGAACTCCTGGCCTCAAGCAATCCTCCTGCCTTGGCCTCTGAAAGTGCTGGGATTACAAGTGTGAGCTTCGGTGCCAGGCCTCCTGATCAGTCTTATGGGGTCTGGCTCTGTCACCCAGGCTGGAGTACAATGGTGCAATCTCAGCTCACTGCAACCTCTGCCTCCCGGGTTCAAGCCATTCTCCTGCCTCAGCCTCCCGAGTAGCTGGAACTACAGGCATGCACCACCACACTCAGCTAGTTTTTTTATTATTATTATTTTTAGTAGAGACGGGGTTTCACCATGTTAGCCAGGATGGTCTCAATCTCCTGACCTCATAATCCGCCCCCCTTGGCCTCCCAAAGTGCTGGGATTACAGGCGTGAGCCACCATGCCCGGCCCTGATCGGTCTTATGATCAGTCTTATAAGTGAAATGGGAAAGGTTCCCTTGTTCCCCTTGCAGGGTGTGCGATGGGGGTGTGGCTTGCTTCTTCAGTGCCCCGATGCTCAAACTAGCCAGGGGAGCATACAGACGAGCAGGCTGGGGGGCTCTGACCCCATGGCAGTGTCTAGGGGTGAATGTTTCCAGCTCCTGACGCTGCAGTGGACATGTGCTACCATATGTTCTTACTTTGCCATCTATAGGTGGCTTATGTTCACCAGCTCAATTAGACCTTGTTGCAAGGACAGAGGGCATTCCGTATCCAGGATTCTTGCCTTGGTGCACCGGAAGAATCGAATCAAACCTGGGCTTGGAGAATGACTGCAATGTTTTATTGCGTGGAGGTAGCTCCGGGGAAGTCAGAGGGGGATGGAGTGGGAAGGTTTTCCTCTGGAGTCAGGCCACTTGGCAGCCTGGTCTCTCCAACTGCCCTGGCCAAACTCCACGTCGTTCTGCCGATCGGTCGGTGTCCTTCTGGCGTGCTGGTGACTGTCGGAGCGTTGCTCACCACGTCCAGCTGCCCGTGTGTTCCTCCACTGATGTGCTCCTCTTGATGTCCACCTGCCTGTGTGCCTGCCTGCTAGAGTCTCAGGGTTTTTATAGGCACAGGATGTGACAGGGGTGTGACAGGCCAGGGGAGGTCTTGGGAAATGCAACATTTAGGCAGGAAATTCCTGTCCTCACCTAGGTCCGTGGGGGTGGAGCCCTAGCCAGGGACCACACCCTCCTGTACCCAGCACTTCCCTTCCCCCTTCCCTATCATTTAAAGGGACCACACCCTTCCCCTCCCAGCACTTCCGTATCATAAGGATATACCAAGATTTTATTAATCTTTTTAAAGAACCGAATCCTGGATTTGCCAATTTGAACTTTTTTCTGTTTTCTATTTTGTTGACTTCTATTCTTATTTTTATTATTTTCTTAATTATATTTATTTTTGTTTAAATTTACTTACAGTTTTCCAGCTCTGGCTGTGACAATGTGGATTACTGGTGCCATTGTTAATTTTAGGTCCATTTGACTGGGCTAAGGGATGCCCAAGTAGCTGGTAAAAGATTGTTTCTGGGTGTGTTTCTGGAAGAGATCAGTGTTTGAATCCATAGACCGAGTCAAGAGGGTCTGCCCTCCCCAGTGTGGGCATCATGCAATCTGCCAAGGACCTGCATAGAACACAGACATGGAGGACAGGAAAACTCTCTCTGCTGGAGGTGGAACATCTCTCTTCTCCTGCCTTCAAACACTGGCCTCGGTGATTCTTGGGCCTTCAAACTTGAACTGAATTACACCGTGACCAGCTCTCCCTGTTCTCCAGCCTGCAGATGGCAGACCATGGGACTTCTCTGCCTTAATAATTATGTGTGCCAATTCCTATAATAGATTTTCTCTCTCTCCATCAATAATCAATCATGTATCCATCCATCCATCCATCCTTCCCTGTCTCTCTATCTTTCTATCTATCATCTATCTATGTTATGTTTATCTAGAGAACCCTGACTAATAAAATTGGTTTTGAATTTCATTCTTTAAAGCAGTTAAATTAAAATGAAACAGAAAAGACATTTCTCGTATCTTCACTATCAATTTGAAATTTTTTTTAATCTTTCTGTTTTGACCCAGTTTATTCAGAAGCATTTTTCTTAATTGCCATGTATCTGGCAGGGCAGGAGACTTTCCTGGATATCTTACTGGCATTGATTTTTAATTTAATTCCACAGTGATCAGAGAACACACCATACAACTTCAATGTTTTGAAATTTATTGACACTTGATTTTGGCTCAACATATCAACTATTTTGGCAAGTTTTCAATGTGTACATGGAAAGAACGTGTATTCTGCAGTTATTAGGCGATGTGTTCTGTGAATGCCATTAGGTCAATGTGGATTATAGTGTTACTTAGATCTGTGTCCTTACTGCTTGTTTTGTCTACTTGTTTTATCCATTAGTAAGGGAAGAGTGTGAAAATATCCAACTAGGTTTGTGAATTTGTATATTTCTCATTTTAATACTGTCAGTTTTTGCTTTATGTATTTTGAAGTGCTCTCATTAGGTGCATACACCTTTATGATTCTTATGTCTTACTAATACATTGACCCTCTATCTCTGGTAATACTCTTTGTCTTAAATCCGTTTTGTCTGATGTTAATATACTTACTCTGGGTTTTTAATGTTTTTGTTGACACTTTAATCTTTTCTCATCCTTTTGCTTTCTCACTATGTCACTTTGCATTCAAAATATGTCTCTCCTATAAATAGCATATAGCTGGGTTTTGCTTTTTTATTTTTAAAACTTCAGTCCGATAACCTCTCCCTTTTAATTGGAGGAATTAGTTCATTTATACTTAATGTAATTATTGATAAGATTGACTCTATGTCTATCATTCTGTTATTTGCTTCCCTTTGCATCCCTTCTATTTTTTATTCTCTGTTCCTTCCTTCCTGTCTTTTAAAGAGTTAATTAAATATATTTAATCTTCCTAGTGCTTTTTCACCTCTGCTTCTTTGCACAAGTATTTTAATGTGTGCTCTTAGTATTAGAATATACATGCTTAACTTTCCACAGTCTACTTAGAGTTAATATTGAGCCACTTCTCAAATGTGAGGACCTTACAACAGGGCAGCTCCATTTCCCACCCTGTCCTTTGTGCCATTGCTTCATATATTTTAAATCTACTTACATCACAAACTTCAAAATCTGTTATAATTTTTATTTGAAATAGTCATATGTCTTTTAAAGAATCAAGAGACTAAAAATACAATATTTTATATTTGCTTATGTACTTGCTGTGTCTGGTGTGCTTCATGTCGGGTTTGAAAATCCAGTTTCCATCTGGTGTCAGTTCCCTTCAGCCTAAAAACTTCCTTTACCGTATCTTAGAGCAAAAGTCTGCTGGTTACAAATTCTTTAAATTTTTACTTATCAGAAAATATTTCTATTTTGCCTTTATTTTTTAAAAGGCTGTATTTGCTGGATGTAGAATTTGGGGTTGAAGGGTCTTTCCTTCATCACCTTGAGGACATTGCTCTCTCTCCCGAGGGGAAGAAGTTGGCTGTCATTCGTGTCATTGCTCTCCTTGGTGTGATTTGTCATTTCACCCTGGCTGCTCTAAAGATTTTTCTCTTTGTTTTTGGTTTTTAGGAGTCTGGTGATGATGTGCAGTTATCATGTGTAGTGTTTATTCTGCTTTGGATTTGCTGGGCTTCTTTAATATATAAATATATGTTTTCATAAAACTTAGGGCCGTTATTTCTTTAAAAATGTTTCCACCTCATTGTCTTTCTTCTCTACTTCTGGGACTCCAAATACACGTGTGTTAGACACTTATATTGTTAAACTCCATTTATTTTTTAAAATCGTTTTTTCTCTCTGTTCTTCAAATTGAATAATTTCTATTGGTCGGGTTTGGAGTTGCTGATACATCACTGGGGGTCCCAGGTGTGCAGGGGCAAGGGCTGAGCTGGAGTTGGGGCTCCAGTCAGGATGATGACTAAACCTCATTCCAGATGGGTTCACTCATGGGAGCCGGCGGGACCCCTTTCAGCTCCCATTTGCAGTCAGGGCTCTTTGCTGCAGAAGCACCTGGGTGTCATCCATGCCAGTCGTCCTGGGACGAAGTGAGCGGTGGCCACTGTGCCATGAGTGGTGCACCCTGCTGCCTGGGGTGGGCACGACGCCCACCGCTCGGCCCCCACTGGGCCTCAGCCCCCAAGGCACCCACGCTCCTCTGTGAGGGTCACCCAGCCTGCATGGCATCGTTAGGCTGCCCCAGGAAGGGGCAGGGTGCCCTCAGAGCTGGGACCCCTGGAGTGGCCAGCAGCAGCACTGGGGGACTGACCAGGGCGGGTCGGTGCTCATGGCAACCACTAGTACCCGATGGCTCCCTCCATGCTCAGGAGGAGGGAGGAGCTCTGCCCGGCTGAGAACAGCCTGACTCTGTTGCACATACCACAATTCCAGGGTCAGGACGCCTCCTCCCCACTAGCTGTGCTGACCTGGGAGCAGCAGGTTCGGCCCTCACCCCAGGTAGGACGTGCCCCCTCCTTGATATGCCCACTTCAGCGAATCACGTGTGGCCTGAGGGCTCTGCTCAAGGGCCCTAGCCAGGAAACAGCCTGCTGGGAGGCCAACCAGGTGCCCCCACACCTGTGGTGGACATTGACTCCCTCCAGGCGGTGGCTGAGGGCAGCCCCAGCCAAGTCTGTGCCAGCCGAGGCTGCTGGGGACCCTTCCTCTCCCCCTTCCCTGTTCTGTTCTTCCTTCCCACCCTTCCTCCTCCCTCCCTCCTTTTCTTTTTTTGGGTTTCACCTTAGACTAAGTAAACACACTGGCCTGAATTATGTAAGCCCCTCTTGCAGCCTGGGCAGATACATTTAAAAATAAAACTTGTCAGGTGTTGTTACCTTCCAGCCTCCTCAAAGCTGAGCTCTCCAATCTCAGGACTATTTACAGCCACACCAGCAGCAGTGCTGACTCGGCACCACAGGCGCGGCCTCTTGTGGGGAAGGAGCAGGGACCCTCCACCGTGCTTGGTTTCTTTCCCCACCTTCCTCTCGGTGGGGCTGGGAGTGGGGTGATTTGGAAACACTCAGAGGGTTTAGACATGAATGAGTCTGGTCGAATTCCCCACTCTGGACAGCGAGTCCAGGCACTGCCTGGCGGTCTGGTCGGGGTTCCTGGGGGGAGGTTCAGAGCAGGGTATGGCAGGAGCAAGACCCGGGTGTCTTGTGTCCCCGAAAGGAGCAAGAGGAGGCAGCAGGAAACCCGGACGGCGCTGAGCGGAGGCCTGGGCGCACGTCCTGGAGGAAGAGGCATCGTTACCAGGAGTGCCCGAGGCACAGTGCACAGATGGGCTGGTACAGGGTCCTGGGAGCACTGCGGGACCGGGCAGGGCTCTGCTGAGCCTCAGGAGAGGGAGGGCGCTGGTTCCCGCATCCTGTCCCCCTCCCCTGGTGATCTGCCAAGGGGAGCAGCCCAGGGAGGGGGAGCTGGGAGTCAGGGAGCGCTGTCCTTCATGAGTACAAATCCAAATCCCAGGCCGGCTCCCCAGGAGCATAGGCTGCAAGGACAGGGCACCAGCTGTTTATTTGGGTCAGGACTCAGGGGAGGGGGAAGATCACCCCAGGAGCAGAGCTGTCCACCCACTTGGTCCCTGGATCCCCCAGGTCCTGGAGGGCCTGACCTCAAGGAACTGACTCTGCCTGGGCTGGTAGGGCTCTGACCCCTGGCTTCCGTGCGGCCAGAGACCGCCAAACACGAGTGAGGGGCAGTTTAATTGTCTGCTGTGGTCTTAAAAACCAGGAGGCCCAGAGTCGCAGCAATCGGCCGTGCTTCTTTAGAGGCCCCTCCCTCCGCCTCCCACAGGGCAGCCACTCCAGCACCCCTTTCAGGTTCTTCCCCAGCCCAGGCCCTGCTCCCTGGCCCTCCCTCTTGCTACTGGTTCCCGACACTCACGTTCCTCCCACGGGACCACGACTGAGACAGCACACGAGGGCCCACTGTGAGTATCTGGGGCCCGTTTTATGCACAAAGAGCCCGGCACTCGCCATCAGATCCATCTCCTACCTGCTCTAAGCCACACTGCCCTCCTGCCAGGCTGGTAGGGTCTCTGGGGCTGGGCTGGGTAGACGGGGCTGCGCAGCTGGAGACGTGCCCACCTCCCTGCCTGTGACCCCATCCAGGTGCCCTGACTCAGGCACTGGCGACCAGTCCTGAGGTTGCTCAGCACAGCCCCTCCCTCACCGCTGCCCCCAAGCCATCGCTTGCCAGAGGCTGGCTTGCTGTCTTCACGGCTCTGGGAAGTCACTTCGGAGAAACTGACCTCTGAGTGGGAAAGTGACTCACTCGCCGAGGTTCAGGACGGACTCGGCGGCAAGGGCGTCTTGGAGGGAGGTCTCGAGTGCCAGGGTTCTCCTCTCATCTCCTCCCATCCAGCACCGTGTACTGAAGTTGCCTGCCTCTTTCCTCATGTCAGGGACAGCCCCGTCCCCCAGCACACAAGGATGACAGTATGTCCTGGTAGCCAGCGAGGCCCAGATCCCACACCTGGCCACACGCACCAGCGTGGCCTCCAGGAGAGGGTGTGAGGTCTCCTCCGGCTGTCCACGGTGGGCCCAGACATAGGATCTTCCCCTGTGGGGAGGACGGGGGGCAGCCCACCCTGGGAAGAGGGGTGAGCCACCCACAGAGAATGAGGCTAGGCCCACTTGGGCCTGAGGGCATGGCCTGCACCCAGCTGGGCAGGCTGGGCAGGGGCAGACTGGATGGGAATGGGAGCTGAGGCTGCCCTGGAGGGGTTGGAGCTGTGCCCACTGGGGATGGATGGACACCCCTGGATGACGGACACCCCTGGATGACGGACACCCCTGGTCAGCCAGTGGCCCAGCTCATGCCCCTGTCCGGAGGCCCAGCCCAGCCCAGCACACACAAAGCCAGGCGTCAGGGCTCAGGCACAGAGCACGGCCATGGCCAGATGTACCCGGGCCCCTCTGGGGAGTGTGCAGGGGCCGCCCGGGGTGGGCTCTGGGTGCCGGGTCCTGCCTCGGTGCTGAGGACATCAGCCCAGGTCCCCACTGCCCTTGACCCAGGGGGCTGACACCCCCCAGTGCAGAAAGAATGGCCCAAGGGGGTTGGCGGGGGTGCTCCATGGAGAAGGGGCTATCTGAGCCCCTCAGGCACCCTCTGCCAGCCATGCCTGCCCTGAGCGGCTGCCCTGCAGCACCTGGACTGTCCCTTTGGGACGGGCCTCGGTCCCTCTCCCCAGGGGATTTGCTGTACAGCCCCACAGGGACGCCCAAGGGATCACTATCTTTGTGGCTGGAGGAAGAAGACACGTGTGGCAGTGGCCATGTGGTCTTGTTGGGAGTGGCCACCTGCCCTCCTGGGGTCTCCAGGCCAGAGGCCAGGCCACAGGCCAACCAAGGACAGCCTGGCCATCCGGCCCTAGCCGGGCTGGACCTCCTGTGTGGATTCTGAAATCCACCGGCTTCCCAGGGTTGTCAACCCCTGGGCTCTCGCTCCTGTGGGGATGGGTATTTCCCTCTCTGGCGAGACATTTCCAAATTCAGAGGCTGTGGTTTGATGGCTGGGGTCCTGTGGTGCCGGGCTGTGCCTTCCAGAGGCGCCAGCTTCAGGCTGTGACTGGTGACGAGAATCTAGGTCAACCCACGCCGCTCACAGCCTCCTTCCAGCGTGTCATTGTCCCAGCCTCGTCCACACACAGCTCCCCCAAAACCCTGCAGCGTCATTTCTGTTCTGACTCCAGGTGGGCTCTGCCGCTGCCTGTGAGATGAGGCCAGATCCTCGCCGCCCGCACCTGCCTCTCCCCAACTCGCCCTGCGCGGGACAGGTGGACGCCGCCCACACCTACCTCTCCCCCACTCACCCTGCCCGGGAGAGGTGGACGCTGTCTGCACCTGCCTCTCCCCAACGCGCCCTGCCCGGGAGAGGTGGATGCCGCCCGCACCTGCCTCTCCCCCACTCTCCCTGCCTGGGAGAGATGGACGCCGCCTGTGCCTGCCTCTCCCCGACTTGCCCTGCCCAGGAGAGGTGGATACCAAGCATGTTCTTGGCAACTTGCTGCCCACACACGGTGCGGTCCAGGCTGCAGCGTCACAGCCCTGGAGCCTGCTGGGAGTGCACAGCCCAATAGCCACCCCAGCCCCTCTTCGAGGGCAGATTCCCATCAGCCTGAGCTGCCTGCAGGATGAGTACAGGGGTGAGCGTGAGACCATGTTTCTAGCCAGTGGGATGGGACCGGTGGTCCACCAGCAGCCTTGGGAAAAGGCTCCCTTCATAGGGACAGCAGGAAGGGATGGTCCTACAGCGTCAGGCCCACACCAGACACCAGAGCTGCCCTGAAGGAAAGGTGCTGTGGGGAACGGGCTGAGGGCCAGACAGCGCCAGGCCACCGATGGGCAGATGAGGACTGGCTCCTCCCACCAAAGCAGGCAGGTTAGGGCTCAGCTGCTCCCGGCTGAACCACCCAGTCTCAACATCAGTAATGCCCAGCACCTCCTGCTGGGTCTTCAGGGTTGGTCTCAGGGTTCATTCCAGAGCTGAAAATCAACAAATCAACACGTGTTGTTCCTCAGGTCCCTCCGCAGGGCAGAGCCAGGAGCTGTGGAAATGCTCTTTGCAGAGGCCCCACCTAGATGCCCCACGGGGGTGTCCCCTGGCTGAGTCCACAGGGAGGGTTGAGGCTGCCTCGGCCATGTCTGCGGCGCACGTCCCCGGTGCACATCCCCGGCGCAGGCTGTGTCTCCTCGCAGCCCCAACTGACTTCCTTTCCTTCCTGTGGTCTGCACTTCCACCATCCTTACCCCCTCCTTATCCTCAGAGACACCTCCTGACACCCTCCTCCATGCTCTGCCCTGGTTGGGATGCCTCTTGGGCTGTTCCGGGCCCCAGGCTAGAGCCACTGCCTCTGTTTCTCTGGGTGAGTCCTTGCCCTGCTGCAGGAAACCTCCGCGTGCTGTCTAAGAAGTCGTGCAAACTGGCCAGGCCTGGAAGGGCTGAGGCATCCTTTCTCCCTGATGGATGGTTTGCGTGAGTATAAAATTCAAGGCTGGAAGCCAGATTCCTGTGGAATTTGGAAGGCCCGGCTCCATTGTCTTCCGGCTCCAGCGTTGTTGAGGCGAAGTCTGACGTCCATGCAGACTCTGATTCCCGTGTGGGGACAGCCCTGGGGTCCTGCCGTCCTGGGACATCGCTCCGGCACCCCTACGCTGCTTCTTGAAACGTTTCTGTCGACTTCCCACCTCCCGGGAATTTGTTGAATCTTTTTTCTGTGAATGCCAGTTCTGTCTTCCTCACGGCTGGTTAATTCCCTTCTGCTCCTTAACTGTCATCGCATGGGGTTAATGAGAGGAGGAGAGAAAACGTCTGTGGTTTCGTTTTCCTTCCTGGATTTCGACAATGTGGATGCGTCCTTGGGGGAAAGGTGGGCTCGGGATCCAGGCATAGACCGTGCGGGGGCCTCTCCAGGAGCCAGTGTGGGGGAGTCCAGCGCAGCAGGGCCAGGGCCAGGTGGGGCAGAGTGAAGACACCAGGGCACCGCGGGGCCAGTGAGTTTGTTGCCTCAGCTGAGACAAAGTCTCAGCAAATCATCAGTGTTCCTCTTCTGTGAGGTCTTTCCACGCACCAGGCCAGGGTGTCATCACCAGACCCCTCCGGTGCTGAAGGATCTCCCCGGAAAATAGATATTAATTGCTTTTCAATCAATGTATTCCATGTGTATCAATATATTCCACATGTATCAATATATTCCACGTGTATCAATATATTCCACGTGTATCAATATATTCCACGTGTATCAATGCATTCCACGTGTATCAATGCATTCCACGTGTATCAATGCATTCCACGTGTATCAATATATTCCACGTGTATCAATATATTCCACGTGTATCAATGCATTCCATGTGTATCAATGCATTCCATGTATATCAATATATTCCATGTGCATTAGCTTTCTGTGGCTGCTATAACAAATCAGCATAAACTTATGGCTGAAACAACAGTCACTGTCACTGTTTAGTCCTGGAGGCCAGATGCCTGACATGGGACTTGGTGCTGTGAGCCCTTCCTTCTGGGGGCTCCAGGGGAGAATCTGGGCCCCTTCAGCTCCTAGAGGCCACCCAAGTCCCTTGTCTCACAGACCCAGTCCACCTTTCAAGCCAGTATCTTCAAACTTCTTCAGCACCTTCAAGCCTCTCCCTGACTCTGATCCCTCACCTCCCCTCTCACTGGGATGGACCCTCATGATTACTCTGGGCCTGCCCGGATGGCCAGGGATGACCTCCCCGTCTCAGGCCAGTGGGTGGGTAACCCTCACTCCCCCTGCAGTCTTGGGGATGACCTCCCCGTCTCAGGCCAGCAGGTGGGTAACCCTCACTGCCCCTGAAGTCTTGGGGATGACCTCGCGTCCCAGGCAGTCTTGGCTCCCTTTGCCACATAACCTGATGCATACCCAGGTTCCCAGGATTAGTAGGTGGGCACCTTGGGGGCTGTTCTCTCCGAGGCCACACAGTAACGGCAGAGAGACCAGGCAGATACCCTCTTACCCTGGTGGTCGGAGGCGCGGTCATCAGCCAGGGATGGGTTGGCCTCGTGCGCGTGCCCTGCGCGGTGCTGAGATCAGCCCAGCACGATGTCTAGCATGTTCTGCCCGAAACACACGCCTCAGAAGAAAGCGCCAGGCAAACTGAAGGACGCGAAGCCGTGGGCCGGCCTGCCGAGATCCTGAAACGCAGGCAGAGCCGAGACGCTCTTCAGAGCACGGGTGTGTGGCGGCCGAACACAGCACCTGACCCTGGGCTTAGTCTTGGACTTCTGGAAGAAACCGCGGAACTGGTGCAATCGGAGTGGAGCCCATGGGGTAGGTGTTGCCATTGAGCCAACGCTGGTTTCCTGCTGTGAGTGATTTTGCTGCAGTTTTGTGTGCAGCGTCTTTTTCTCAGGAAATACTCACTGAAGTATTTAGCAGTAACAGGCATCTGTTGTGCTTGCAAGGAAGTTTCAGGTGGATCAGAAAGGTTAGCAGTGAAGGAATCTAGGTGAAGGGATGAGGGAGCTCGCTCTGCTATTTCTGCAACTTTTGTTAACTCAGCAAAAGAGTTAAAAGACGAGTGCATGTTAGGATGAGGGGCCGGGGAAAATGCCCCCGCGGGTAAACAGCCCCGTCAGGGCAGGGGCTCTGTGAGTTCATTCGCTTGTTCACTAGAACATTCCTTGGCTGAAGTATTTACTGACGCTAACATCACAACAAAGACAAGACAAGAGGATGCCACATACATCCTGATGGAGGCGCCTCCGACCAAAAGCAAAGAACCCGGATGTGCCCCAGCCTCGTTCCAACTAGCAGTTCCCACAGAGACGCGGGGCACGGAGACGTCCCACAGAGATGCGGGGCACGGAGACGTCCCACAGAGACGCGGGACACGGAGACGTCCCCCAGAGACGCGGGGCACGGAGATGTCCCCACAGAGACGCGGGGCACGGAGACGTCCCACAGAGACGCAGAGCACCCAGGGCAGCTACAGGATGTCCTCAGGCTGCACGCTGGCCTCCATGGCACAGATGGCCCAACAACTTTGATCAATTGCAAGGAAAAGCAGAAACGGAGCGGGCAGGATATCAAAAGAGGCATCAAAGACACATGCACTCTGTGGGATATTTTGACCCTGAGTCGAACAAATGAACCCCAGGTAGCAAAGGTAAACAACAATAAAATCAGACGTATGGGGCAGTTATCAATATGGATCCTTGCAGGACATCGGATGATATGGAGGGTGCACTGTTACTCACCTTAGGTGTGAGGATGGTACCATGGTTATATATCTGAAAAGTGTCCACATCCTTTGGAGAAACATCCTGAAATATTTACAGATGAAATGATATCATGTCTGGGATTTGTTTTAAAATAATCCAATTTACTGTTACTGTCTTAGTTTGCTTTCTGTTGTTAAAACAGAATACCACCTATGGGTCATTTATAAAGAAATGAGCTTATTTCTCACAGCTCTGGAGGCTTGGAAGGCCGAGAGCGTGGTGTCTACATCTGGGAGGGTGGCCCCGCCATGTAGACGGAAGGTGGGAGTGAGCAGAGGCACCAGGGCTGGACTCACTTCATGACCACTCATTCCAGCAATAACACCGATCCACTTGTAAGGGCGCCACCCTCACGACCCAGTTACCTCTTTTTAGGCCCTCTCTCCCAACACTGTTGCATTTGGGATTAAGTTTCCGACACCTGAACTTTTCGAGGGACACACTCAGATCATAGCAAGGATGAAAAGCCAGATGGGCCTGGCTGAGGAGCTGGAAGCCACTGATGCTTGGTGAGCTCTGCAGCCACTCTACTGTGCACGTGTGGAACTCTCCAAAAAACACATGAGCAAGAACTTAGAGGAATACTTCTGGAGTGTGGTTGGATGTGAGGGTCCTTAATCCACGCTGATTAAGATGCTGATGTCTTAGTCAGCGCTGAGTGGAGACGCTGGTGCTTGCAGAGGTGGTTGGAGCCCAGATGTACTAAGAAAGAAGAGGGGCCTCAGCGTCCTCACCTGCAAGCTGGGAATAACTACCCAGCCCTTCAGGGCCGTGTGAGGAGCTGCCGGAGCAGCAGGTGACAGCTGCCTCACTGTGAGTTTTCCTGGCAGCTCTCAGCCTGGGTACCAGGAAGGCACAGGTGTGCTGGAGGCTTCCTCACCTGCAGTCCTGCTCCAACACTGTCCATGATGCTCCCACCAATAAGAAAGTTTTCTCTAGGATCCCAGGAAAGCTGTTTTCTTTTTTGTTGTTGTGTTTGCCAGGGCTGATTTTCAACTCCCTTTATTAATGTCTTTTTTCTTATTAATTTAGATTCTGCAGGTCAGTAGCAACACCATTTGATGTTTTGACATTTAATCAAAACTGGCAGGTTTTCTCCGGCGTCAAATGCATGGGGTCTTGTCAGAGAGCATGTTCGTGGGTTCATGATGAATTGCCCTCGTGACGGAGGGTCGCCCTGCGTGAACACTGGTTTCATAAGCTCTAAGGACTGTACCGGTCAAGACTGATGCACCCTCAGGGCTGGGATCCTGTGCTGGGCCCATGGTGAGTTCCATGAAGGGTTAATCTTTTCCAGTGCCCACAGGTGCTTTTCAGCCCAGCCCTGTCCTCTTGCGAATTCACCTCGTTGAGGTAACCTGAAGACCTGTGTGTCCTGGACTCAGCTCTCCTGTGGACACAGGTGTCTTCACGGCATCTCTCACCCAATTTTGTGCCTGGACGTCCTGCCACTGACCATCACCACAGGGAGCACAAAGAGAAGGTGGAGGTTCTCCAGCCTCTCCGGCCTCCTGGTCTCCTGGGCAGCAGGTGCAGGAACAGATACGCTGGCCTGGGGGAGAGCATGAGTGTGGAAAGGAGAGCCTGCAGCTCTTAACAGCAGCGTGGGCTCCAGAGGGCAGTTACTGGTCAGCTCTCAAGATGCTTTGACCATAAACGGAATTGCCTGGCAGTTGGGTTTAACTGCTCCGTCTTTGTGCAGCTTTTCCTACACACTTGAGAGGTTATAAGAGACACTTCACGCCAATTTATTGGATTTCAGCTTGCAGCCAACCCCAGCCAGTGACACTGTTTTTCTATTAAGGACCTGTGGGAACGAAGTCAACACTAAATAAACGCAGCCAACAGGAGTATGTCACGAAAGGAAATTCCAGAGTTCTGTCTCTAATGAGGAGGAGCAAGTACCTGGCGAGTGCCTGGTGAGAGCCCGGTGAGTGCCCGGTGAGTGCCTGGTGAGTGCCCGCAAGTGCCCAGCGAGTGCCCGGCGAATGCCCAGTGAGTGCCCAGCGAGTGCCCGGTGAATGCCCAGCGAGTGCCCAGTGAGTGCCCGGTGAATGCCCAGTGAGTGCCCAGAGAGTGCCCAGCGAGTGCCCGGTGAATGCCCAGCGAGTGCCCGGTGAGTGCCCGCAAGTGCCCAACGAGTGCCTGGTGAATGCCCAGCGAGTGCCCAGCGAGTGCCCGGCGAATGCCCAGTGAGTGCCCAGTGAGTGCCCAGCAAGTGCCCGGCGAATGCCCAGCGAGTGCCCAGCGAGTGCCCGGTGAATGCCCAGCGAGTGCCCAGCGAGTGCCCGGTGAGTGCCTGCAAGTGCCCAGCGAGTGCCTGGTGAATGCCCAGTGAGTGCCCAGCGAGTGCCCGGTGAATGCCCAGCGAGTGCCCAGCGAGTGCCCGGTGAGTGCCCAGCGAATGGAGGCTCCTCGGGTAACACGCGTGGACCCAGGCACAATACAAAGTCAACCGCCCGGGGCTCTAGAGCAGGAGAAACAGGCAGTTTCTGGAGGGAGAGTCAGAGCTAGAAGCAGCACCCGGCCCAGGCGAGGCTTCTGTGTGTGGCTTTGCCAGGAGGGCAGCACTGCCTGGGGTTAGTAAGACGCTGGCACAAAGTCACCACCTCTGGGTATGGAGAACACAGGTGAAGATACCTGGGACAGCCAGGGCTGCCAGTGTGTGAGTGTGTGAGGATCTGGGAAAGGAGGAAGCAGAGAAGTGGGAGAGCATGTTCTGTCCGCAACCCTTGCTCCAGTTTCCGGCTGACCCTGGAGCCATGCCAGTCTAGGCAGACGGACAGTTCTGAACAGAAACCGAGCTGCTGCCCACCAAGCTGCTGCTGCCAGCCCCTGTGGGAAACGCATCAGAGCCCAGAGGAGGGGCTCAGGGGTGCTCAGGGGGTGAAGGGGGCCGCTGTGGGCTGCCTGAGAAAAGCGACCACATCTGGGGCTGTGCCCCCGCCCGACAAGCCCAGTGGGAGCTTCTCAGAAACAAGGTGGGAAGCCTGCGCAATCCTCTCCACCGCGCTCGGGGCAGCGGGGACCAGGGCTTCCCCAGGCTGGGGCATGGCAAGGCGGGCAGTCGGGCAGCAGGACGCCCATGCCCTGCCCACCTGTCCCCACCTGTGGGAGCTGCTGGCCCTCCCCACCCAAGGCTGCCCTCCTACCAGCAGCACAAGAGGTTTGGACCAACGCGTGTGCGCTACTTTCTAGAGCAAAATTTCTTTGAACTGAGATTTTAGAACCGAGGTGGAACATGGGAGAGGCCCTGGTGGAAGCAGGAAATACACGATTTGCTTTTCACAACTACGCGTTAATGAATAGGGCAGCCCACCTCCTGGTTTGCCCCGGAATGCCCAGTTTCAGGCCTGAAAGTCCCACGGAGCATCTCCCATCCTCACCCTCGGCCTGGAGGACAGAGGCGCGTCTGGCTGGTGGCAGCCGTCAGGGCTTTGTCAAAGCGGCGCTCAGATGGAGACAACGTCTCGTCAGGTGCCACGATGGGTCTGTGTTGTGCGAGCATGTTGCTTTAGGCTGCCTTAGGCCGCCCACCTGATTCTGTCATTCTGTTTCGGAACGGCCCTCTAGACGAGCTGCAGCTTCGAGGGTGGCTTTCGCACTCTGCTGTCAGTGGCTGAACGGCTTCATTGTGAAATGCTGAAGTGATTTGTATAAATCATGACCATGGATTAATGAGGTTCATTCCTCCCAAACCTTCAAGAAATTGTTACTGTTCCTGATGTATTTGATGGCAATTGGCTCCTGGAGAAGGGAGGGAGAGGCGGGTGTCTCTACCCCGTTTGCTATATTTTGTGGGGATTGTGGGGGGCCTGGCTGGCACCATAGGGGGCTGGGTGCCCTGGGCTGTGAACTCCTGATGACAGGAGGCGCCTCCCTCCTCACCAGGCCTGGAATGAAACCCACGTGGGCAGTCCCACGAGCAACACGCCAGCGCCCCAAGGCTGGCCACGGGCAGGACGCAGAGACAGACGCGTCATTAGAGCATGGGCGCGGCGTGTCCGTGGCACGTGAGGCCCCGGGCCCTGCCTTTGCTTTCGGTCTCTGTGCACGCTGCCTCCTGACCTGATGGTCCAGTTGCCTGCGGAAGTAGGTCTGTGCACAGTGGACCTTTTAAAAGAGACACGAAACCTGGGAGGGCCTGGCCTTCCCTCTGTGCGCTGCTGCTGTTTGTCTTTTTCCTCAGCTTCCCGTTGTTCGATGGAGTGGACTCCAGGCAGCTGTCCTGTGAGCTCGACACAGCCAGGCTGGAGTTGGCAGAGGTGCAGATAGGGCGGTGATGCTGAGAGCCACGATGTCGTCATTGAAATGAAGTCAGGTGGACCCTCTGGACCCTCTGAGTTTCCAGCCTAGGAGCAGTGGCGTGTTCTAAGGACGGGCTTCCCCTCCTCCCACCCTCCAGCTCCCAGCGCCGCCTGTAACCCTCCTCCCACCCTCCAGCTCCCAGCGCCGCCTGTAACCCTCCTCCCACCATCCAGCTCCCAGCGCCGCCTGTAACCCTCCTCCCACCGTCCGGCTCCCAGCGCCGCCTGTAACCCTCCTCCCACCGTCCGGCTCCCAGCGCCGCCTGTAACCCTCCTCCCACCGTCCGGCTCCCAGCGCCGCCTGTAACCCTCCTCCCACCCTCCGGCTCCCAGCGCCGCCTGTAACCCTCCTCCCACCGTCCGGCTCCCAGCGCCGCCTGTAACCCTCCTCCCACCCTCCGGCTCCCAGCGCCGCCTGTAACCCTCCTCCCACCCTCCGGCTCCCAGCGCCGCCTGTAACCCTCCTCCCACCCTCCGGCTCCCAGCGCCGCCTGTAACCCTCCTCCCACCCTCCGGCTCCCAGTGCCGCCTGTAACCCTCCTCCCACCCTCCGGCTCCCAGCGCCGCCTGTAACCCTCCTCCCACCCTCCGGCTCCCAGCACCGCCTGTAACTGCGGCCCTCAGGGCAGTGGGTCTTCAGGCCTGGCTGGACACCCCAGCTTAGAGCTCGCTCAGGCGGCCGGTCCATGACACCGTCCTGGGCAGGCCTTTCATGGACACACACTGGCCTCACAGTCGTTCGGGGTCATCTGGTCTCACAGTCGTTCAGGGTGGCCTTGAGAATAGGTGGGTGGGGGCAGATAGGACATAGTCACCCCCCCTTTTTTATTGGGGTAAAATTCACCACTTTAGCCATTTTAAAGTGTGCGAGTCTGGGTGTGCAGGGCTTGTAGAGTGCTGTGCAAGCATCACCCCTGAGCTCAGAACACGGCGTCGCCCGAGCTGACCACCGCTCCCCTTCTCCCGCCCTCCAGCCCCCAACAACCAGGAATCTCTTGCCGCCTCTGGATTGACCTATTCTGGACATTCCACGTAAATGGAATCATAAAACATACGGCCTTTCGCGTCTGGCTTATCCACGGAGCGAGATGCCTTCCAGCTTCATCACGCCGTAGCCTGCGTGGGTTCTGGGTCCCTGTCCTCGTCACTAGTCGCTCCAGTGCATGGATGAGCACGTCCTGTTCACGCGTCCTCGCCATTGGTGGTGTCTGGGGGGCTCCCCGCTGCTGGCTGATGCGAATGTTCCTGCACGTGTGTTTGTGTGAACGCCGGCTTTCAGCTGAGGGTGGGGCTGCTGAATCTCACGGCAGCTCCGAGTTTAATTCTCGGACGAGGCTCTCTGTCAGTCGCGCGTGACCGCGTGGGCTCAGGCGTCTGTGCGAGTTGCTGCGCGCGTGTGGGTGTGCGGCCGACGTAAGCTCGTCTGCGTCCCTCCCGTTTAGTGCCCGGGGTCGGGCCGTCTGTTACAAACCGTCCTGTTGGTGTGAGAATCCAGACCCCTTGGAAACTCTCAGCCGTGCTAAATTATGAGTCAGATCAGGGAAGCTGCTGCTTTTTCATTTAACTGCATCTTGAGCTTGAGTGTTTTTTTATTTATAAAATCAATGACTGTGTGGTTTTTAAAATTAAAAATCTTCATAAACTTATCACTGAGATGAACACAGGTGAGATCCTCAAAATGCCTCCTCTCCGAGCGCTTTCGGAGATAAAAATAAAAGCCATGCACCTGGGGGGGTTGTCATCTTTGCGGTAGAAATTCCTCCCATGTTGCAGGTCTGGCCCTGGCTGGGCTCGGCTGCAGGGCCTTCATTCACCGCACTTAAAGGTGTGCCAGCCCCTAGGATTTCCCCTGTCGTGTCTTCCTGGGCTCCTGAAGCTGGCTGGGCAGTTTCTGTATTTCTCTCCTTAAGGCACAAAGATGCGGGTCAGCATTCCGACGCTCCCAGCTTTGGCTGCAGATGCTTCCCTGTCGTTTAGTGTCTACGGGGCTTGGATTGTCCTCCTGACGTCGGGACTGGACACAAACCGTCACTTCTCGAGCCACCGCAGGTGTCCTGGAAGTCCCACCTCTGTTAACAAGTGGCGTCTTGGGTCTGGGAGGAGTTGAGTGCTGTTCCAGGTGCTGAAGGGAGGTTCTTCCCTCCCGACCTTGGCTCGGCTGCAGCTGGGAGGGGCTGAAGAAGGGCTCCCAGGACCTGCCCGTCTGCCCGTGAGGCAGATTCACCGCCTGTGGGGGTCAGCAGATCCTGAGAACTGACGGCCCAGGCTGAGGGCTGGCGGCCCCACACCAGGCACCTCGGCCCCAGGACGTCAGAAACAGGCTGGTGGGTTGCCCCAGGCGGGCCGGCCCTAGGTCTGGATGGCGAACCCAGGCTGGTGCTGGGAACCCTCAGGCCTGCCCCACCCGGCACGCACTCCAAAAGGGCTCCGGCTCTGGTCCCATCTCGGCAGGAAGGGTGGTGCCTTTGGAGGCTGGACTTCAACAGACATGAGCTGTCCTGGGAGCAGGGCTGGAAAGCCCAGGCCTTGGTCACTGGATTTGCAGTTCCCTGCTAGAGAAAACCCCTGAGGCATTCCTTGCCTGGGAAGATCCTTGGAAGCTGCTCCTGTGTCCACAGCTCATGGCCACCCACAGGGCTGTTGTGACCAGAGCAGGTCAGGCGTGGAGAAGGCTGACCCCTCCTTTCTTCGGGGTCCTCGGGGCGGGGTGCCAGGGGCCCCCAGAGATGACAGTGGCCTGAGGCAGGTGGCGGTCGTCTGTGGATGGGGTAATGTCTTTAGGACATCCAATTACAGAGACCAGAGGAGGAGCTGTCTTTACAGAGAGAATTGAGATGACGCTGAGACCTCACTTTGAGCAGCTGAGCATGTGGGGTAGCCCTGACCAGATGGGGACATGGGCGGCTCAAGGGGCCTGGACGCTGCAGTGGAGAGGGTCCCAGCAGCGGGGGTGCAGGGGGTCAGGAAGGGTCTAGGTGGGGGTGCAGGGGGGTCAGCAATGGTCCAGGTGAGGGTGCAGGAGGTTGGGGAGGAGACAGGGTGGGGCTGCTGGGGGTCGGGGAGGAGACAGGGTGGGGGTCCAGGGGGTCGGGGAGGAGACAGGGTGGGGGTGCAGGGGGGTCAGGGAGGGTCCAGGTGGGGGTGCAGGGGGTCGGGGAGGGTCCAGTTGGGGGTGCAGGGTGATTGGGGAAGAGAAAGGGTAGGGGTTCAGGGGGCTCGGGGAGGGTCCAGGTGGGGGTGCAGGGGGTGGGGGAGGAGACAGGGTGGGGGTGCAGGGGGAGTCAGGGAGGATCCAGGTAGGAGTGGAGGGGCTGGTCAAGGGGCCCTAGGCTGTCCTCAGCATGACTGCACTCTGCAGTCTATGGGAGCCCAGCTTTCCTGCCCAGCAGTGGCTGCAGGTGTTGGCCGTGGGGCCTGTGTCCCAGCATGGCTGGCCAGGGTGTCCCTGAGGGAGGGTTGGCCTGTCCAAGGCTGGCTACTTGGGCAGGTCCCGGGGGTCTTGGACCTCGGCTTCCTCGTTTGTGGCATGATCATCTAAGCTTGAGAGCAGGGCCCAGCTGGAGGAAGGGGCGGCTCTGGGTGGGTGGTGGGGAGAGGCCTGGCAGGCGTCACTGAGCTCTCTCCAGGAGCCCCTGCTCAAAGGGTGTGGACGCTGCAGCTCTGCAGGTGCCAAGAGCTCCTTTCCCCGGATGCCTGACTCCACAGAGCAGTTATAAGTACCAAGCTCAGTGTGAGGTCAATGGGGTCCCATTTCCAAACCCACTCAGTGGGTTCTCCCAGCAAGATGTGGCCTCAGCACATTCCCAGGAAACACAGGGAGTATTTCCTGGCCCCTCCCCTGAGGGTCAGGGACAGGGATGGGACCTTCCCCTGAGGGTGGGGACAGGTCACAAGCCCTTTGCCGTTTTCTGGGAGGCCTCCAGGGCACCAGACCAGCAGGGTGGGTGTGGCCGATGCTGGTGCTGGGGGGTCCTGAGCACTGGCTGAGGCCAGCAGGTGCAGCGGGCACCCGTTCCTCTCTGTGGAAGCTGGTCTTGCCTGTGGGCCCGGGTGGCGGAGGCTGGGCTGGTGACGCTCTTGCTGTGAGAAGGGAGGCACGTCACAGTCCACAGGGACTTCACTGGCACTCATGGCTTCCAGAGTCTTCTCTCCTTGAGTTTTGAACATTCCCAAAGTGTTTTATTCACAAAGGTGTTTCTGATGCGTGTAGTTGAACTCTTGGGGCCAGGGGCTATCCTGCCTGAAGATCTTGATTTGAGAATTCTGTGGTCTCGCTGTCCTTTGGGAACTGAAGCTGATGGGTCCACGCATCTTCATTTCACTCTTCTGCGTGGCCTGCTGCAGGCGGCACGTCTGGCTCAGCACACGTGATCTGATTCTGCGAAAATTACCCGAGAATGTCAGGATACGACAAACACTGGTGAGAGCCGTAGCTGGAATGAATGTCAGGGTGTGACAGACGCTGGTGAGAGCCGTAGCTGGAATGAGGAGCTTTAAAGTGCTATCAAGTATAAGTTCTTATAAACAACTGACATGGCAATTTATACCCGATAGTGGCTCACACAGATTGTCATTGCCAATTCTGGAAAAGAGGTTTACACGTCAGTGGTCTCTATGGTCTTCCTCATGGACTTTGAGGAGACATCCGTTCGTAAAGTCTCGAGATCATGGGAGGAGAAGGTTAGTGGTGCTCAGACTCCAGCATGTGTGAGAATCTCAGCTGGTGAGAACACCCGTCCCAAGGATGTGTCTGGGGCCGTCATGAGGGGCAGCAGGAGTCGGCCCCCTCCGAGAGACTGGAAATATGTTGGTACCATCCAGGCCCCCGGCAGGAAGGACCAGGCATCTCAGGGAGAAGCGGCCCTTGGAGTCCTCTTGGAATAGCACCTCTTTCTTTTTTTTTTTTTTGAGATGGAGTTTCGCTCTTGTTGCCCAGGCTGGAGTGCAGTGGTGCTGCGATCTTGGCTCACTACAACCTCTGCCTCCCAGGTTCAAGCAGTTCTCCTGCCTCAGCCTCCCGAGTAGCTGGATTACAGCTGTGAGCCTCTGCGCCCGGCCAAGACAGCACCTCTTAAACTCCGGCCTGGAGAGGCAGTGGCCCTGGGCACCTCCCCGCTGCACACAAGCCCCATCCACTCATGTGCTTGGCTTTGTCCTCAATGCTGAATCATCTCCAGCGGAAGTCCCTGGCCCAGACTCCGTTCCACAGCATCATTCAAACTTAACAAGCCAGAGAGGGTTTAAAAAAATGTATGGTTAGAGGATGCTATATCCATCGCCGGCAATCCACATCAGCGTTAAAGGCCATTCTTCATCAAGATATATTTTAACTATGCAGCCAAATTATACTCAATAAACAAAATGCACATTTAACTGGAACCAGATGAAAACGGAACGCGGGAACAGATTTGGAAACAGAATGAATGCCAGGCATGTGGAGTTTAAAAAGAAACAAGTGACATAATTACCACTCACGGAGCCAGATGGCAGTGCCCGGGTTTTGAATCTGCTGGTTATCACCAGGATTCTGTGGAGAGAAAGCTCGTGTGGTCACAGGAAGCAAATCCGCCTCCGAACCCTCTGAGAGCTGCCTTGGCTTTCGGCACCATTGCGCCGGGGGTGCCACATGAGGGGGTGGCTGTCTTCTGCCGGATTCTGTGCGTCATGAGCGCCGAATGTGGGGAGCAGGGTACAGGATTCCTGCTGCACGAGGGGCACCACCAGCAGCTGGGTGCCTGAGGCCAAGGCTGACTTTACAGGGAGGGGCTGAGGCCCGGGGGTGCTGACCTTACAGGCAGAGACCTTAGGCCTGGGGGTGCTGACCTTACAGGGAGGGGCCTGAGGCCTGGGGGTAGCTGACCTTACAGGGAGGGGCCTGAGGCCTGGGGGTAGCTGACCTTACAGGGAGGGGCCTGAGGCCTGGGGGTAGCTGACCTTACAGGGAGGGGCCTGAGGCCTGGGGGTAGCTGACCTTACAGGGAGGGGCCTGAGGCCTGGGGGTAGCTGACCTTACAGGGAGGGGCCTGAGGCCTGGGGGTAGCTGACCTTACAGGGAGGGGCCTGAGGCCTGGGGGTAGCTGACCTTACAGGGAGGGGCCTGAGGCCTGGGGGTAGCTGACCTTACAGGGAGGGGCCTGAGGCCTGGGGGTAGCTGACCTTACAGGGAGGGGCCTGAGGCCTGGGGGTAGCTGACCTTACAGGGAGGGGCCTGAGGCCCGGTGGGGGGGGGGGGGGTGCTGACCTTACAGGGAGGGGCCTGAGGCCTGGGGGTAGCTGACCTTACAGGGAGGGGCCTGAGGCCTGGGGGTAGCTGACCTTACAGGGAGGGGCCTGAGGCCTGGTGGGGGGGGTGCTGACCTTACTGGGAGGGGCCCGAGGCCCGGTGGGGGGGGTGCTGACCTTACTGGGAGGGGCCTGAGGCCAGTTTGTTGGGGAGCTGCTGTTCCCCTCTCTGTGCCCTGGTGTGGAGCTGGTGGCGGGAGAATGGGAATTCTTATCTTGGGAAGAAAGACAGTGTGTGGGGCAACAGTGGGTGCCGGGTGCTTTGAAGATCTGGTTCATAGCAAATATTCGTTCGTTTAATCCACCACACCGAGGCACACTTTCCAGAAATGAAATGCACACGTTTGAGGGGCGGTTGATGTGTTTTGGTGGGTGCCCTCACCACTCTCACCCCACAATCGGGATACAACTATTTTCTTCACACCAAAAGTTTTCTCAGGCCCCTGGGTGCTAAGCCTGTGCGCTGTCAGCCCCCCGCAGCCCTGGGTCTATTCCGCCAGGCAGGTGGGCCTTGTCTTGTGTAGGACTTTGTGGACGTGGCCCACACATGGGATCTGGGCTGTGGCTCCTCCACTCGGCTCTCGGGAGCCACCGTGGTGCTCGGTGTGTGTCGTGGGTGGATCTGTTCCTTCGAAGCGCCGTGCCCTCTGCACAGACGTGCCACCACGAGGGTGCGTTCTCCTGCTGAGGGACATGCGAGCTACATTGCATCTTCACCACGACCTGTAAGCTGCTACCCATATTTTTGCATAAGTGCAGGTAGGAACACATTCTTATTTTTCTTGGAGAAGCAACGGGAAGTGGGATGGGTGGGTTGTAGGTGACACACGCCGTCTAACTGCCCAGGAAGCTGCCAAGTTGTTCTCCAAGCAACTGCTCCACTTGACATTCCCGCCAGCAGAGCACGCGTGTTCCGGTACCTCCCGCCCTCAGCAGCCCTAGCCCGGTCGGCGTTTGTGTTTTTAATTTTGGCCATTCCATTAGGTGCACCGCGATTTAATGTGCGTTTCCACGTGGATTAACGGTGTGAACTGTCTCTTCGCGTACTTGCTGGTTGTTTGCGTGTGTTCTTTGCTGAATGAAGTGTCTGCTGGAACCGGGGGTGTGTATTTGTATCAGGTTGTTCGTTGTCTTATTTCTGGGCGACGAGTTCCTCGTCTATTCTAGATACAAGTCCCTTCCCAGATCCGGGCATCGCAGACAGTTTCACCTGCTCAGGTGCTTGCTTGTTCATTCTCTTAACCGCACCTTTCGAAGGGCAAACATTTTTAACTGCGATAAAGGCTGATTGACCAATATTTTCTTTTATTGTAAATAACTTTCTCATTCTTGATATTGTTATTTTGTGTTCCCTCCTTTTCTTCTGCTCATTGCAGCTGGAGATTTATCCGTTGTATTGATATTCTCAAAGAGCCAGATTTCGGCTTCATCCGTTTTCTCTGTTGTTTTTCTGTTTTCTGTGTCACTGATTTTTGCTCTGATCTCTGTTATTCACTTTCTTTCTGCTTGCTCTGGATTTAATTTGCTCTTTTTTCCCCACTTTCCTACAGTGAGAGCTGAGCTCATTGATGGGAGGCACCTTCCTTTGCTAAACAGGCATTTTCCACCACGTACATCCTGCCCTTCTCGCCCTCCTCTCCCAAGACCCTGAGTGTGAGACGGGTCCCGCCAGCCCCGAGACCCTGAGTGTGAGACGGGTCCCGCCAGCCCCGAGACCCTGAGTGTGAGACGGGTCCCGCCAGCCCCAAGACCCTGAGTGTGTGACGGGTCCCGCCAGCCCCGAGACCCTGAGTGTGTGACGGCTCCCGCCAGTCCCGAGACCCCACGTGCATGTGGCCACATGTGTGACAGGTCCCGCCAGTCCCTCGGGCTCCATCCCTCGTTCGAAGAGGACATGGGGTGCTTTGCCTCAGTGGATGGAGGAGACCCACACCCGTGTGTTTCCCGGGCAGATGGAGCGCTCAGCACTGGGCACTGTGCCCAGTGGTTTCACTGTCGGATAAACATGTTTCCAAAAGCATCTTTACCCCGTTACATCCAATTCCCCATGATTTGTGTAAGAACTTTTTACATTACTTTTTAATGCTAATGAAGCCCTTAACAATCAGATGGGGTGTCAAAGGAGGGGGCTCCATTCCCATGAGGCCTGAGGCCCACACCAGGCTCCCTGTCATGGAAGCTACACACCCCCGGCTGGCACCCCCGTCACAGTTGCTGGGGCCCTCCTGCCCCTGGATTCCTGGCGCCCACCTCCCTGGGGGTGCTCTTGGCTCTGCAGCCTCCCCACCCATGCTCTCGGCGGCCTCCCTCACTCTCACCTCTTGTTTCTGTTTCATGCTGCAGTGACAGTGAAGGGAACCGTCCAGGCTGCTCCCCGTGGGCCTCCTCTGGAGCAGGCCTGGCAGCAAGTTGGTGCCCCCTCAGCCTCTGATGAATGAGGGGGGTGAGGCCTGGGCCTCAGGGCAGCTCCTCCAGCCCTTGAACTTGCTGTGGCCCCAGGACTGACCAGGCTGGACAGCCAGCCACACTGACCAGTGCCACGAGGGACCGTAATCGCCAAGGAAACCTTCCTGCATGGGGCATTTCCACTCTGACCCAGGCCCAAATACAGATCCAAAGAAAGAATATGCAGGAAATGTGTGTGTGCTGGGGGGACTCATATTCTCTGCTCGAAAGTGGAATGATTTATGATTAAAGGAAACACAGGCGCCAATGGCCCCCCAGTGCCTGGAGCCCCTCGCGTCCGACCTGGGTGGAGTCCACCCGGGGCCAGCAGACCTTGTCTCTTTAATCACGGCAGGTTGTGTGGTCTGCACCTGGGCACCTGTTTCCTCAGTGAGCGTCTGAGCGAGAAGCCAGGCAAGGTCACAGGCAGTCAGCAGAGCAGCTGAGTCCTAGCAGGCCTCCCACCCTGTGGCTGCTGGGCCCTGCTCACAGTAGGAGATGGGGAGGGATTCATGTCAGTTGACAAAGAGACAGAGGTAGGGGGCCTGGGGGTCACCCAATCAAAGACCACTTTTCCCTGGTACCTAAATTCCATCCCCCAAGCAATGGAGGCCACTGGACATTCCTGCAAAAGGGGCAGCCACGGTGGCCTTGTCCCAGCGTCCTTCACTCAGGCTGTAGTTTAGGTGTCCTGCCTGTGAGCCTCGAGGACAGAGGGAGCCTCGAGGACAGAGGGTGGACGGCGCCCTGACTGTCCCAGGTTCCAGCCTCAGCCTGGGCTGTGGTGTCAGTCGGTCCCCAGGGCTCAGGCTGGCGGGAGGCAGAGGAGGCAGCAGCGGGGGCGGGGGGAGGGGGCGGGGTGCAGAGGAGGAGGTGGTGGGTGCAGGGGTGCTGGTGGGATGCAGAGGGGCTGCTGGCAGAAGCTGGGAGCAGCTCACTGGACTCCTCAGCCCGGGAGCCAAGTGCGAGCGCTGCCAAGTGTGCAATCCTGGGTCCCTGGGCCGGGGCATGGACATTGCTCACCAGGCAGCCTTCCCATGACCCCTGGCATCCAGGGTCCCCAGGGCTGCCACCCCCTCAGCCCCGAGTCTGGGGTTTCATGCTGGCTCCTCTGTCCTCCCGGAGCAGGGTCTGGCTCTGTGGGGTCTCTCTGTGTTCGCATCCTCGCGGGTCCTCCCACCTCC